>NC_000008.11:30163132-30466163 GCF_000001405.40 Homo sapiens
ACTAAAAATACAAAATTAGCCAGGTGTGGTGGCACATGCCTGTAATCCCAGCTACTAGGGAGGCTGAGGCAGGAGAGTTGCTTGAACCTGGGAGGCAGAGGTTGCAGTGAGCCGAGATGGTGCCATTGCACTCCAGCCTGGGCAACAAGAGTGAAACTCTGTCTCAAAAAAAAAAGATGAGGTCTCACTATGTTGCCCAGGCTGGTCTTGAATTCCTGGGCTTAAGCAGTTCTCCTTCCTTGGCCTCCCAGAGTGCTGGGATTACAGGTGTGAGCCACTGTGCTCAGCCATTCCAAAATCTTGACAAGAGATTATTCATTCTTTTTGATGGCCATGTAATAGTCCATAATGTGCCATAATTTATTAACTAATCTTCCACTGATGAATATCTAGGTTGTTTTCAGCTTTTTGTTGTTTAGAAACGTGCTGCTATTAAAAGAAAAGATTCAAAACTCTTCTCAAGTGTTTTAGCACATGTGATTTGGGATGATGGACAATATACCAATTGAAAAATTTATAATGTATTAAAACCTTACCCTCTTACCATTGACTTTCCATTTTTCCATCTTTTTTTTTTTTTTTTTCCTGAGACAGAGTTTCACTCTTGTTGCCCATGCTTGAGTGCAATGGCGCGATCTCGGCTCACTGCAAACTCTGTCTCCCGAGTTCAAGTGATTCTCCTGCCTCAGCCTCCCAAGTAGCTGGGATTACAGGTGCTCGCCACCACGCCTGGCTAGTTTTGTATTTTTAGTAGAGATGGGGTTTCTTCATGTTGGTAAGGCTGGTGTCGAACTCCTGACCTCAGGTGATCCCCCCACCTCGGCCTCCCAAAGTGCTAGGATTACAGGCGTGAGCCACTGCGCCTGGCCTTTTTTTCCATCATTTTTTAAACCTTGTTTTCATTACAATGTCACGGTAGCTCCTCCAACAGTATGTTTAATCTTACCCCTGGTAAATGTTACCTTTTTCTTGCTACAGTGTGAAGATTGCTCCTGGAGCAGTTGTATGTGTAGAAAGTGAAATCAGAGGAGATGTAACTATCGGTAAGAAATAGTTTATTTACTGTTTTTCAAGAATTGATGTGATTTAATCTATTTTAGTGCTTTACAATTAGATACCGTCTTCCATGTTTATTTCACTGATGTCCTAGTTTTATTGACAAAATAATGCATTTTCTCCTATGTGTTTAAATTTCTGAAAGAATGTAGTGTGATGGAGGCTGTGTTTAAACTCCTATCTGAAATACTAATGAGGCTGTATAACAAAGTCATTCATGTATTTAAGAGAGATCTGTTGTGTACCTGCGATGTGCCAGGCACTGTGCTAGTGCTAGAGACACGTCAGTAAGCACAGCAGACAAAGGTGCTGCCTTTGTGGAGCTTCGTGGAGAGCGTGGGCCATGGAGTCAACAGACCTGGGCTACTCTGCTCCTTGCTCCTTTCTTGCTGGGTTACTTTGAACATATTACTTAACCTCTCTAACCTTGATGTTTTTCCCATCTATATAATTGTGTGTATCAGGATCAGGTTCGGCTGCATGTAGGGGTGGCTTACACCTGCAGAGGTTTATTCTCTCATATAAAAAGTTTCAAGGTGAGTAATGGAGGGCTGATCGGTTGATTGTCCAGCATGGAGCTCCGGCCCTGCAGGCCAGGAAGTGATGGCTAGAGCACCAAGCATCATCTTGGATGAGAAAGGGGAGGCGTGGAAGCAAAAGGGCATGTGTTCCAGCTGTGAGTCAGCTCCCTTTAAACAGCCTTCCTGAAAGTTCCACACGACCCTCCTCTGTGTGTCTCATGGCTAAGACAATCTCATGGACACATCAAGCTGCAAGGGAGTTTGGGAGTTGTAGTCTTAGCTGGTTGCATTGCAGCCGCTAATGAGATCAGGGTTCTATTACAAGGAAAAAGAGGAGAAGAGATATTGGATGGCAATGAGCAATTTTCATAACATGCAAAATAGTAGTATCTACCTCCTAGGTTTCTTGAAAGAAAACATGAAAATTGTGAGTAGTAAGCTGTCAATAAATATTTGCTGTTAACGCTGTCAGATCTTCTCAGTGTAGCCTTGCCAGAGTTCAAGTCCAACATTTTACTTACGTGAACTTGACTAAGTTCCTCAAACATTTTACTCTGTTCTTTTAACTGGGGTTTACCTGGATATGGTGCCCTTGTAGTTTTATTGGTGTGAGCTCATTCTTACCAGCAGCCGCATGTCACCTGTATGCTACCAGACTAAAGTGTTCAGTGAACTATTACACTTTCAGAGAGGAAATACACTTTATTTCCTTAAATGAACAGTTTCTTTAATGAAAAAAAAAAAAACCCTGTAACGTCATTTTTTTTTTCCAAAAAAAAATCTAAGCCTCCAAACAATTTAGGCATCTTGTCTTATAAAACCAGTGGAGATTGTGCCAGTATTATGGAACATTGTTAAGAATTTGCCAGGTTAGGACGGGCACGGTGGCTCACGCCTGTAATCCCAGCACTTTGTGAGGCTGAGGCGGGCGGATCACATGAGGTCAGGAGTTCAAGACCAGCCTCAACATGGAGAAACCCCGTCACTACTAAAAATACAAAATTAGCTGGGCATGGTGGTGCATGCCTGTAATCCCAGCTACTCGGGAGGCTGAGGCAGGACAATTGCTTGAACCTGGGAGGCAGAGGTTGCGGTGAGCCGAGATCGCGCCGTTGCACTCCAGCCTGGGCAACAAGAGCGAAACTCCTTCTCAGAAAAAAAAAAAAAGAAAAAAGAAAAAAGAATTTGCCAGGTTGGTTGATTTAATTATTTCTTTTCAGTGCCGTGGTAACTCTTTGTCTTTTGTATTACCTAAACCACTTGCGAAGTGTTTATGAAGCAAAATGAGGAAAGTTATGTTTTTTAATTTTTTACAATCTCTACTGCAGACTGGGACCACATATTTATCAAAATGCTCCTCTGTGTTCTTTTTACTCATCATTTTACTGCATTATAATTGTGGCTATCATCATGATATTCTAGGAATAATACCTTATAGTAGTTTGCAATGCATTCTTCAGTTAGAAGGAAAGTAAGACTGAAGTGATGTAATTAATTATGTAGATTTTCCCTGGCATTTCTACTTCTTCCCCATTTTACATTTTTTCTTTTCTTTTTTTTTTAAATCCCCCAATGTTACAACAACCCCGTTTTGGTTTTTTTTTTCTTTCTTTTTTTTTTTTTGAGACAGGGTCTCGCTATTTTGCCAAGCTAGTCTTAAACTCCTGGGCTCAAGCGATCCTCCTGCCTCAGCTTCCCAAAGTGTTGGGATTACAGGAGTGAGCCATCACACCTGGCCCAACAACAACCCCATTTTAAATAAGTATATAATGTCTACTATAAGATAGGTATGTAGATAGTATAGATACATCTGCAGGCATAAATATACACAGGCATTATGTGGTGGGGGGGGTATGTATTTCAGATTTGAAATAACATCTTTTGCAGAAGCTTTTCTGGGCTGTAAAGGCATTATCCTGTGCAAGGAAGGTAGCTGCCAGTGATTGGTGGACCACTGCCTAGGACTGAGTTTTAGGGGTATCAGGGATCAGTATTCACTTTCCTGTTTCTCTCTCTGGTTTTCACTACATTGTGGTCCTCCCCCATCTTTAACCCTCTTATGTTCCTACCTTCCCTACATGTTGAAATTATTTAAGGAAGTACAGGCTGGATGCCGTGGCTCATGGCTATAATCCTAGCACTTTGGGAGGCTGAGGTTGGGAGGATCACTTTAGCTCAAGAGTTCAAGACGAGTGTGGAAAATATAGTGGGACCAGAAAGAAAGACAAAAAGAGAGAGAGAGGAAGGGAGGGAGGAAGGGAAGAAAGGAAGGAAGGGAGGAAGGAAAGGAAGGAAGGAAAAGAGACAGAAAGAAGGAGAGGAAAGGGAGGGAGGGAGGAAAGGAAGGAAGGGAGAGAGACGGAAAGAGAAAGAAGGAAAGAAGAAAGGAAAGGAAGAGAAAGAGAAAGGGAAGGAAGGAAGGAGAAAAAAGAAAAATTAGCAGAAGGAAGGGAGGGAGGTAGGAAGGGAAAAATTAGCTGCATGTGGTGGCGCATGCCTGTAGTCCCAGCTACTTGAGAGGGCTCAGTGAGCTATAATTGCACCACTGTACTCCAGCCTGGATGACAGTGTGAGACCCTGTCTCAAAAAAAAAAAATTACATAAGGAAGTGCATTGTTTAAATCTACTTTCCTTTTAGTTTGTTTGTTTGTTTAGAACCAAGGTCTTGTTCTGTTGGGCAGGCTGGAGCGCACCAGTGTGATCATGGCTCACTACAGTGTCGAACCCCTGCACTCAAGTGATTCTCCCACCTCAGCCTCCCAAGTAGCTAGGTCTACAGTGACGCACCACCACACCTGGCTAATTTTTGTATTTTTGCCCAGGCTGATCTCAAACTCCTGGCCTCAGTTGATCCTCCTGCCTTGGCCTACTAAAGTGCTGGGATTACAGGTGTGAGTCATTGCTCTTGGCCCTTCAGCTAGTTTTTGACCACTAGCTGGTAGTGCACAATTCTGATGGTTAAAATGACATTTTAACACAGATTTTCTTTCTTTCTTTCTTTCTTTTTGAGACAGAGTCTCGCTGTCTTGCCCAGGCTGGAGTGCAGTGGTATGATCTCAGCTCACTGCAACCTTCACCTCCTGGGTTCAAGCGATTCTTGTGTCTCAGCCTCCCAAGTAGCCAGAATTACAGGCATGTGCCACCACACTTGGCTAATTTTTTTGTATTTTTAGTAGAGACAGGGTTTCACCATGTTGGTCAGGCTGATCTCAAACTCCTAACCTCAAATGATCCACCCTCCTCGGCCTCCCAAAGTTAGCACAGATTATAACATAAGAAGTGGTAATACATTTTTAAGGAAAGAAATCTCTAGCGATTTAAAGTTTATCACAGCAGACAGCCTCCAAGTGAATACTTGTTATATTTACTTTGACCCAGTGTTTCTAAACAAGAAAATTTTTGCTCAAATACTGAGGAGAAAAACTCAATTTTAAAAGTTAAGGAAAATATGAGGAAAAATGAAGGTTCAGAAGAGTTATATAGTTACCCATGGTTCTGTCTTCTACAATTCTTGTCTCATTTTTGTTATGTATGTTTCTTATCTTCAACTGTATAATATGGGAATTTTTCAGAATTAGTAATTAGATAATCATTTTTGTCATTGTTATATTTGGTATAAAATGTCTCAAGTCTTTTGGCTTCTATTAATTCATTTTTCTGATGTAATGCATCAGATTAAAAAGCTCCTGGGAGATACAATTATAAAAGCAAAGAGTGGAGATAAGTCATCTGATTACAACTCTCCCCACCCTGCTTTATTTTTCATTTTAGGGCTTTTATTGTTGTTTTTACTTAGTTTATCTGAGTTAAGTAGCAATAAACTGTTGTTTAATTCATAGATTTTTTTCAGGATGTTTTGTGTAATTTTCCATCTTCTAGTCATGTATACTTTTACAAATTATTCCATTCTGAAATATTTCAGGAAGAAAGTAATGTTTTCCTTTGCTAAGTTTCAGGCTAATGGAACTTTAAACCCGATCTGTTTTCCTAGAAAAGCAGGTATTTGTTTTTTCAGAGAAACTAGCTGGATGCTTGGAAGTATGGTCCTTAACCAGAAACCCTATGACTTGAAGCTCTGCTGGAGCCTGACCCCCTTATTCAAGGCTGTTCAGAGACAGAGCTTGGGAAAAGTAACAGCCCTCTTGTTAATTATAATTTGGGTAAATAAGGTTTCATAGCATCAAGCCTATTTTTAGTTAGTCTGCCTTAATTCATGGCCCATGAATTATTTCCTGTAAATCTTTATTTTGAGAGCTGAAAACATTTCTGAAAGGTACCTTGAAGCACCGTCCCGTGGTCCATTACAGGGCGAGAGGCCGGGACAGAACTTGGTCAGGACATCAGTATGTGAAGGCGGAACTCGGCTCAGTGGAAATGTTTTGTGCTGGAAGCACTTTGTCCCACTTACTTAGTCTCTCTAGGAGAGTTTTAATACGGACCAAAAGCCTCCCTTTCATTGCGGCAGTCTTTTTCAGTAAGGCAGAACAGTGGCTTTGACTTGAGAAATTATCACCTATAAAGCACTCTTACAGGTACTTCAGCTTACAGTTCAAGAAAATTGTTTAGTTGTCAAAAAAACAGAGCTTAAGGCCTTTTGAATTATTTATTGACAAATGGAAATGTACACAAAGATTGCTTTCTGTGGCAAAGATAGACAGGAAAAGTGTCCTTTACCAGGGAAATGGAAATTGGATGCAAGGAATATCTTTCTGGCTATGTGGCACCAAGCCCAGCCAACCATTTAGAAAAATAATTCATCAGCCAGTAAGGCAGTTCCAACTCTAGACACATTTTTCCAAACAAGCAGATAAGCCAAATAGGGCTTCAGCACATTTAGTAAGAAAATACACAAACTACCCCGCCAGAAGGAGCGCCAGGGTTCACAGCAGGCTTTCAATGTTTTCCGTGGTGACAGATTTTTATTTTTAAAGCACTTTAACCTCAAGACCCTTAAACTTTATGTTGAATTCAGACCTGATCTAGGTGTAATAAAAGTGCTCATGGCATCAGAAAAGCATGAAGTGAACCGTGGCCACGTTTCAGTGTGCTGTTTCTTATGGTGCTTGAGTTGCTGGGCTCTGGGCTCTGTGCTGCCCAACCTCCATCAATAGACCACGCAGACAAAGCAGAATTATCCGCATCATTCACGGAAATCACAGCCTTCCTTTAAGAAGTTCACCAGGCCAGAGGCGGTGGCTCACGCCTTTAATCCTAGCACTTTGGGAGGCCGAGTCGAGCGGATTTCCTGAGCTCAAGAGTTTGAGACCAGCCTGGGCAACACGGTGAAACCCCGTCTCTCCTAAAATACAAAAAATTAGCTGGGCGTGGTGGTGGGCTCCTGTAGTCCCAGCTACTCGGGAGGCTGAGGCAGGAGAATTGCTTGAACCTGGGAGGCGGAGGTTGCAGTGAACTGAGATGGTGCCACTGCACTCCAGCCAGGACGACAGAGCGAGACTCTGTATCCAAAAAAAAAAAAAAAGTTCACCAAACCAAAATCTAGCGGTTATGTATCCTGAAGTACGCTTATGCTAACTACTTCAGTCTGTGCCCAAAAAAGACCCGCAAGAAGTTGAGAGAAGCTATTTGATGAGTTATTGCCCGTGACATTTGCTGTCACCTCACAATTTAAAGCTGATCATTTCTCAAACTTTTATTTCAGCCTCTTAACACTGGGACCTGTAGTTTGGCAATGCTGCCAGCAGGTGGAGGTGGTGTCTAAATCACTGGTCTCACCTAAATGCGGCGGTGCTTTCTCTCCCTCTCTGGACACAGCCCTCAGATTTCTAACCAGGCATTTTCCAGTTACTTGTTTAATAATTATTAATAATGATAAAGACAGTAATAACAATAATAAAATAAAATACCTGCTTAAAATAGCTCACATATTATTTTTTAAATATTGTGCAAGACATCTTATGGGACTTGGGGTTGTTTTAATTTTTTTTTTTTTGAGACAGAGTCTCACTTTGTCACCCAGGCTGGAGTGCAGTGGCGCAGTCTCGGCTCACTGCAACCTCTGCCTCCCGGGTTCAGGTGACCCTCCTGCCTCAGCCTCCCAATAGCTGGGATTACAGATGCCCGCCATAATGCCCGGCTAATTTTTGTGTTTTAGTAGAGATGGGGTTTCGCCATGTTGCCCGGTCTCGAACTCCTGTGCTCAAGTGATCCACCTGCCTCGGTCTCCCAAAGTGCTGGGATTACAGATGTGAGCTACCACACCTGGCCTATTTTAATTTTTAAAAATGTGTGCTTCTGGTATCTTCTGTGAAAAAAATTTTTAAAAATTTTTAAAAAGTGTGCTTATTTGTTTGAGTTCTTTATATAAGAAATTTGTATTACTTAGTCATTTTTGAAAGGGAAAAATGAAACTGTCACTTGTTTTCATAAGTTTTAAAGAAACACACAGGTCCCAGGGGTATCCTTGTCTTGTCAAGAACTACAGCTTGATGACCGGCAGAATATCTAGTGTCTCTGGCTACTTATCTAGCAGTGGCAGAGGATCTGCTTTCTGTAACAGATATGACGATCACTTCCTCCTATCTTTTTTTTTTCCCCTCAGAGACAGTGTCTTGCTCTGTTGCCCAGGCTAGAGTACAGTGGTACAATCATTGTTCCCTGTAGCCTCGAACCCCTGGACTCAAGCAATCCTCCCACCTCAGCCTCCCAAGTAGTTGGGACCACAGGTGCACCCCACCATAACTGGCCAATTTTTTTTTAATTTTTCATTTTGTAGAGAAGGGGGTCTGACTCATTGCCCTGGCTGGTCTGGAACTCGTGGCCTTAAGTAGTCCTCCCACCTCAGTCTCCTGAAGTGCTGAGATTACAGGTGTGAGCCATTGTGCTCAGCCCCATATCTAAGATTTTTAAAGCTAGTTATGGAAAATACTTTCATTAATCTTTTTACTGTCTGATCATGTGGTGTGGAATTTTTCCCCTTGGCTAACAGGAGGTATTACCCTGATACCTGAGTAGAGGTGCAAAGTGGTTCATTTTCTTCTGTGTCCCAGACCAGAATTAGTTATTTTGCTTACTATGAAAAAGTTGTGCATTAGCTCTTAGTAGTAAATAGTGATAAATCTCCCATTTTTTAAGAACCATGGTCCAGACCCCACAATCCCTCTTTCAAACATTTCATATAATCCACATTTCAGCCCAAAGAAGTAGGTTACAGATCTCTTCTTTCTGTAGATGAGAAAACAAGCCTTTGTGAGAGTAAGCACATCACCTTTAGTGATAGAGTCCGGTGTCTAGACTCTCTAGACAAGGGGGGTGGGGCTGGCTGGGGCTTTGATTACAAAGAACCTAAAAGAGGCAGATTGTGTCCTGTTATCATAGAATATTTTGACGTAAAATATAAACCTGGTATGGTGCAAACTACAAATTTCAGTTGGTTCCCACAGCTGGAAGCCTTACAGTTTCTCCTTTAAAAGAAATCCACTGCTCATTTCCCTGTTGTTTAGGATCACAGCCCCGAAAGTTGTGATGTCTAAATGCCATTATTAAGGGACCTGTGAAATAAATTATGGTATATTAATATAAAATGAGATACTTTTCAGCCATTAAAAAGAATATCTATCTAGATATACTTACTTGGAAAAATTACCATGAAATAAGCAAATTGCAGAAGAAGGTAATATTTCTTGGTGTGAAAGAAGTGTGTGCTTGAAATGCATATGTTTTTCCAAATCGTATTTATTTTTAAACTTTTTAATGAGATATAGTTTATATGGAGTGATATTTACAAATTTTTTTTTTTTTGAGATGGAGTCTCGGCTCTGTCACCCAGGCTGGGGTGCAGTCATGTGATCTTGGCTCACGGCACCTTCCACCTTCCAGGTTCAAGCGATCCTCCCACCTCAGCCTCCTGAGTAGCTGAGACCACAGGTGTGCACCACCATGCCTGGCTAATTTTTTTGTATTTTTCGTAGAGACAAGGTTTCACCATGTTAGCTAGGCTGGTCTCAAACTCCTGACCTCAAGTGATCCACCCACCTCGGCCTCCCAAAGTGCTGGGATTACAGGCATGAGCCACCGCCCCCAGCAATATTTACATATCTTAAGTGTACAGTGGAGCTTACATCTGGAATAATATACTCCAAACTTTTAAGAATAGCTAACTATTTTTTTGTAATTTTTTGTAATGATCATGTTATTTTATATATGTATCTATGTGAATATGTGTTATATATGCATATATATTTTTTGTTTGTTTTAAAGAAAAGGTTAGATGCACACATTTACACTCATGTTCAACTTGAGAAGCTTCCCAGGGATCTCAGAGATCCATCCCATCTTCCATCCTGAAATCTTCCATCCTGAATAGGAGAATATGCCTGGGAAATTTTACTTTAACAGCTGAAGATTTGGAAAGCCAGAAGTGACTGAGAGATCAAGGCCACTCTTGTTATTTCTTACCAGACTGTGCGTTCTGATAAGAAATGTTGGGATGTTGGACTGAGCACCCTGTTTTAGGCCCCCGCCCTCATTATCAGCCCCCAGCAATTCCTCATCAGGAAAAACAATAGGCATTCCTGAGGTTCTCTCCAATTCTCTGGGCACCAGAAACACCTCCTTATTTATTTTAGTACATTTGTGAATGAGTGTATATTAAGCATTCCCAGTTTTCAAGATAACAAGTTCAAAAGGACAAAAATAACATGTATTTATTTTTGTTGCCCCATAACATATAGTGAGGCATCTCAGCTGTCACAGGCAGATAATAATTATGAATTGACAATTTATATCATTAGGTGGGGCACAGTGGCTCACGCCTGTAATCCCAGCATTTTGGGAGGCTGAGGCAGGAGGATTTCTTGAGGCCAAGTGTTCAAGACAAGCCTGGGCAACATAGTGAGACCCCATCTCTAAAAATTAGCTGGATGTGGTGGCATGTGCCTGTAGTTCCAGTGATTCAAGAGGCTGAGGCAGGAGGATTGCTTGAGCCCAGGAATTGAAGGCTGGAGGGAGTTATGATCACACTACTACACTCCAGCCTGGGTGACAGAATGAGACCCTGTCTCTTAAAAAAAAAAAAAAAAAAAAAAACCAGTTTACACAATTGAATACTGAATTTCTTTCCTAATCCCCCACCCCCTCTATCAACACTTCTGTCCACCCTCCCTTACTTTCAGAGTCAGTTACTTCATCTGCACTTGTTTACCCATAAAAATTGCCTTGGTATTGAGGGGTACGTGGGATGGATATTGGAGAGAGCCTAAAGGAGGCTATGTTTTCTCATCAGTGGTTTCATTATCACCAGAACCCTCAGCCTGTGGTAGATAAAGCTGGGAGGGAGTATGTTAGCATTCCAGGCTCAGGGCGGGGTAGACCGTGCTGGTGAAGTGGGAGTAATGAGGGCCCTGGCTGTTCCCTTCAATTCGAGACTAGAGGCATCGCCTCAGGGCTCCCCACGCCAAAGTCCTCGGACTCCAGTGATCACCTTTGGGTCCTTCTGCTGCCTCCCTTTAACCTTTTCAGCTTTCACTGGTTTAAATCATATCCTGGGCCAGACAGCAGAAGCTGTGCCACCTTTCAGTAGGTGTGCTTGTAATAGGGACACTGACAGAGGAACAAAGCTGTTAGATCCCATAATTTCTGACTTCTGTCCACCCATATTTCTCCTTTTTTTTTTTTCTTTTTTTGAGACAGGGTCTTGCTCTGTCACCCAGGCTGGAGTACAGTGGCATGATCTCAGCTCACTGTAGCCTTTGCTTCCTGTGTTCACATGATTCTCCTGCCTCAGCCTCCCAAGTAGCTGGGACTACAGGCGCACATACCATCATGCCTGGCTAATTTTAGTATTTTTTGGTACAGATGGGGTTTCGCCATGTTGGTCAGGCTGGTCTCGATCTCCTGACCTTAAGCGATCTCCCCGCCTTGGCCTCCACATTTCTTCTCAATTATGTAATAAAAAGACTAATTCGGAGGTACACTCGCATAAGAAAGCAGAACAGCTTAAGCAAAGAGAGTGTTACCTTGCTGAGGGAAAAGAAGGAATTAATTTTTATTGCCACCTTTGTGTCACATGCTGTGTCTCCAGCATTATCGCCCCTAGCCCTTACAGCAACCCTGTGGGACTGGTGTTGTCATCACCTCTGTTTCACCGCTGAGATCACAGGAAGCTTCCGAGTGGAGGCTGAGCCAGAGCTGTCTGGCTCTAGTGCCTGTGCCATTCCACTCACATTGGCTTGCAACTTGGCCCTGACTACTGATGATAAAGCCTGGGAGATAGTATCTGTGAAGTACCTAGCTTGGTGCCTGGCACATACTTAGAAAATGTTCCTCCCAACAGCCTCACCCATCCTCAGTCACCTTCCACCCTTCTGTTGGAAGCATAGCCTCCACCAATAATTTCTTCTCAAACTATTTTTAACAGGACCTCGGACAGTGATCCACCCTAAAGCAAGAATTATTGCGGAAGCCGGGCCAATAGTGATTGGCGAAGGGAACCTAATAGAAGAACAGGCCCTTATCATAAATGCGTAAGACTCTTATACATACTGTGAACCAAGTACCATGGGTAACGGTTTTTCTTAATTTCAGCTGTCTGTAAGAACCTTTTCAGCTGACATCCAGGAGGCCTACTATTTTAGAGCTAGAGAAGCATTAAGGGTCTTTTTCAACATAAGTAAATGAGCAAACCAAATACCATATGAGGGAAAAGACTTGTCCAAGATGAGAGAGCTGAGTAGCTGCCTAGAATCTTTGACGCTCGGTCTGGTGATCTTCCCCTTACATGTGGCTATCTCACCCATTCCTTAAGCAAACATTTCCCGAACACTTCAAGCCTCCAAGTGCTGTGCCCACCACCCTGCAGAGTTTTTTTTTTTTTTGATTTTTTGGTTGTAGCTGAAATGTTATTACTCATGCCTAAACACGTGAATTTAACTCAAATATATTTTTTCACATGTTTTGCACAGGTGACACCCAGAATTATAGTTGAAAAATGTGGAGTCTTAGAGGCAATTTTTAAACTGTAAAGATTAAAAATAATAAAATACTAGAACATGTGCATGATCTGAGTGAACTAGACTGTAATACGTATGAATTTTTCATAAACATAAGTTCTTTCTAGATAAAATTTTGGGAAGGAATTCAAGCTTATACCTAATTTATAGCAACCATGTATGGAATTTGTAAGAAAGACCTTGGGAAAATATTTAACTGTCAGAAAAAGACTGATTTAATGCTTACTTAGGATTTAAAATACATTTGGCACCTTCAGTGTAAGTCAATTAACAGCAACTATATTCTGCAGTAACTCAACTGTCAGAGATAAAGCACCATTTAAAAATGGCGTCCACCTCTTAGAACACAAACATTTTATCTTCCAAATATTTCAACTAGCTAACTAATAGCAATAATTATTTTATGTGAATATCTGTTTATGTTTCACAATCCCAAATGATTATTAAGGGTGGAAAATTTTCAAGTTAGGCATGATTTTGGTTCTAATTAACAGCCTAAAAAGATAGCTAGCATCTTCTTTCCTTTGTCCTGGAGAAGACCCACTGGACTTTGAATTTAAAAAATAAAGTAGGCTGGGCGTGGTGCCTCATGCCTGTAATCCCAGCACTTTGGGAGGCCGAGGCGGGCAGATCACGAGGTCAGGAGTTCAAGACCAGCCTGACCAATATGGTGAAACCCCGTCTCTACTGAAAATACAAAAAAAAATTAGCCGGGCGTGGTGGCACCCCACCTTGTAGTCCCAGCTACTTGGGAGGCTGAGGCAGGAGAATCGCTTGAAGCTGGGAGGTGGAGGTTGCAGTGAGCCAAGATCGTGCCACTGCACTCCAGCTTGGGGGACACAGCAAGACTCCGTCTCAAAAAAAAATAAAAAATAAAAAAATCAAATAAACTAAGGAAGGCTATTCTTTTCCACACACCAATGACTTCTTCACTTTTCAGTAGCTCTCTTCAACTCAAAATCAAGCCTTCTCTAGCACACAGGATGAATGAATCACTTGAATTAAGAAATAACTTACATAGGCTGGGCGTGGTGGCTCATGTCTGTAATCTCAGCACTTGGGGAGGCCCTAGCTGGTGGATCACCTGAGATCAGTTCGAGACCAGCCTGGGCAACATGGTGAAACCCCATCTCCACAAAAATACAAAAATTAGCCAGGCCTAGTGGCACGTGCCTGTAGTCCCAGCTACTCGGGAGGCTGAGGCAGGAGAATCTCTTGAACCCGGGAGACGGAGGTTGCAGTGATCCAAGATGGTGCCACTGTACCAGCCTGGGTGATAGAGTGAGATTCCATATCAAAAAAGAAAGAAAAAAAGAAATAACTTATATAGTCATGTCTTTTAAGCTTGATGTAGGTAAAATTGAAAGAATTAACCCAAATTCGAAAATGGGAAGAAAATTGCTTATTGTGTTATTGACTTTTTGGATGATTTGTTTCTTCTGTTTACAGTTACCCAGATAATATCACTCCTGACACTGAAGATCCAGAACCAAAACCTATGATCATTGGCACCAATAATGTGTTTGAAGTTGGCTGTTGTATCCTTTACAATAATCTACCATAAATAATTCCTGGCTCTCCTTTAGTACCTAAGTCTTCTCCTGTAGAAATTGTAAATAATTCCTGGCTCTCCTTTAGTACCTAAGTCTTCTCCTGTAGAAATTGTAAAATTGTCATAATTTATCTATCAAACATACTTACATTCACAATATATATTATAATTACATTTTTAAAAGTAGGTCATCCAGGCTGGGTGCGGTGGCTCATGCCTGTAAATCCCAGCACTGTGGGAGGCCGAAGCTGGCGGATCACTTGAGGCCAGGAGTTCAAGACCAGCCTGGCCAACATGGTGAAACCCCATCTCTACTATTAAAAAAAAAAATTACAAGAATTAGCTGGGCACGGTGGTGCACGCCTGAAATTCCAGTTACTTGGGAGGCTGAGGCAAGAGAATCGCTTGAACTCGGGAGGCAGAGGTTGCAGTGAGCCAAGATTGTGCCACTGCACTCCAGCCTGGGTGACAGAGCAAGACTCCTTCTCAAAAGAGAATAAAAATAAAAATAAATAAAAGTAGGTCATCTAGCTCTTTGAACAGACTTCTTGAATAGTATATATTTTAAAAATGGTCCCTTCTGTTCCTGTAAATAAGTCAATAGAGTAAAATAAGTATGCCGTTTTTAGACAAACGCAGACACACACATATCTTTAGCTCAGCACTTTGAAAGAAACCACTTCTTTTGCTGGTACTACAGCTTGTTGACAGGTAGCAATGGCTGAGTGACAGTAAACATAGAAGCAGCAATGCTGGCTTCCTTCTTGATTCAAGAACCCCAGCTTTGTCAGTGTGGTTCCTCTGTAGTTTTAGGTAGACAATGCATTGTCTGATTCAAGAAAATGGTGTGTAGGGGTGAAAATATTCCATTATTCATGTGTTGTCTTTTTTCCTCCCTAGAATGTCTCCAGTTCTTTTGCTTAGTTTAGTACTCTAAAAAGATAGTAAAATCAGGGCAGGCACCGTGGTTCATGTCCGTAATCCCAGCATTTTGGGAGGCCGAGGCGGGCAGATCACCTGAGGTTGGGAGTTTGAGGCCAGCCTGACCAACGTGGAGAAACCCCGTCTCTACTAAAAATACAAAATTAGCCGGGCGTGATGGTACATGCCTGTAATCCCAGCTACTCGGGAGGCTGAGGCAGGAGAATCACTTGAACCCAGGAGGCGGAGATTGCGGTGAGCTGAGATCGCGCCATTGCACCCCAGCCTGGGCAATGAGCGAAACTCCGTCTCAAAAAGATTAAAAAAAAAAAAAAAAAAAAGATAGTAAAATCTTATGGTGTCAGCAAAACATACTATAGTAGAAAATATTTAGAAGGAAAAATCTAAATGTTCAATGATAGCAAGATATTTAAATAAATTGAACTATGAGCATAAAACCACTAGGAGCATTAAGCAGTCATTTAAAGTTATGTTTTTAAAGATTTTTTTTTTATTTTATCTTTTCTGAGACAGGCTCTTGCTCTGTCACCCAGGCTGGCATTGCAGTGGCACAATCATAGCTTACTGCAGCCTCAGCTCCCAGACTCAAGCAATCCTTCCATCTCAGCCTCCCAAGTAGCTGGAATTATAGGTGCACACCACCGTGCCCAGCTAATTTTATTTTTGGTAGAGATGGTGTCTCACTCTGTTGCCCAGGCTGGTCCTTGAACCCCTAGGCTCAAGCAATCCTCCCACCTTGGCCTCCCAGAGTGCTGGGGTTACAGATGTGAGCCACCCTGCCTGGCCTAAAGATTTTAATAGCGTGGAATAATGCTTGCAAATTTAAGTGAACTGAATAAGCTATAAAAGTTTATACAGTTTGATTCCCACTTATATACAGGAAATTCTATATATTTATATAAAGATATATCAAACTTTTAACAGTGTTTAAGTGATTGGGTGATGGATAGTTTTAATTATCTTGAAACAATTATGAAAATATTTTACTCATAAAATCAGGGTATAAGGTGCTCATTTCTTTAAAAACACAAGTCATTTATTTATACCTAGAGATACTTATGTTTAAAGATTAAACCGTTACCACAGATTGCCCAGAGCAAAGAGTTCTGGCAAGGGTGAGCCTGCATGGCCCATCTGACACCCCTGTCCTCTGTCCCAGTGCAATGTAAGTACATACTGTGTTAGTGGGGACTAAAGATGAACATATTTGTAGTATTTACCTAACTCTGGCTTACAGATTCCCAAGCCATGAAGATGGGAGATAATAATGTCATTGAATCAAAAGGTAAGCTACATTCAGAGTTTCATTGTCAAAGCAGTGACCTCTTTTCTCTTTGTGGTGTCCTGGGAAACAACCTAATAGAAACTGTGGCAAGGTGTTGTGCTTGGAAGTGGGCTACAATAGCTGGCGAACTAATTGTTTGCCACTAAGGAACCTAATCTGGTTATGTGGTTATCTGGTAATGTTAAATACATTAAATTTAAAATCAGCTATGTACAGGATTGAATTAAACCATAAACTTTAAATGAAAGATTTGGAAAAGATTTCTACTAAATACTAGTCTCTGAAATTTTAGTTGGTTAGTGTTGTTGTAGAATTAAAGGGGGGGAAAAATCAAAGTTTCTGTAGCAGTTGTTTTCTTTAATTTCAGGAATACTTTTCCCTAGCCAATCAGAAACAAATATCATGTGCTTGTAAGTGGGACCAGACAGGAGATTACCTAAAGTCACTGTCACTACTGGGAAGCAACTTCAAGAGCTTGTCCCACCAAGGTCCAGAAAAAACCTGAATGATGACAATTCTTTAGAATAGTGGGTTATCTTTCTTGGTCCTGAGTGGCACGAAAGAAAATGCTTCTTTTTAAAATAATAAAATTACACTTTTTGTTAATCTACTTAATGACTTTTATTTTAATTTGGATTATCAATTATCACTATTATCATCAGCATTTTCTATTTATTTTATGCTTACTGTGTGTCAAACCTGTGCTCATCACTTTACATCTGTTATCACATTTATTCCTTAAACTGTGAAGTAGAGTGGCCTCTTTGTTTTATAGATGAACTTGAGCTTAGAGACTTTGCAGCGACTTTCCCAAGGTCACACAAATAGCAGCAGAGCTCCATTTTGAATTCATCTGACCCTGGCTTGTACTGCCTGCCTCTGTGTTGTCCATACAAACTCCAAACTGATGTATTTTCTTTAACTTTTTTCTTGAGGCCAGTTTACATTTTTATACCTAAATCACCTTAAGAAAAAAAGTGTTGGAATCATTTGATGTCTTAAGTTGCAGTTCTTTCTGTGTTTTTATTGCAGCATATGTAGGCAGAAATGTAATATTGACAAGTGGCTGCATCATTGGGGCTTGTTGCAACCTAAATACATTTGAAGTCATCCCTGAGAATACGGTGATCTATGGTGCAGACTGCCTTCGTCGGGTGCAGACTGAGCGACCGCAGGTACTAGAACCTCTCTTTAAAAAGAGTTCTATCTGCTGATTTTCCCAAAATACAATGTAATTGTCTTCATGAGGCAGCAGGTACACTATTTAAGAACATAATTAAAATAAAACAAAAGATGCCAGTCTCAGTGACTCGTGCCTGGAATTCTAGCACTTTGGGAGGCCGAGGCAGGAGGATGACTTGAGGGCAGGAATTTAAGAGCAGCCTGGGCAACATAGTGAGACTCTGTCTCTACAAACACTAGAAAAACTAAGCCAGGTGTGGTGGGGCATGACTATAGTCCAGCTACTGAGGAGGCTGAGGTGGGAAGATAATTCTTGAGTGTGAGGTTACCATGAGCCATGATCATGCCACTGCACTCCAGCCTGAGCAACAGAGACCCCAACTCAAAAAATAAATAAATAAAAAGAAAACAATGAGAAACATCCCGAAAACCAGGATTTAATTGCAGTTCAATCCCTAAAACCAAGATTTAATTGCAGTTCAATTATTTAGTCTTTAGGTTAATATCAAAAATATATACAAGGATGACAATGACAAGTCAGTTATGAGAAAAGATCCAGAAATGTTACTCTTGGTCTCATGCATTGTCACTGACAATGCATAAACAAACTGTACAAGCCATATTGATTTACTCCTAAAATATCAGTCTTCAAGGTTAAGGAATGACCATACTACATTTATCCTGTGCCTCTAACTGGGGTGTGTCTATTTATTGCCATAGCTTCATAATAAACACAGCTTGTGAATAAGAAACTGTGTTTGGATATTTTCCTGGCTTGAGAAATTATCTCCTCCTAGAAATTCAGATCAAGAATAATGTAGAGTACATATTTGGAGTTTAATATTAGAGTAGGAGATGAAAAAGATAGGACATTTGGGCTTCCTTTGGACATAAGACATTTGTATTGCAGTTTCGAGCCTCATTGCTTGGCACATTCAATATATATTTCTTTAGTTACCTAGCCTCCTTTTCCTCCCACTAAAGAAAATAGTTTCAAGCACTGTGCGAGGCCAAGGCGGGCGGATCACTTGAGCCCAGGAAGGAGTTTAAGACCAGCCTGGGCAACATCATGAGACCCCATCTCTACAAAAAATAAAAAATAATTAGTTGGGCATGGTGGCATTCACCTGTAGTCCCAGCTACTTTGGAGGCTGAGGTGGGAGGATCGCTTGAGCCCAGGAGGTCAGGGCTGCAGTAAGCTGTTTGTACCACTGCACTCCAGCCTGGGAAAGAAAAAAAAAAAAAAGAATAGTTTCAAGACATAACTTTGCTTCTGATTCTTAGCCATATTTTATCAGAAATCAAAACTCCAGTTCTTTTTGGGTTACTCTATTTCTGTAATGTTTGGCTTCATTATTATTATTATTATTTTAAGCAAGTATTACTCTATAGACTAAAAAGGAAATAAGGTCAAATCCAGTCATTTGTTTTACTTTCTACATAACAGCAAAAATGACTGAAGAGTGGGAAATGAAGCTTGTGTTGGGGAAGGGAGATTAGAATTAAGTGAGCAAGAATATCTGAAGCTTTATATTTTATAATATGCCTAAATTTCACTAATCATAAGGATTATGTAGAGGTCTTTATTCAAAATAAAGATTCCCCAGACTTACTGAGTCACAGTGCTAGGGCAGGGGCCTAAAAATCTATATTTTTCACAAGTACCGCAGTGAGTTTTACAATCAGGAAAATCTGGGCAGTACTGGTATATGAAGAGTGAAGATCAGACAGATGTAACCAACAAGTACACCTCAGCTGTGTGGCTCTGTAGGTCACGTGGAAAACAAAATACTCTGGGTGTTTTACTTATGTGGTCTTCTGTAATCGGAACTTTTAACTTTTCAGAAGCCAGGGTGAAATCTACAAAAGCGAGTTTTAAAACTGATTTCTGTATATTTTTATATAAATATATAAAATCTGTTGGCTTTTTCTTGTAACCAAACTTAGTATATGTTCCTTATAAATTAAAAAAAAAAACAAGCATGTAAGCAAAAATGAGTCAATGAAAAGCACCTGTAATTCCACAACTTATTAATAACCATTGCTACCTGGAACTTTTTTTTTTTTTTCTTTGAGACAGGGTCTGGCTCTGTCACCCAGGCTGGAGTGCAGTGGTGTAATCATGGCTCACTGCAGCCTCAACCTCCTGGGCTCAAACAATCCACCTGCACCCCTGCCGCCCTGCTTCCACCTCAGCCTCCTGAGTAGCTATGACTACAGGGGTGTGCCACCACACACAGCTAATTTTTAAATTTTTTTAGTGACAAGATCTCCCTATGTTGCTCAGGCTGTTCTGGAACTCCTGAGCTCAAATCATCCTCCTGTCTGGGCCTCCCAAAGTGCTGAGATTACAGGCATGACCCACCACGCCTGGTTGCTGTGTGGTACTCTTGACTTTGCTTTCTGCCAATCGGCCTTAATTACCTTATCTTTTTAGCCCCAGACACTACAGCTGGATTTCTTGATGAAAATCTTGCCAAATTACCACCACCTAAAGAAGACTATGAAAGGAAGCTCAACTCCAGTAAAGAACTAAGAACAGTGTATAACATGAAGATAACATTTTGTCTTTGACCACTGTCTTTTGAATGGGCCCACAGTGTTTATGTACTCTTAACAACTCACAGAATAATACATGTTCACTTTATTTTGTAAAATTGGGTTGAGAGGAAACTAATGGAGTTTCATTGTAACTGTCCTTTGTAATTTATATAAATGTATTATTTTCCTATATCCTTGGTTCTTTTCTGATAATTTACAGATTTAGCTTTTCTTTTGTTATATAAACTGCTAGCCACAAATTTTAGTTATGTAAAAGGCTACCCTTGACAAGAAAAGACATACTGTCATGTATTTATATTCTAGCATAGACTAAACTGAATAAAAATGCTGATAACAGGACCTTTAGTAAGCATACTTTAATCAGTTTTTCTCCTTGAATTAATCTTTTCTCTTAATTTTTATTATGTACTAGTTGTATTAAAGCTAATGTGTTTACTTTTTCCTCTTGTGGATTTGTAGCTGTTTAAAATTTCAGGTGAATTTCAGTAGCTATTGAATTAATTTAGACTTCACTTTGTTTTTAAGAAAAGTACAATTTTTTCTTTTTGGTAAAACAAAAGTAATCAGGGAAAGATGTTTTCAGTAGAATACAAATTAGTGGCATTCTTGGGTTTCTGAGGACAATGAAACTAAAAGAAATTTTGAAATTATACAAATTTATGAAATTATTAATATTTTAGCATAGTGCTAATCACTAATCATTGAGCTTTATTATTCTGTTGTCTATGTAGTGAGCAAAATGTTGAGAATTTTATAATTCCAAATTTTTAAAATAATTCAAGTGCATAAATTTACTGGAACATACTTCTCAACTTTTGAATTAGTAGATATTGACTAATACTAAGATACTAAAATACTAAGATATTCTCTCAAAATTTAATTTTTATTTATTTATTTTAGAGACAAGGATCTCACTCTATTACCTAGGCTGGAGTGCAGTGGCACAGTCTGCTCACATGGATCACTTGACCTCCTCAAACTCAAGTGATCCTCCCGCCTCAGCCTCTTGAGTAGTTGGGACTATAGGCATAAGCCACCATGCCTAGCTTTTTTATTTTTTTTAACTTTTTGTGGAGACAGGATCTCGCTGTGTTGCCCAGGCTGGTCTCAAACTCCTGACTCAAAATTTAATTTTTAATTGTGAATAGAAAAAAATATATTTTTGAATTTCTGAAACTGACAGTGCAAATTAGCGTAATCATTCGAAATTGGAATGATTTTGGTAAGAATACTCATGACTAAACTTGGAAAACTATACTGTAGCAGATGAAACATTGAGCTTTTGAAAAGGAGAACATAAATACCCTATTTCTGTTAACTGCTATTTATTCATTTTTCAACCCCCTGGTGATCAGTTCAGAATGTTGTTGATCATGGAAATTTTCTAGATAAAAGAAATGAGAAATTACAAGACAGTCTTTGAAATTCTTTACTGGTTCTAATGTATTCTCTTTGGACAGGCTCTGATATGCTAAGTAAATGGCCTCTCCAAACTACACAGGTACTATGTGGGGCAGCAGTGAGATACCTTCTAAGGACTTGATAAGAAGAAACCACCAGAGAGTCTACACATAGTGAGGAGAGTCTCAATGCTTCCCAGGTACACTGTAGGTTATTACATGATATTAACTCATTTGAGAAAAGAAAACCGAAATTATCAACTCACCAAAATGGGGTTTGAAGAAACAAAATATGACAGTGTGTATACAGTGTTATCCGTGAAAAGGAAGTCCTGCATCCAAGAGATGTGAGTAATTCAGTGACCAAAAGTGTTCTCTACTTCAGTTAGGACTAGTTTATCAAGACCCAAGGTATGTGGCTTAGGGAGAACATACCTTGAGACTTGCCACTTCTTTTGGCACTAATTACAAGCCTAACTGAACCATCTTCTGATTGTTGATATGGCCTTTTAAGCTATTGTTGTTCAGGAAAAGGGAGAATTCTGCATGAGGGCACCAACATTTCATTCTGCACATAGTAAATTTAGAGAAATTCTCTGGTTTATATGTCAGTCTCATGTGAATTTTGTGTGTGTGGTTCTGCCCCCAAGTTTGTCAGTTTAGCCTATGAGTTTCTAAATATTCTGATGAAACATAGTTTCTGATTCTTCAGGATAGAGAACCAAAGCCCGGACAGATTATTGCAAACTTCACTCTTTGGGGCTTCTGCATAGCCAGGCTGTCAGCCTTCTTCTAGTGGCACTCTATCTCACTTGAGACTACACTCAAACTGCATCCCAAATATTCTAGACAAATAAGCTAAGTGGTAAGGAGAACCCAGACATCCATGTGACATGAGGTAGTAACTGGGCAGGGAAAAGAGAGAAACCATTTTATCAAATCATCTTATTGCAATCTGGCACTAGCTCTTCGGGCAAGATGATGGATCTTCACCAGTTGAACAGTGTAAGGTCTAGAAACAGTGATGAAACTTCACTTCATCCATAAGCACACACTGTAGTAGTTATGTATGCTGTGTAACAAATTACCCCCAAAACTAAAACAACACACATCTTATTAGCTCACTCAGTTTCTGAGAATCAAGAATCTGTGTGTGGCTTAGCTGATGCTGGGGCTGCAGTATTCATTTCCAAGATGGCACACTAACATGGTTGTTGCCCGAAGGCCTCAGTTCATCATCACATGAGCCTCTCTACAAGGCTACCTGGGTGTTCTCTTGACATGGCAGTTGGCTTTCTCCATAATGAGTGATCCCAGAGAGGATGGAAGCCACAAGGCCTTTCATGACCCAGTCTCTGAAGTTGCACACGATCATTTCCAATGAATTTGATTTGTTAGAAGTGAGTCACTAAGTCCATTCTACACTGAAGGGATGGGGAATTAAGCTGTACCTTTTGAAGGCAATAGCATCAAAGAGTTCATGCTCATATTTTTATTTTTTATTTTATTTATTTATTTATTTATTTATTTATTTTGAGACAGAGTCTTGCTCTGTCACCCGGGCTGCAGTGCAGTGGCA
The DNA here is from genome assembly GCF_000001405.40 of Homo sapiens. Classification (NCBI taxonomy): domain Eukaryota; kingdom Metazoa; phylum Chordata; class Mammalia; order Primates; family Hominidae; genus Homo; species Homo sapiens. Next base: position 30,186,179 of record NC_000008.11, read on the forward strand.
CGATCTCAGCCCACTGCAGCCTCTGCCTCCCAGGTTCTAATGATTCTCCTGCCTCAGCCTCCTGAGTAACTGGGACTACAGGTGTGTGCCACCATGCCTGGCTAATTTTCGTATTTTTAATAGACAGGGTTTCACCATTTTGCCCAGGCTGGTCTCGAACTCCTGACCTCGGGTGATCCACCTGCCTCAGCCTCCCAAAGTGCTGGGATTACAGGCGTGAGCCACTGTGCCCAGCCCATGCTCATATTTTTAAACTCCAGCATGTATGTACACATCCATTTACATCTGGGTTTCTCCCAGTGCACTATCAGCATCTCTTTAGAGAGTCTCCACACTGGGAGGAAGATGACTTTGGGAAGGACTGCTGTATATTAATTGCCATGGCACATGACGTCATCAAAGGTCATCTTACCCACTTGAAGCCCCATTATGTAGTGTTTTCTGACATCAAATGTGTGGTTTTTCCAACACCAGCAACCGATTCTCCAACACCAACTGAATGTCCAGCAATTCAGAACAGTTCTGGTGCTATCTGGAGTTAGCCCAGACCCCACACTCCCATAAAACTACACCCACTTCATTTGCCAGCATCAAATAGGGTACCCAAACTACCCATACTTCTGCCCACCCCAACTCCAAATTAGGGTATTCCCATGATCCTTCAGGCTCAATAATTCTCTAGAATGACTCAGAGAACTCAGGAAAGTGTGTATTTACTACTGCAGATGTATTACAAGGGTACAACTCAGGAACAGCTGAAAGCAAGAAGTACCAAGGCCATGGGATGGGATGGAATGGCACAGGGTTTCCATTCCTTCTTTGAGCACGTCAGCCTCCCAGCACAGCACCAGCCTGGAAGCTTTCCAAATCTAATCATTCAGGAGTTTTTATGATCCGGTCTGTAGCCCCTCTAACCTCCCTGGAGTTTGTGGGTCAGGGCTGAGAGTTCTGATCCTCTAGCCCTATGTTCTCATTAGCATACAAAAGACAGTACATTCCGGCCAGGCATGGTGACTCATGCCTGCAATCCCAGCACTTTGGGAGATTGAGGTGGGCAGATAACTTGACGTCAGGAGTTCAAGACCAGCCTGGCTGACATGGTGAAACCCCATCTCTACTAAAAATACAAAAATTAGCCAGGCATGGTGGTGGGCACCTGTAATCCCAACTACTTGGGAGGCTGAGGCAGAATTGTTTGAACTCGGGAGGCAGAGGTTGCAGTGAGCCAAGATGGCACCACTGCACTCCCCCTGAGAGCAAGACTCCGTCTCAAGAAAAAAAAAAAAAAAAACCCAGTAATTTCCAAGGGTCTGAGAAGCTCTGTGCCAGGGACCAGGGACAAAGACCAAATATTTTTTATTTTGCCACATCTATCTTCTTAGCAATTTAGATTACTTTCCCTTAAATATAACAAATTCCATTAAGCATCAGTTTAAGTTGAGGCGTAACAGAAATTATTATTAGCAAAAACCTTGAGAGATAAGAATACTAAGCGGGAGAAATAATAGAAGAACTATTTTAACCCTAATATACTTTGTCAAGTCTGACTTTTTTAAAAATCGCATTTATTAAGCTTGCATAGAGCTGACTACATGCCAAGCACTGTTAAAAGCAGTTTACGTGTAACTTGTTAATTGCACATTATTTCCTTTAATTGTCTTAATCAGGTAGGTGATATTACTATCCTTATTTTGCAGAAATTGAGGCACAAAGAGGTTAAGTAATTGCCAGAGGTCCACTCAGCTAGTAAGTGGCATTTTGGCTCCAGAGTTCATGATCTTAAGCATATTCTCTGTTGCTTTATTGGAAGACTAAACCTTTTAAGATAGATATTCTATAATTCAGTGGGCTTCCTAAATACAAATGGAGAAAACAGATGTGGATTCACCTTTCCTAAACGCTTTGCCTCTCTTTAAATTCTTCAACTGAGTGATCCTCTCTGGGATCACTCATATTCTGGAAAAAGCCAACTGCCATGTCAAGAGAACACCCAGGTAGCCTTGTAGAGAGGCTCATGTGATGATGAACTGAGGCCTTCGGGCAACAACCATGTTAGTGTGCCATCTTGGAAATGAATACTGCAGCCCCAGCATCAGCTAAGCCACATGCAGATTCCTGATTCTCAGAAACTGAGTGAGCTGGGATTACAGGTGTGAGCCATTGTGCCCAGTCTGGGTCTGCTTGTTATAACTAATTAACTGTAGTGGTAATTTGTGGTGGTGTTTTGTTCTGTTTTTTTAGTGTGTGTGTGTTTTACTGGTAAAAGTAATACATTAATAATTTCATTTTACACAGTTTAGGAGGTGGGGAGAAAACACTTCTGATTCCATGGCCCCACCTCAAGCACCACCATTTGAATCATTTTGGGGCTAATTTTTAATGTGCAATCCAAGGTGAATGAAGATCTCTCAGACACATGCACCTTAAAGCTTCATAATTCTCATGTAGACCTGCTGTTTTAACACAAGAGGGCACCAGTAGACAGGATAGTCCCCCCATAGTGTCTAGCAAATGGGTGCTCTTGGAGAGTTTTATTTATTTATTTTTATTTGAAGACAGGGGCTGGCTCTGTTACCCAGGCTGGAAAACACAACTCACTGCACCCTCAACCTCCTGGGCTCAAGCAATCCTCCTGCCTCAGCCTCCTGAGAAGCTGGGACCACAGGCTTGTGCTACCAGGCCCAGCTAATTTTTAAATTTTTTTTTGTGGAGATGGAGTCTCCCTATGTTTCCCAGGATGATCTCGAACTCCTGGGCTCAAGTTGTCCACCTGCCTGGGCCTCCCAAAGTGCTGGGATTACAGGCATGAGCCATCGCTCTTTCTGACCCATTTTAAGGATACTTTAGACTTTAATACTTTATTAAACAAAACTAGGAGCAGTTCCTTTCTTGTCTCCTTTAAAGGGTGTTGTATTTAAATATTTTAGAACATTTAGCTGGGACTAGGTTCATGACACTAAACACATGCAAATGGAGGCTCAGGCTTTGAGAAGAGAATCATTGTCAGGCCCACTAGAGACCCAGCCAAGAATGGATTGATTGCCCAAGCCTTCATTGTCAGCATCCCTCTCCACAGGGTTTCAGCATTGCTCACCTTCATGAAAGTTTGGTGCTAAGTCCCTGAATTTAGACTTTCTTTTTTCCTTTTTAAAATTTTCAGTGACAGGGACTCACCATGTTGACCAGGCTGCTCTTGAACTCCTGGACTCAAGCCACCCTCCTGCCTCAGCCTCCCAGCGTGCTGGGATTACAGGCATGAGCCACCATGGCCTGCCTAGATTTTCCATTTCTTAAACTAACTCAGCTTTCATTAGCTACCTATATGGTTCAGACTTTTGAGCCAGTCTCTGCTCTCGGTGAAAAATAATGCCGGATGTTCAGAACCCAAATTTCCCCTACTATGAAGTCGTCTGCTCCTTGGTAGGCTAATCACTGCTCTCTCTGAGTTGTATGCTTTCCAAAAATCAGTTGTATTTGGCCGGGCATGGTGGCTCATGCCTGTTATCCCAGCACTTTGGGAGGCTGAGGTGGGCAGATCACTTGAGGACAGTCCAAGACCAGCCTGCCAACATGATGAAACCCCATCTCCACTAAAAATACAAAAGTTAGCTGGGCATGGTAGTGGGCCCCTGTAATCCCAGCTACTCAGGAGGCTGAGGCAGGAGAATTCTTTGAGCCTAGGAGGCGGGGGCTGCAGTAAGCCAAGACTGTGCTGCTGCACTCCTGCCTGGGCAACAGAGCAAGACTCCATCTCAAAAAAAAAAAAAAAAATCAGTTGTATTTGTTCCAAAACTTGTTTTTGCAAGTTGTACTTAATAACGATGTAATTTAATTCAATATTACCAAAATCAAACAATTATGAGTGTGAAGAGAGTAATCTCTATGAAAAAAAGTTGAAAACTTGGGAAAGACCTGATAAAAGACGTGTTATTAAAGAAAAAAATGCTGTGGAATTAGGTGTGGGTAAAGCAACCGTGAATGTTTGGGAGGGAGAGAAAAGTGTCAAAATATAGGACTTTGCCTTCATTTTGTTTCACAAGTGTCTTGAGTCCTCATTCTACTAAAGCTGAAATTGATAATGCTTCTTGCTGTGCTAATCAATGTCCTCTGTGCAGCCTGCATCAGCAGGCCCACACGCAAAGAAAAGGTCTTATCCTGACATCAAAGGAGTGATGGGTAGATAAACCTGTTTATATTTTAAATTAAAAATAAAATTTTGAAGATATATATAATAATTTTATGAAGCCCCATATAGCTGACTTTTTTCTTTAACCAACCAACTACAGATTCTGACTGCGTAGTTAGGATGGCCGGGTGCAGTAGCTCACACCTGTAATCCCAGCGCTTTGGGAGGCTGAGGTGGGTGGATTGCTTCAGCCCAGGAGTTTGAGACCAGCCAGACCTCATCTTTATTAAAAAAAGAAGAAGAAGAAGAAGAAGAAGAAGAATCAGAATTTCTGCAGTATAGTTCCAGGAGCTGCCAAACAGTGGTATAAGGAAATGAATTGCCTGGGCCTCAACATATCCTCAGTGTCAGTGACACATGTATACTTTCAAATGAATAACCTCTTTTTATGAAGATTATACTTTGGCATCCCTTATCTGTAGGCTAGCTGTGCTTGATTTTAGTAGAATAGATTTTTAGGACTTAATCATCATTAATGTATCTGTATTAGTCCGTTTTCACACTGCTGATGAAGACATACCGGAGAATGGGCAATTTACAAAAGAAAGAGGTTGACTGGACTTACAGTTCCACGTGGCTGGAAGGCCTCACAATCATGGCAGAAGGTGAAAGGCATATCTCACATGGTGGCAGACAAGAAAAGAGGGCTTGTGCAGGGAAACTCCCGTTTTTAAAACCATCGGATCTTGTGAGACTGAGACCAAGACCAACTCACTATCACAAGAACAGAACAGGAAAGAGTCACCCCCATGATTCAATCACCTCCCACCAGGTTTCTCCCACAACATGTGGGAATTGTGGGAGTTGCAATTCAAGATGAGATTTAGGTGGAGACACAGCCAAACCATATCAGTATCTACACTTGTTTGTTCAGAGAACAATTTCAAGTCTGTCAGCTTATCCTGCAACTGTGCCTAAAATATGTTCCTTTTTTACTTAAGGCTACCTGGCACTGCTGTAGATGTGTAATATATTTTGCTTAAATGCTTAGCATGAAAGGGAAGACTTCCACTTTTGGTTGCTGTAACCCGTGAACTTTCGCCATTATGTTCAGTAGACTTTGTAATCAGAAAAAAAAAAATGACCATATTGAATCCCAGATGGCATTCTTTTTTTTTTTTTCTTTTTTTAAGAAAGGGTCTCACTGTGTCACTCAGGCTGAAGTGCAGTGTCACTATCATGGCTCACTGCAGCTTTGACCTCCCAGGTTCACATGATCCTTCCACGTCAGCCTCCCAATTAGCTGGGACTACAGGCATGCACAACCATGTCCAGTTCATTTTTAAATTTTTTTTTGTAGAGACGAGATCTCCCTATGTTGCCCAGACTGATCTCGAACTCCTGGGCTCAAGCTATACTCCTGCATTGGCCTCCCAAAGTGCTGGGATTACAGGTGTGAGCCACAGCACCCTGCCCCAGATGGCATTCTTTACATTCTAACTTTATCATAATGCAAATAGAAACATTAAAAAGCTCTTTACTAAGTTATAATTATTAAATTTTGTTTGTCCCACGTAAAATCAAGTGCATTTTCAGTTTTGAACACTGAAAATGAAGGGTGAAATCTCTCATGTTGGAAATGATATTTTGCTAAGGCTGCCTTCCTCTTTTTGCAAGATATGTGGCCCCTTCTGTATGTTTAAAGCTCTGCACCAAAGAAGAGACATATGAGATCAAGGACAAGCTTCTGTCTTTCATGTCTTGGTCCATTTAAGCTGCTGTAACAAAATGCCATAGACTGAGGGGCTTAAACAATAGAAATTTATTTCTCACAGTTCTGGAGGCTGGGAAGTCCAAGATCAAGGTGCTGGTAGATTTGATATCTGGTGAAGGCCATCTTTTTACTGTGCCCTCACATGGCAAAAGGGGCAAACAATCTTCCTTGGGCCTCTTTTATAAGGATGCTAATCCCATTCATGAGGGCTTCATCCTCATGACCTGATCATCTCCCAAAGGCCCCACCTTCCTTTTTTTTTTTTTTTTTTTTTTTTTTTGAGATGAAATTTCACTCTTGTCCCCCAGGCTGGAGTGCAACAGTGCAATCTCGGCTCACTGCAACCTCCACCTCCCAGGTTCAAGTGATTATCCTGCCTCAGCCTCCCAAGTAGCTGGGATTACAGGCATGTGCCACCACACCTGGCTAATTTTTTGTATTTTTAGGAGAGACGGAGTTTCACCATGTTGGCCAGGCTGGTCTTGAACTCCTGACCTCAGGTGATCCACCTGCCTCGGCCTCCCAAAGTGCTGAGATTACAGATGTGAGCCACCGTGCCTGGCCTAGTCCCCACTTTCTAATACCACCATCATGGGGATGGAATTTCAAACATAAATTTGGGGGATGGGACACAGATTCAGACCATAGCACATCACTTTCTTCTTCCTAACAGATCTTCAATTTTGTTCAACTATCCACCCATCCATGGATTGACTTTAATCAGTCCATTCCAATGAATATTTGGCCTTTCTCTGATCCACAGGTGCATGTATAATTTGCCTAATACAAGCTAAGGGAAGAACATATTTCATAGTTGGGGGAGGTTTTCCTTCTTCCACTGGATGTGAATAGGGGAACATGCTGCCTGTTTGGAACTGGCAGCCACCTTACCACCATGAGGGGAAGCAACAAAATGCAAAGATATAAAAAATATAGATGCTTCAAGACATGGCTGAACCCAAACTTAGAGCCTAGTCCTTGTAGATAATACATTTTCTCCCTATTTAAGCGAGAGTGAACTGCGTTGTCTGTGACTTGCAGAAATTTTGTGTCCTGTTACAAAATATCAAAAAGTTGCCTCAATTTTCTAGTGTCCTGCTCTACTGATGCAGTAAGCATCTGCCTGGTCCCAACATTGCTGGCTGCTGTAGGGATGGTTAACTGAAAAGGGGCAAGAGCATATTATACATGTACAGTCACACACTGCATAACAACGTTTCAGTCAATGACAGACCACATGTATGACAGTGGTCTCATAAGATTATAATGGAGCTGAAAAATGCTTATCACCAAGTGATGTCATAGCCATTGGAACATCATAGTGCAACACATTACTCATGTGTTGTGGCAATGCTGGTGTAAACAAACCTACTGTGCTGCTAGTTGTATAGAAGTATAGTAGTTATCATTGTGTTACAATCACCTATAGTATTCAGAGCAGTAATGTGCAGTACAGGTTTGTAGCCTAGGAGCAATGGGCTATAGCCTAGATATATAGTAGGATATATCATCTAGTTTGTGTAAGTACACTCTGTGATATTCATACAATGATGAAATTGCCTAATGATACATTTCTCAGAACTCATCCCCATTGTTAAGTGACACATGATTGTAGATATGAAGCCAGAGAAAAAGCTTTGTTTAACAAGAGATAATGGCAGCTTTGGGATGTGGCAATAAAGATATGGACAAGTGGAAAAATTAAAGATGTAATTAAGAGACAAAACTGATAAGATTCAGGGATGAACTAAATACTAAGGGAAGGGAGAGACAGGTGGCAAGCATGACCCTAGGAGTTTCTATTTTGCATAAGTAGATGGATAGTGATACACTCACTAAGCTCCAGAGATCACCAGAACAGAGAAGGTTTAATATTGAAGAACAAGAATTTGATGTTTGCCAGGCGCAGTGGCTCATGCCTGTAATCCCAGTACTTTGGGAGGCTGATGTCGTGGATCATGAGGTCAGGAGTCCGAGACCAGCCTGATCAACACGGTGAGACTCCGTAAAAATACAAAAATTAGCCGAGTGTGGTGGTACATGCCTGTAATCCCATCTACTCAGGAGGCTGAGGCAGGAGAATCGCTTGAACCCGGGAGGCAGAGGTTGCAGTGAGCCGAGATCATGCCGCTTGCACTCCAGCATGGGTTACAAAGCAAGACTCCATCTCAAAAAAAAAAATAAAAAATTGATGTTTGACACACTGAATTTGAGATACCTTTGAAGTATCCAGTTTAGATTTTTCTATAACAGCTTGATTAATATATAATTTACCTTTTAAAAAATTATCTGGTTTTTAATATATTCAGAGTTATGCAACCATCATTTCTATCTAAATTATTTTTTAATATTTTCATCACTCCAAAAAGAAAATTTCATATCCTTTAGCAGTCATTTCCTATTCTCCCTTCCTCCTAACCCCTGGCAACCACCAAGCTGCTTTTCTGTCTCTAATGCTGGCCTTGGATTCGGCCTTCATGAGCTGTAATGGCTTTCCCTGGTGGCATCCATTAGAATATTTAAGGTGACAATTTTTTTTTTCCCATTCTGGGAGCCAACCACTTCAAAAAATCTTTGTCAGGTCACTGATGACTCTATAGATAGTAGAACAGAAACCTCAGTGGCCAAACGCAACTGTGAATACACACTTTGCAAAAAAAAAAAAAATAGTTTGAAAAAATCAGTTAACTAGTGGACAGCAGCAGCCTTCAAAAAGCAAAAATCAGCAATCACTGAGGAGGAGGAGAAATTGATTTCCAAAGTTACCACATTACAAAACGCAAAATATCCAGTTCTTAACAAAGAATTACAAAGCATACAAGGAAACATAAAAGTATGGCTCTTTCACAAGATAAAAAGAGTTGAACAGAAACCACTCCTGAGGAAGCCCAGACACTGGAATTACTAGCCAAAGATGTCAAATTAACTCTCTTAAATATAGTCAGTAGGTTAAAGGAAACCAAGAAAAAGTCTGATGGAAAACAGGAGAATAATGTATGAATGAATAGGGAACGTCAATAAAGAAATAGTAAAAAAGAATCAAATCGAAATTCTGGAGCTGAAAATTACAACAGCTGAAATGAAAAATTCATTAGAGGAATGCAATGGCAGATTTGAGCAGACAGAAGAAAGAATCAGCAAACTGAAAGATAAAGCAATTGAAATTAACCAGTCTAAGGACCAGAAAACACAGAAGAAAGAAAAATGAACAGAGCCCAAGGAACTTGTGGGACACCATCAAGCATGTCAACATATACACACATCATAGGAGTGCCAAAGAGAGATTTAAAAAAAGAAGAAAAATATTTGAAGGAAATATTTTAGGAAATAATAACTTCTCAAATTTGAGGAGAGACATGAATAAATACATCCAAGAAACTCAAGCAGGATAAACTTAAAGAGACCCACACCAAGACACATTATAGGCAAATTGTCAAAACCCAAAGACAAATATGGAATGCCGAAAGCAGCAAGAGAGATGCAATTCATTATGTACAATGGATCCTCAGCAAGATTAACAACTGATTGCTCATCAGAAACCACAGAGACCAGAAAGCAGTAGGATAACACATCTAAAGTCTTTAGAAAATAAAAACAAAAACAATAAAAGACCTTTCAACCAAGAATTCTAAACCAGCAAAACTATTCTTCAAGAATAAAGGATAAATTAAGATATTTCCACTTTTTTTTTAAGTTGAAGAAGTTTGTTGCTACTAGATCTGCCCTACAAGAAATGCTAAAGAGAATCTTTCTGGCTGAAATGAAGGAATACTAGTCAGTAACTCAAAGCCATAGAAGAAATAAAGAACACGAGTAAAGGTAACTACATAGGTAAATACAAAATCCTGTATTATTGTGTTTTGTTAAGTAACTCCTCTTTTTTCCCTATATGATTTAAAAGGCAAATATATAAAACAATAATTATGAATCTATAGGAATGGGCCCATGATGTATAAAGATGTAATCTGTGGTAATAACAATATAAGGGAAAGGGATACAGATGTATAGGAGCACAGTTTTTGTGTACTATTCAAACTGGTGTTTATTAACACTAGTTAGTGTTAATTACTGTAGGTTGTTGTAAGTTTAAGTTGTTCATTGTAGTGCCCAAGGTAACCAGTTAGAAAATAACTTTTATATATATGGAAAGAAAAAGGTAATTAAAATTGTAGCACACACAAACAAAATCAACTAAATTAAAAAAGGAAGTGATGAAAGAACAAAAAGCATACAAGACCTACAGATATGATGCTAAAGCATAGGCAACAACAAAAATTAAAAGCTTTTCTGTATCAAAGGACACTATCAAGAGAGTGAAAAGACAATGCACAAAATGGGGAAATATTTGCAAATCATATCTGATAAGGGCACAACATTCAGATTATATACAGAAACTCTACAATTCAACAATTAGCACACAGCCCAGTTTTAAAGTGGGCAAAGAACTTGAATAAATATTTCTCCAAAGATGATATACAAATAACCAAAGAATTCTCAACATCATTTGTCATTAGAGAAATGCAAATCAAATCCACCAGATACCATTTCACACCCACTAAGATGTCTGTATTCAAAACAATGAAAAATAACCTGTTGGCAAGGATGTGGAAAAATTGGATCTCTTGCTCATTGCTGGTGGGAAGAAACATGGTACAGCCACAGTGAAAAACAGTTTGACAATTCCTCTAAAATTAAACATAGATATTCCAGTTGACCCAGCAATTTTACTTATAGGTAAAATACCTCCAAAAACTTGAAAACAGGAACTCAAATATGTGTACACCAACATTTATGGAAGCATTATGTACAACAGCTGCAGGTAGAAAATAGCCCAGTGTCCATTAACAGATGAATGGATTAAAAATATGTAGTATAGGCCCGGCATGGTGGCTCATGCCTGTAATCCCAGTACTTTGGGAGGCAAAGATGGGCAGGTCACCTGAGGTCAGGAGCTTGAGACCAGCCTGGCCAACATGGTAAAACCCTATCTCTACTAAAATACAAAAATTAGTTTGGTTTGGTGGAGCACGCCTATAATCCCAGCTACTCGGGAGGCTGAGGCAGGAGAATCACTTGCACCCAGGCGATGGAGGTTGCAGTGAGCCAAGATGGTGTCACTGCACTCCATTCTGGGTGACAGAGCGAGACCCTGTCTCAAAAAACTAAATAAATATGTACTATGTTCATGCAGTAGACTATAATTTGGCCATAAAAAGGAACAAAGTACTGATACTTGCTACAACATGAATGAATCTTGAAAACATGCTAAGTGAAGGAAGGCAGACCCAAAAGGCCTCATACAGTACGATTCCATTTATATGAACTATTCAAAATAAACAAATCTATAAAGACAGAAAGATTAGTCATTGACAGGAAATGAACAGAAGAGGAAATTGGAAGGTACAAGGCTTCCCCTTGGGGGTGAAGAAAATATTCTGGAATTAGATAAGGATAATGGTTGTACAATATTGTAAATATAATAAATATCACAAATTGTATGTTGCAAAATATTTAAAATGGTGAATTTTGTTGCTATTTTCAAAACATGTGTTTCCCTGGAAATCGTATCCTAAAACTTAATCTCCAATGCAACAGTGTTAAGAGGTGGGGTCTTTGGGAAGTGATTAGGCCATGAGGGCTCCACCTCCATGAATGGGATTAGTACCCTTACAAAGAAGCTTGAGGGAGCCTGCAAGCTCCTGCTGCCATGTGAGTACACATAGAAGTCACCTTCTACAAGGAACTGAATCTGCTGGTGCCTCGATCTTGGACTTCCAAGCCTCTAGAACTGTAAGAATTAAATTTCTGTTGTTTCTAAGTTATCCCACTTAAAGTCTTCTCCTATAGCAACCCAGATGGACTAAGACATTTGTTAAGTGAATTTTACCTAAAAAAAAAATTTCTGTATCAGAGTTGTTAAAGAATGATGAAACTAGCACTCAATACCTGAAATAAAAGAGCAAAACTGAATTTATTGCTTCTATAATGAAGGAGAACTATACCACTACACTGGTCAGGCATGGTCTCCAGGAGCAGACCAGACTGCTGATCTGATCTCATTTAGGGTTTTGGAGAAGTTCACAGATATAAATAGGTTGACATCATCTGTAGAAGTGTGGTCACATAAGTGAGACATAACATTGATTTGTTGTCACTTGGAGGTATTTTTAATGAAGCAAATCCATTTTTTTTTTTGAGACACAGTCTCGCTCTGTTGCCCAGGCTAGAGTGGAGTGATCTTGGCTCACTGCAACCTCTGTTTCCTGGGCTTAAGTGATTCTCATGCCTCAGCCTCCCAAGTAGCTGGGATTACAGGTGCCTGCCACCATGTCCACCATGCCCAGCTAATTTTTTTTTTTTTTGAGATGGAGTCTCATTCTGTCACCCAGGCCAGAGTGCAGTGGTGTGATCTTAGCTCACTGCAACCTCTGCCTCCCGGGTTCAAGCAATTCTCCTGCCTCAGCCTCCTGAGTAGCTGGGATTACAGTTGTGTGCTACCACACCAGGCTAATTTTTGTATTAATTTTTGTATTTTTGTTAATAGTAGAGACAGGGTTTTACCATGCTGCCCAAGCTAGTCTCGAAGTCCTGGCCTCAAGTGATCTACCCACCCACCTCACTGCAACCTCTCCCTCCCGGGTTCAAGCAATTCTGCTGCCTCAGCCTCCTGAGTAGCTGGGATTACTGGTGTGAGCCACCACACCTGCCCCAAATCCATTCTTATTTAGCTGATTTTCATAAGCAAAGGCTGACATTGATTGGTTGGTTTGCAAAAGCATGTTCACTGAGGCTAGTTCTCACGAATTAATGGAACAGATTTAAAATTGGTTCTGGTGGCTGTTTGTTACCATGGCTACAGAACAATCAGTCTTTCCCTAAATTTGTGAGACCCTTTTTATTCTCATCCCAACCTCTTCCATGTTTTCAGTAACCTCTTCTATGCTGTCCCTCAGGAGAGCCTCTGCTCTTTTTTTATTCATGTATTTATTCAACAAACTGTTATGGGGTTCAGAGGAGAATAACAGAGTTCCTGTCTTCAGAGTACCTACAGTCTAGAGAGGGAGCCCAGCTAAACAGTTAATTCCAATTCAGTGTGGAGGAATGCCCAGGGAACCCAGAGAGGATACTCACTTTGTCTGAGAAACAGAGGGAAGTTTCACAGGAAAGGTGTATTAGTCTGTTTTCATGCTGCTAGTAAAGACATACCCGAGACTGGGTAATTTATAATGGAAAGAGGTTTAATTGACTCACAGTTCCACATGCTGGGGAGGCCTCATAATCATGGTGGAAGAGCGAGGGGTGTCTTACATGGTGGCAGGCAAGAGAGCATGTGCAGGGGAACTCCTCATTATAAAACCATCAGATCTCGTGAGACTTATTCACTATCAGGAGAACAGCATGGGAAAGACCCACCCCCATGATTCAATTACCTCCCACCGGGTCCCTCCCTTGACATGTAGGAATTATGGGAGCTACAATTCAAGATGAGATTTGGTTGGGGACACAGTCAAACCGTATGAAGAGGAAAGCCTTGACTGGACCTTGACCTTGACTCAACCTTAGCCCTTACTCTGTGAGCACAAGTACACAGGACGATACTTGTGATGGTTAATATTGAGAGTCAACTTGATTGGATTGAAGGATGCAAAGTATTGTTCGTGGGTGCGTCTGTGAGGGTGTTGCCAAAGGAGATGGACATTTGAGTCAGTGGACCGGGAGAGGCAGACTCACCCCTACTCTGGGTAAGCACCATCTAATCAGCTGCCAGCTGAATAAAGCAGGCAGGAGAAGATGGAAGAGCAGACTTGCTGAGTCTTCTGGACTTCATCTTTCTCCCGTGCTGGCTGCTTCCTGCCCTCGAACATCAGACTCCAAGTTCTTAAGCTTTTGGACTCTTGGACTTACACCAGTGGTTTGCCAGGGGCTCTCGGGCCTTTGGCCACAGACTGAAGGCTGCACTGTCGGCTTCCCTACTTTTGAGGTTTTGGGACTCGGACTGATCCACCACTACCTTCCTTGCCCCTCAGCATGCAGACAACCTATCGTGGGACTTTACCTGGTGATTGTGTGAGTCAATTCTCCTTAATAAAATCTCTTTCATATATATATCTATCCTATTAGTTCTGTCCCTCTAGAAAGTCCTGATTAATACAAGTCAGGAAAAGGGTCTTTCAACAGAAGCAGCTTAACAATAGTTACTAATATTCTATATTAATCATAGAGATAAGAAAATAATGGTTACCTACTGTGTGCTAGGCATTTTCCTAGCTGCTTTAAATGGATTGTCTTCCTAAAAGCCCACAAAAACCTTATGATTAGATACCACTAATACCTGATTTTCCTGTGGAGAAATCCTGTCAGGGAAACAAATATAATAACTAGCCCAAGGTTTTTTGGTGAGTAGTACAGCCTGGATTCAAATACAGACAGTCTGACTTGGATACCTAGGAAGACTAAGCTTTGATTTTTTTTTTTTTAATCTTGCCCAAATTCCTGTCTAAGGGGCCTGGAGAGTCATGCCCTACAAACCACAAATTCTCATCAGATGGCTTTTATTTAACACTATCTATCATGACTTACTTTCCAACCTGACTCTGGCATAACTTCACAGGACAAGGAAGAAAATCAAAATATTTTACCCCAAAACATGTTTCTTTGCCATATCTTGATATGGCCTGGCAAAGATGTTCTTTCTGGGGGAAATTTTGCATCTGTAAAGAATCTCTGTTAACATAGCTAGATTTTTTTCTTCCAGGTCCTCTCAATCCTGAAGAGATTAATTAAAACTCCAGCACCTTTTAAACATCTAAATAGGAAACACTTGTCATCTATTGTGTCTAAGGGCAGCCACTATAAGACTTCAGAAGAACCCTGATCTCCACAATTTTTTATTCTAACCTGAATATTTCATTTCTATCGATCTCAGGTCTTTAGACAAACTCCACCAATTGTCAATCAGAAAACGTTTAAATTTACCTATAGCCTGAGAGCACCTGCTTTGAGTTGTCCCGCCTTTCTGCACTAAACTAATGTATTTCTTGAATGTATTTGATTGATGTCTCATGCCTTCCTAAAATGTATAAAACCAAACTGCTCCCCCACCACCTTGGGCACATGTTCTCAGGACCTCCTGAGGGCTGTGTCACGGGCCATGGTCACTCATATTTGGTTCAGAATAAATCCCTTCAAATATTTTACAGAGTTTGACTCTTTTCATTGACACCTATTTGGCCCTTCTTTGATAAATTACAAGTTCAGTAGAGGCCACCCAAGGATAACCCACAGAAGAAGTTCTTCAATTTCTGTATGAACTATTCGTAATCCATCTTAACAGGACATTTACAAAGTTTGGGGCACGCATCACAATTTGCATTTGGAAAGTATTTGAATAATGTTCACAAGGTAAAATTCATTGATTTTGGTGAACTAATTGTGGACAACATGTTAATAAAATTTCAACTAATTCTACACAATGCTGTATTTTAATGGCTGAAATATTAAAAATTTATATCCTATTACTGAACAAATGATAACAGTAATAATTCTAATTGAGCTATCAGGTAAAGAAATTAAAATAAATTTACAGAGTAACAATAATCTTATCCTTTATAAAGAAATTTATAACTGACCAGGTACAGTGGCTGATGCCTGTAATTCCAGCACTTTGGGAGGCCAAGGTAGGAGAATCACTGGAACCCAGGAGTTCAAGACCAGCCTTGGTCACATAGGAAGACCCCTGTCTACAAAAAATACAAAAATTAGCAGGCATGCTGGCACCTGCCTGTAGTTTCAGCTACTCGGGAGGCTGAGACAGGAGGATGGCTTGAGCCTGGGAGGTCAAGGCTGCAGTGAACCGTGATTGCACCGCTGTACTCCAGCCTGGATGACAGAGCAAGCCCTGTCTCAAAAAAAAAAAAAAAAAAAATTCTAACTACTGCCATCCTCAAAAAGCTAAGAATGATTGCTGTAAGATTTTCAACAGGGAAAGATGACTAATACATCCTTAATGTTTGCTTCCATTTGCATTTCTATCTCCATGTTAATTATTGCTTAAGTTATGCATTTTGCCTTGGTTACCATTTTTCCTAATTAAGGATTTGGGGGCCAAGAGATAAAAACACTACTTCAAACTAGCTTAAGCAAAAGGCCTTTTCTGGGAGGCCTTGGAGATAGCTAATGGATTCCAAGAGCACCGAGGATAGCCAGCCCCACAGAGGGCTGGACCAGGAAGCCGGCGCCGGCTGCCTGTGCTTTCATTCTTTCTCGAATTTGTCTGCTCTGTAGGTCTCAGCAGTCACACGTGGTCACTGCTTATGCACGCACAAGACCCACCGTGGCAGCTCTCAGCTCCCTGGTTTATGTGTCCTCTGTTGCTTGCCCTGCAGGAATGACTAAGTAGCATCTCACAGTCCCAACTTGAAACTCTCAGGATCCAGAGAGTGTGTGGTCCTGTATTGCAAGCACAACTGCTGCTCCTGAACAGGGGCAGCTCTCAGGAAAGAGGGGCAGGAGCTGAGAGCAATCATCCATGTCTCCTACTCCACTCATTTGAAAAGGAATTTGCTTGTCTAAGTATTCCCGAATTTCAGAAAAAAGAGATAGGAGAAAGGGTTAATGGACCAGACCAGGGAAGCAGAGACAAAAGGAGTCTGGGCCTGGGCCAGGTCAGTCTTTCAAGGAAGAGTGTTTTATGTGGCAGAGCCTTCAGACACAGATGCAAAGTTCTTATCACGAGTGACCGCCAGACAGTGTCATTTAAGACAGCCATTTCAAGCTGCTGAAAGCCTGACCTCTTATAGTCACAGAGTCCTCTGGTGAGAACTGATCCTGGAAGAGTGTGCCTGTTTGTGTCTTTATCTGGTTGGATGCAGTCTTTATCTTTTTATTTGTGTATTAAACAAAACATCTTATCCTTGTTGGCAGAGTCCCCTGTGAAATATAAAATGGAGTCTTTTTCTAAGATGGAGTTAGTTATGTCAAGGGTGCTCAATACAGTAGTGGATGACTGTGAGCACTCCCTTCAGCTCTGATTATTCTAGTCTAGGGTCCCATTTGCCATGGTCCTCACAGAAGGGTTACACCCAGATTATGAGAGAGTCTGTGGAAGCCCTTGACCTTGGTTGTGCATTGACACCCCTAGGCCAGACCTCAAAATCTCTGAAAAACTTTAAAAGTTTCCCAGGTGGCACATACTCCCCCCAAGGGTAAAAATGGCTTCCTGCTGGGTGTGGTGGTTCATGCCTGTAATCCCAGCACTTTGGGAGGCCAAGGTGGGTGGATCACGTGAGGTTGGGAGTTCGAGACCAGCCTGTCTCTACTAAAAATACAAAATTAGCCAGGCATGGTGGTACATGCCTGTAGTCCCAGCTACTTGGGAGGCTGAGGCAAGAGAATCACTTGAACCTGGGAGATGGAGGTTGCAGTGAGCCAAGATCGCACCATTGCACTCCAGTCTGGGCAACAAGAGTGAAACTCTGTCTCTAAAAAAACAAAAAGGCTTCCCAGTGGCAGGAGTTCTTGTCAATGGGCAGCTGTCCTCCTCTCTGGAAATCTAAATTCTCTTTTAAAAGTTTATATTTCTATTAGGTTATTGTACATAATTATTTTGCATAATTTTGTAGGGCTACTCAGGAGAAATGAAACAGCTTAAAGAAATGATGCAGGCCAAGCACAGTGGTGGCTCATGCCTGTAATCCCTGCACTTGGGAGGCTGAAGCGGGAGGATCACTTGAGCTCAGGAGTTTGAGACAAGCCTGGGCAACACGGTGAAACCCTGTCTCTACTAAAAATACAAAAATTACCCAGGCATGCTGGTGCAAGCCTGTAGTCCCAGTTACCTCAGTAGGCTGAGGTGAGAGGATCACTTGAGCCTAGGAGGTCGAGGCTGTAGTGAGCCAAGATCACACCACTGCACCCCAGCCTGGGCAGCACAGTGAGACACTATCTCAAAAAATAAAAGAAAAAATAAAAATAAAAAAGAAACGATTACATATATACCACATATTTGTCGAAAAAAAAAAGAGTCCAACTCTGTAAAATATTTGAAGAGATTTATTCTGAGCCAAATATGAGTGACCAATGAATGGCCTGTGGCACAGCCTCAGAAGATCCTAAGAACATGTGCCCAAGGTGGTCAGGCTACAGCTTGATTTTATACATTTTTATACATTTTAGGGAGACATGTAATCAACACCCGTAAGATGTACATTGGTTTGGTCTAGAAAGGTGAGACAGCTGGAAGGTGGGGGTGGCATTCCAGGTCATAGGCAGATTCAAAGATTTTTTGATTGGCAATTGGTTGAAAGAGTTCTTTTCTAAAGACCTAGAATGTCTGGGTGAAGATAAGGGGTTGTAGAGATGAAGGTTTTATTATGTAGATGAAGCCTCCACGTAGCAGGCTTCAGAGAGAATAGATTGTAAATGCTTCTTTTCAGACTTAAAGAGTCTGTCCTATCAGTCTTCAGGTCTCTGTGTTGATGTTAATGTTGGTCAGCTGGGCCTGAATTCCAAAAGGGAGGAGGGAATGAGGAGGCATGTCTGACATGTCCCCTTCCCATCAAGGCCTGAACTAGTTTTTCAGGTTAACTTTGGAATGCCGTTGGCTGAGAGGACAGGGTCCATCAGTTGGCTTAGAATACTATTTTTGGTTTACGTATTTATATGCACACACACCTGCATACATTGTTCCTGAGGACAAGTGCAAAGATTATGTGTCTATGACTACACATTATTTATACTGAAAAGGAGATTGAATCAGATTTCATTCTAGAAGACTTGACACCCCACAAGTCCATTACGATCCAAGGGCAGTGATAGAAATGACAAAGCCTCCTTCCAGAATACAGGTTGAGTATCCCTTCTCTGAAATGCTTGGGACCAGAAGTGTTTTGAATTTGAGAGTGATTTTTTTTTAATATTTACATTATGTAATTACCAGTTGAGCACCCTAATCCAAAAATCTGAAATCCAAAATGCTCTAATCCTTTGAGCATCATGTTGGTGGTCAAAAAGTTTTGGATTTTGGAGCATTTTGGATTTTCCATTTTTC
This sequence comes from Homo sapiens, assembly GCF_000001405.40. NCBI lineage: Eukaryota > Metazoa > Chordata > Mammalia > Primates > Hominidae > Homo > Homo sapiens. The sequence continues at coordinate 30,205,127 of NC_000008.11, forward strand.
GGATTAGGGATGCTCAACCAGTTCCTAGTAATAGAGGAAAGGCCTTTGCCCCCTGCCATGCCCAAATAAAAACTTTTCTGTTTTGTTTTCATAAAATACCACTGTTTCAACAAAGTAAACATTAGCAGAATAATTTAACAAGAATGGTGGTTGTTTTTCTTCCTAGTAAAATGTACAACTACACCGGCTATTCTTTAGAGTTTTAGAACAAACAAAGCCTTCACAATTGATCACTCTTTAGAAAATCATTCCAAATATTTGTTTCCCTGATTTGTATGCTTCCTCTTTCTAACAGTAATTTGCAGGGGGTTAAGATTGAGAATGTGTATACATCAAGGTTAATAAAGTAGAAATGAACAGAGCAACAGGGAATGTGGAAAAGCAGATGTGCTAGCCCTGACTAACTAACCACTGTGACTGATTATGAGATGATTTGACTTTGAGACCACGTATACAAAGCAGTTAGCAGAAAATCTGGAACACAGGAGTTGCTAATAAATGGTAGCTAATAGTATTATATTTCACAACCAGTATTACACTTCTCACCCATGTTGTGTCACCAAATGAAGTTGCAGCTACGCTCATTCTTTTTTTTTTTAATTTTTGAGATGAAGTCTCACTGTGTTGCCCAGGCTGGTCTCAAACTCTTGGCCTCAAGTGATCCTCCTGCCTCAGCCTCCCAAAGTGCTGGGATTACAGGCTGGAGCCACTGTTTCCAGTACATCCATTCTTAAGGCTTTAAAATAATTCTGGAACAAGACACCATTGGGTGGACCCTCCAGCCCAGTCCAGCATCAAGTTCTACCGGCCAGTGTGTGATCCCACTCTTAGTTTTTTGTTTGTTTGTTTGTTTGTTTGTTTGTTTTTTAATAGATATGAGGTTTTGCTGTGTTGCCCTGACTGGTCTCGAAATCCTGGGCTCAAATAATCCTCCCACCTCGGCCTCTCAAAATGCTGGGATTACAGGTGTGAGTGAGCCATTATGCCCTGCTGCATTCTTCTTTTGACCCAGGAACTTTTGAGCCTTGTGTTTCAGGAAATAAAAAACAATAATTAAACTCACAGTATTCTTTCCCCATAAGTTTAGTTCTTTCTTCTCTGCCTGGAAAATTTGGAAGCAATAAAGTCCCCAATATATTGGTCTGAAAAACATCTCTGTGATTTTTGGTAGCCATGACAAATAAGAAAAAAGAGTAAGGCTATTGTTCTCATCACACATAAAGGAAGCTTTCAGCTAGAAGGTCCTCAGAAAATATTTCCAGTGCAGGTCAGAGAGACTGTAGAATCCAACCAAACAGGATTTTCCTCTTATCACTGCACATCTGGATCTGAGATTACTGCCCTCAATAACCTACTTGTATACCCCTAAGGCCCCAGAGCGGCCCCAGAGCTGCCCCCAGAGTCTCCCAGCAATGCCCAAGTGTGGGGTGTGGAGAGAGAATCCTACTTGCTACAACAGACAGTGGTTTGCATCAATAGCACAATTGCTGACCTTGGAAAAAGCCAGCCAGAGGCCGGGCACGGGGGCTCACGCCTGTAATCCCAGCACTCACACCTGTAATCCCAGCACACTGGGAGGCCGAGGCAGGTGGATCACCTGAGGTCAGGAGTTCAAAGCCACCCTGGCCAGCATGGTGAAACCCTGTCTCTACTAAAAATACAAAAAAAAAAATTAGCCAGACATGGTGGTACACACCTGTAATCCCAGCTACTAGGGAGGTTGAGGCAGGAGAATTGCTTGAACCTGGGAGATGGAGGTTGCAGTAAGCTGAGATAGTGCCATTGCACTCCAGCCTGGGCAACAAGCATGAAACTCTGTCTCAAAAAAACAAAAAAAGAAAGAAAAAGCCAGCAAGATTCCATCTAGGCCTGAAGGCCAAGGCTCTCTTCATATGCCTTCCTATAGCTCTTCCCTTTTGCCTCCCTCCAAATCCTTAGAACCTTCCTTTTTTTTTTTTTTTTTTTTTTTTTTTGAGACAGGGTCTCACTCTGTTACCCAGGCTGGAGTACAGTGGTGCGATCATAGCTCCCTGCAGCCTCAGACTCCTAGGCTCAAGCAGTCCTCCCAATTAGCTGAGACAACAGGTATATGCCACTGTGCCTGGCTAATTTTTAAATTTTTGGTAGTGATGGGGTCTTGCTATGTTGCCTAGACTGGTCTTGAACTCCAAGACTCAAGTGATCCAAAGTGCTGAGATTACAGGCATAAGGCACCATGCCCAGTTCCATTTTATTCTTTGATCCACCTAAGGCAATATCAGAAGGTAGTGTGTAAAAGCCTGGCCTTTCCCCAGGTATCCCAGCATAGTACATAGTAAGCAGGGAATAACTGAATTAGAACCAAAAAGCAATTCAGAACAAAAATGGCTCTAATGCTGTGAGTTCGGTCCAGGTTTTTCTTTTTTGTTTTGTTGGTTGGTTGGTTGGTTGGGTTTTTTTTTAGAAACACGGTCAGCCTCTGTTGCCCATGCTGGAGTGCAGTGGTGTGATCATAGCTCACTATAGCCTCAAATTCATGGGCTCAAGCAATTCACTTACTTCAGCCTCCCAAGTAGCTGGGACTACAGGCACTTGCCACCATGTCTGGCTAATTTTTAAATTTTTGGTAGAGATGGGGCCTTGCTATGTTGCCCAGGTTGGTCTCGAACTCCTGACATCAAGCAATGCTCCCACCTCAGCCTCCCAAAGTTTTGGGATTATTCCATTCACAGAAAGAAAGAGGGGAAAAAAAGAAGAAGAAGCATTGATATTACAGCCATGAGACACTGGAAAACTACTTTTTCAAATAAGGGAATGAATTGTCAAAATAAAAATGTCTAGATGATATCTTACAGATTTCCCCATACACGTAACTCGCCCTTTGCCCACATCTGTTGGATGTGCCGTCAGCCTCTATCCAATTCTCTTTCTCGTATCAGAAACTACCATCAAATATTATTATTTGGCAACTCTTCCTTACTGAAAATAAGAGGATTTGGGGTGAGGGGAGGAACAATAGGTGGAGTATGTTCTGTTTTATGAATTGATAAGAAGGAAAGGAAGGAAGGGTGATATGGTTTGGGTTTGTCCCTTCCAAATCTCATGGTGAAATTTGACCTCCAATGTTGGAGAGGCGGCCTAGTGGGAGGTGTTGGATCATGGGGGTGCATCCCTCATGAATGGCTTGGTGCCCTCCTTGTAGTAATGAATGAGCTCTTGCTCACGTGAGATCTGGTTGTTTAAAAGAGTGTGGACTGGCTCATGTTTATAATCCCAGAATTTTGGGAGGCGGAGATGGGAGAATGGCTTGAGCCCAGGAGCTTGAGGCTGCAGTGAACTATGATTGTGCCACTGCACTCCAGCAGGATCAACAGAGCATGGCCCTGTCTAAAAAAGAAAAAAAAAATTGTGTCACCTCCCCCTCTCTTTCTCGCTCCCGCTCTTGCCATGTGACACTGCCTTCTCCTCATTGTCCGCCATGATTGTAAGCTCCCTGGTGTCTCACCAGAAGCCAAGCAGATGTTGGTGCCGTACTTGTACAGCCTGCAGAACCATAAGCCAACATGCACCTCTTTTCTTTATAAGTCACCCAGCCTCAGGTATTCCTTTATGGCAACATAAACGGACTAACACAGAGGGAATGTGGACATGATCAATTTCCATCAGTAATCAAATAGAAAATACTAATTTTTTAAAAGAAAATTTGAGGGTTAAATGTTTTTTATTTTATTTTATTTTATTTATTTTTTTGAGATGGAGTTCCACTCTTGTCGCCCAGGCCAGAGTGCAATGGCGCGATCTCAGCTCACTGCAACCTCCACCTCCCAGGTTCAAGCGATTCTCCTGCCTCAGCCTCCCGAGTAGCTGGGATTACAGGCGCCTGCCACAGTGCTCAGCTAATTTTTGTATTTTTAGTAGAGATGGGGTTTCACCATGTTAGCCATGCTGGTCTTGAACTTCTGACCTCAAGTGATCTGCCTGCCTTGGCCTCCCAAAGTGCTGGGATTACAGGCGTGAGCTTCTTTTTATTTAAAAAAAAAAAAAAAAAAAAAAAATCTGCATTTGGTCTCAATCCACCAAATGAATGTAATTTTCTTGGGATTTATCTAAGGCTAATCACTACCCTATCTTGATTCATTCATGGTTAAGAACTTCCAAAATCTGCCCTGTGTCCTTTGGAATTTTTATTTAACCAAAGAAATAAGCATTAATACTAACATATGTATAGTTACATGATTATTATGAAAAGTAGAAAAATGAGAAAATGACTTGTGCAGCTGTTAATATGATTGTTAAGTTCTCCAGTCTCACCCCATCACATTCCCACGTTAAAAATCTTCAGAGGTGACTATCATACTTGATCCATGCATTAAGAAGTCTATTTGTTTGTACACAGGTCACAATTGTAATAGACATGATTCTGCAAATAATGTGAACATAGGTGCAGAACTCTTTATGGCCCTATGATGCACTGTTGCTTATTTCTTGGGTTAAGTAAAATTTCCAGCAGACACATGGTAGTTTTTTGAGGTGCTTAACCTTGAAGGAGGCAGGATAGCAACTGGCTCACACACACATGCGGCTCTTCTGATCGTGAGAAGAGGACTTTTTTTTGCCTAACTGCTGCATGTCATGACCTTCATCAATCAGCCTGATACCAGATCCTTCAGCCAAGGAACAGCAGATCCTTAAGAAGCTTTTTTTCTTGTTTTTCTCCTGGAATGTTCCTACCAAAAGATCAAAGCCATGCTCAGAAAAATGTTTGCCTAGTATCTACACAGATTTTTTTTTCTTTTTTTGAGGCAGAGTCTTGCTTTGTTGCCCAGGTCAGAGTGCAGTGGTGTGATCTCAGCTTCCTGAAGTCTTGAAATCCCAGCCTGGGCTCAAGCAAAATCCCCTCCTGCCTCAACCTCCCTAGTAGCTTGGACTACAGGCATGCACTGCCACATCTGGCTAATTTTAGTATTTTTTGTAGAGATGGGGTTTTGCCATGTTGCCCAGGCTGGTCTCCAGCTCCTGGGCTCAAGTGATCCACCTGCTTTGGCCTCCAAAATTGTGGGGATTATAGGTGTTACACCATGCCTGGCTTTTTTTTTTTTTTTTTTTTTTTGAGACAGGGCATTGCTCTGTCACCCAGGCTGGAGTGCCATGGTGCCATCATAGCTCACTACAGCCTCAAACTCCTAGGCTCAAGCAATCTTCCCACTTCAGCCTCCTGAGTAGCTAGGACCACAGGCGTGCACCACCATACCTTGCTAATTTTTAAATTTTTGTAGAGATGGGGTCTCACTATGTTGCCCAAGCTGGTCACAAACTCTTGGCCTCAAGGAATCCTCCTGCCCCGGCCTCCCAAAGTGCTGGAATTACAGGGATAAGTCACTGCACCCAGCCAACAATTGCTATTTATTAATATTATTGTTATACAGATCCTCAGTAAATTTCAAATGAGAGCAGAGTTTCTAAATTACAGCAGAGCACTATTAAAATATTGGAGAGTTTGGGATTTGAGGAGGTATAATGGAAGAAATCTCGTTTGTTAAGTGGAGACAGAAACCCAATTCTTTTTTTTTTTTTTTTTTTTTTGAGATAGTGTCTTGCTCTGTCACCCATGCTGGATTGCAGTGGCATAATCACTACTCACTGCAGCCTCAACCTCCTGGGGTCAAGTAATCCTCCCGCCTCAGCCTCCCGAGTAATTGGGACCACAGGCACATGCCACCATGCCTGGCTAATTTTTAAATTATTTTCTGTAGAGACAGAGTTTCACTATGTTGCCCAGGCTGGTCATGAACTCCTGGGCTCAAGCAATCCTCCTGCCTCAGCCTCCCAAGTGCTGAGATTACAGGCATGAGTTGCTGCACCCAACTGCAGCTATTTTAAAATCCCAGCTTGCTCCCTGGTGAGCTAGATCTGTCAACTTGGAAGTCAGCCTCATTCTCCGCTGCCTCCCTCTGCCTTCCACGCCCACCCCTGCCTTTCTTTCTATAGATGATTTATACTAGGATCTCCTAATGGCTCCCTTTACTTCAGTTAGTTTGAGTGGGGTTTCAGTCAGACACTCGAGAACAAAGACCACTGACTAATGCAGGCAGGGGGAGCTGAGCAGTTAGGGACAGGGCACAGAAGCCAAAAGACCATAGAGAGGCAGAGACCAAACCGCGTCCCAAGCACCCACTCAGGGTCTGGCACACAGTAGGCCCTCAAAGAGGATTTGGCGAATCAATGGCAGAGAGGCAGCCAATGAGAGCACCTGCTCCTCAGTGCACAGAAAAGTGGCCCTGCTGCCGGGGCCACTCTGCACCCCGAGCTCACCCCCGGACCTGAGCTTCATCCCACACAGAGTGGGTCCTCGCTGTGTGTCTGCCCCAGGTTGCCATGAGGCTGGGAGGGCCGTGCCGGGATGAACTGTTTACAATTAACTTGGCCATCACCCTCTGCACACTTTAGATGGTCCCAGTGAGTCTCTTGCAACCAAGTGCCTCATTTGCTTTATGTCCCAAGAACTGCACCATAAGGTTGACGGGGAAGACTGGGGAGGTGTTGGTCAAAGGACACAAAATATCAGACAGGAGGAATAGTTCAAGAGATGCATTGGACATTGTATTAGTTCACTTTCACACTGCTATAAAGAACTGCCTGAGACTGGGTAATTTATAAAGGAAAGAGGTTTAATTGACTCACAGTTCCACATGACTGGGGAGACCTCAGGAAACTTACAATCATGGCAGAAGGCGAAGCAGGGGCAAGGACTTTCTTCACAAGGTGGCGGGAGTGGGGCGGGGGTGGGATACATGGAGAGAACTGCCTTTTTTTTTTTTTTTTTTTTTTGAGACGGAGTTTTGCTCTTGTTGCCCAGGCTGGAGTGCAATGGTGTGATCTTGGCTCACCACAACCTCTGCCTCCTGGATTCAAGTGATTCTCCTGCCTCAGCCTCACTAGTAGCTGGGATTACAGGCATGTGCCAACATGCCCGACTAATTTTGTATTTTTAGTGGTGACAGGGTTTCTCCATGTTGGTCAGGCTGGTCTCAAACTCCTGACCTCAGGTGATCCGCCTGTCTCAGCCTCCCAAAGTGCTGGGATTACAGGCGTGAGCCACCGTGCCTGGCCATAAGAGAACCACTTTTAAACCATCACACGTCGTCGTAAGAACTCAGTATCACAAGAATAGCAAGGGGGAAATCCACCCCCGTGATCCAATCACCTCCCACCAGGCCCCTCCCCTGACACATGGGGATTACAATTCGAGGTGAGGTTTGGGTGGGGACAGAGAGTCAAACCGTATCAGACATCATGGTGACTACAGTTAATAACAATGTATTGTATTCTTGAAAATTGCCAAGAGTACATTTTATGTGTTCTCACCACCAAAAAATAAGTATATGAGGTAATGCACGTGTGAAATAGCTTGAAGCCAGGCAGAGGCTCACTTGTAATCCCAACACTTTGGGAAGCCAAAGCTAGCAGATCACTTGAACCCAGGAGTTCAAGACCAGCCTGGGTAACATAGCAAGAACCTGTCTCTAAAAGTAATCTTTAAAATTAGCCAGGTGTGATGATGTGTACCTGTGCTCCCAGCTACTTAGGAGGCTGAGTCAGGAGGATCACCTGAGACCAGGAGATCGAGGCTGCAGTCAGCCATGCCTCCACCATCACACTCCAGCCTGGATGACAGAGTGAGACACTGTCTCAAGAAAAAGAAAGAAAGAAAGGAATTTTACACCATGAATTTATACAATATTTACCTATCAAGTAAAAACAGAAGAGAAGGATGAGCATTTGAGTTGTACAAATGAGACTAAGGCTCAGAGAGATCAGGCTGCCTGCCCAGGGTGCAGTGCTAGCAGGTAGCCATATTGTGGTGTCCACCAAAACTTTGCCCAAGTGCCACGCTGCTGCCTGAATTCCCTCCTCTCAGAATTTTGTTTCCTTTATAGGTACCTCCTCAACCCATCCTTTCCTTTCCTCCTGCCCCTTCTTAGTCTTCAGAAATAACTTAGGGCCATGAAGCACTGTAGAGAGAAGAGGCCTGTCTCAGAGGGAGGAGCAGGGATGGGGACACAGCAATCAGTGGCATCGTCTGGCTTCCTGAGGCTCTGGTGCCTGCACTGCCAGATCTCGCCAATTCCTGTAGCCCCATCTCCATTGGTTATCCAGATGCTTCCTCTAGGGCCCCCAGGTTATCCAGATGCTGCCTCCGAGCTGCAATCAGGGTGATGCCACACCCCTGGCCCTAGTTTCACTCAGATCATTGCCAGCTTCTGTTGTCAGCTGTGCTCACTCAGCACTTGGCCTCTTGGTCCACTGCGAGTGTCTGTGACGTCATTCTGGCCTACACTACAGCTTAGGTGTGGACCCCAAAGACTCCGAGTTACAATCAGGAATCCCACTCTGGTCTCTTCACTGTCCTCTCCCCTCTGTGCTCCGTCTCATCCTGGAGGCTGCTCTGCCGGTCTGAAGCTTTCCCCGCTTCCTTCCACCTGGCTGCTTGTCCCTGTCTTCCATGTCTCAACCCAAACCCCACTTCTCCAGAAAGCCCTTCCTGATGACTCCAGCCATTGCCACTTCCCCTGCCTCAGCCCCTCGACAGGCACCATCTTCATCATGCATGGGGGCACTTGACTTTGAATTTTTTTATAATTACATCTTCTCCTATTCTCTAATGGTTTAATATTTTCCTTCACTGTATTTCTTTAAAGATCAAGGGCTACACCACAGCGTGATTACATAACTTTGCACAGAAGTTTTATGTCTAGCACAGAACTTAAGCCCATAGGAAGTGCTCAACAATGAATCTTCATAAAGTTAGTAAATCAAAAATTGACTGGATGCACATGTGATGGTACATCTAGACACACCAGATCTGCAGAAGGATAGCTAAGTCTATTATTCAGAGAAAAGCTTTTTTAATTTTTTTCTTTGATATGGAGTCTTGCTGTTACGAGGCTGGAGTGCAGTGGCATGATCTCAGCTCACTGCAACCTCTGCCTCCCGGGTTCAAACAATTCTCCTGCCTCAGCCTCCTGAGTAGCTGGGACTACAGGTGCATGCCACCACGCCCAGCTAATTTTTGTATTTTTAGTAGAGACAGGTTTTCACCACATTGGCCAGGGTGGTCTTGATCTCTTGACCTCGTGATCCACCCTCCTCGACTTCCCAAAGTGCTGGGATTACAGGCATGAGCCACCACGCCCAGCCTTTTCTTTTTTTTTTTTTTTTTAAGATAGGGTCTTGCTCTGTTACCCAGGCTGGAGAGCAGTGGTTCTGTCTTGGCTCACTGCAGCTTCAACCTCCCAGGCTCAAGTGATCCTCCTGCTTCAGTCTCCCATGTAGCTGGGACTACAGGAACGTGCCAGGACACCTGGCTAATTTTTGTTTATTTTTTATAGAAATCGGGTCTTGCAATGTTGCCCAGGCTGGTCTCAAACTCCTTGGCTCAAGCAATCCTCCCACTTCAGCCTCCCAAAGTGCTGAGATTAAGCAGGAGCCACCGTATCTGGCCGAAAAAGCATTTTTTATCTGAGTGCCTTCTGTTTTCTAATAACTGAGCTGCACTGAAGGAGAAAGGCATACAGGATGAGAATAAGCTACAGCTTCTGCTCTCTAAGGTTTATAGTCTACCGGGGGAGCAGAACTATAAATTAATGATTGTAGTGCAGTGTGATAAATGCAATAATTAAAATAGCTGTGACATTCCACAGTGGGGGCAGAAGTCAGAGCTGCTATGATTGCTCATAGAGCAGACTTCACAGAACACTTTATATGGGTCTTGAAGGATATGTAGAAGTTTGCCAACTGTAATTAAAAGGCAGAGCATGGTGGCTCACGCCTGTAATCCCAGCACTTTGGGAGGCTGACGCGGGAAGATTGCTTAAGCCCAGGATTTTGAGACCAGGCTGGGCAACATAGTGGACCCCGTCTCTATTATTTAAAAATTTAATTTTTAAAAAAATTTAAAAATAAAGAAAAAAAATGGTTGTTTAGGCTAGTCATGGTGGCTCATGCCTGTAATCCCAGCACTTTGGGAAGCTGAGGCAGGTGGATCACCTGAGGTCAGGAGTTTGAGACCAACCTGGCCAACATGGCGAAACCCCACCTCTACTAAAATACAAAAATTAGCCAGGCATGGCAGTGCATGCCTCTAATCCCAGCTACTAGGGAGGCTGAGGCAGGAGAATCGCTTGAACCTGGGAGGTGGAAATTGCAGTGAGCCAAGATCAAGCCACTGCACTCCAGCCTGGGCAACAGAGCAAGACTCTATCTAAAAAAAAAAAAAAAAAAAAAAAAAAGTTGTTTACTCTGGAAGTTATCATCATTTACCCCATCTATGGATGCCAGCCCATCTGCCCAGTCATTTTCATGCTGGACCAAGAGCTAGGAGACACCTTGGGCAAGGCTCCCCTAATTCTAGTAGAATATCCTTGTAGGACCAGTTCCCTGGGGTTTGCGTGTGACCTACAATCTTAGTTTCAATGTAACATCATCCAAAGTAATTAAAAATACTTTACCCAGAGATTGACATTAAATTCCCTTCTCTGTACCCAATTAAAAAAAATAAGAGCCTTATTAGATCTACAATAAGCCCTGATTAGAAACAGCCTGTTTGAAAATCAGTAAACTCTTCTTAATCCCTCCAGTGGAAAAAGAGAGAGGCTCCTCTGTGTCTTCCCTAAAAAGTCAGTATTTATACAAAGCCTCAGGTTGCTGGATTCGGAGACACCGAGCTGGCCTGTCCCTCCCCGAAGCCGCCTGCACCCTCTGAGTTCTGCCTGACTTATTTGGCTATAACTAATCTCTGCTCTAGGCTTGCTTACATTTTTGGGTTACCCTTTCGCCTGGAATGCATCTCAATGTTCTCATTAGAGATGTCTTCCCAGCCCCGGCCCTCACTCTCCTTTTGTTGCTGTTACTTTCTGTCCTGCCATAAGTAATCTTGATTGCTCCCAGCATACAGCCAAGTCCTGGTGTGTTCCCCATCACTCTGACACTTTCTGCTCCCACGCAGGCCAGGCTGAGGCCCCGGGATGCTTCCCTCCCTCCCTCCTCTGTCTCTACAGCCAGGCAGCTTAAGTATTTACAGTAGGATTTTTAAAATAAATTTTTAAAATTATAAAATATATTGTATGCTTTTTATAGAAAACTGTAAAGGAAAATATTTAGAAAACCCTTATAATCCACCACCTAGAGTCAAACAGTTTTTTGGCATAATCCTATTTAAGAATATGTTTTGCTGGGCACAGTGGCTCATGCCTGTAATCCCAGCACTTTGGGAGGCTGAGGTGGGAGAATCACTTGAGCCCAGGAGTTCAAGACCAGCCTGGGCAACATAGTAAGACCCTGTCTCTACAAAAAGACAAGACAAAACAAAATAAAAAAACAAAAAGAAATGTATATTTCATTGTACATTTCATTACAAATGTAATATATCCTTTTCATTGTATATTTCATTGTATGTTTCATTACAAAACTTATATATTCAATTGTGAATGCTGGCTTTGTTTAATATTTCATCGTATGTTTCATTACAAAAGTAATGTATCCTTGGACATGACTTTATGTGAATGGCACTTAACTTGTGTGGTCTTTCTCCTCCAAATTCATAACCCAAGTCTAATTATGAGAAAAACAGCAGACAAATTCAAATTGAGGGACATTCTACAAAATACCTGACCAGTACTCCTCAAAACTGTCAAGGTCATCAAAAACAAGGGAAGTCTGAGAAAATGCCACAGTCACAAAGGGACATGACCACTAAACATAATGTGGTATCCTGGATGAGATTCTGGAACAGAGAAAGGACATTAGAAAAACACTTGAGAAACCCCATTTAAGTATGGACATTAGTTAATCATAATGTATCAGTGTTGGTTCATTACTTGTGACAAATATAAAATGTTAACAATAGAGGAAACTGGATACCATATGGGAACTCTATTATCTTTGTAACTCTTCTGTAAATCTAAAACTATTCTTAAATACAAAGCTTATTTTTAAAAAGTACTATGGCTGGGTGTGGTGGCTCATACCTGTAATCCCAGCACTTTGGGAGGCTGAGGTGGGAGGACTGCTTGAGGACAGGAGTTTGAGATTAGTCTGGGCAACATAGCAAGATCCTGTCTCTACAGAAAATAACAACATTAGCCAGGCATGGTGGTTGGTGCCTGTATTCCCCACTACTTGGAAGGCTGAGGTGGGAGGATGGCTTAAGCCCAGGAGGTGGAGGTTGCAGTGAACCATGATCACACCACTGCACTTCTACCTGGGTGACAGAACAAGACCTTCTCTCTCTCTAAAAAAAAAAAAAAAAAAAAAAATTAAGAAAAATTAAAAAGTACTACATTATTATTGGGTACAAAATTCAAATAATACAAAAGCATATAAAATAAAAGACAATAGTGCTCTGCTTCTATCTCCTCATGTCTAAATTGGCACCAGACTTATTTTCTGGGATATGCATAGTTAAGCTCATGTTGCAAAGACAAATTTGAATGCTGGCTTTTTTTGTTGTTGTTTAATATTACAGCATAAGCATTTTCCCATGTACGTAAGAACTCTTCTTGAAGACAATTGTATAGGTTACGTAATAATCATTGCACTATTTTCTTGTCTAAATTAGCTGTGATCCAGCCCTTATGTTTCCATGAGGTTTGCTTTCATTATCCATGTCTTAGAGGGTTTCCCCCTGCAAAGAACTGCTCCTCTGTTTTCTCCAAGGCAACAGGGAAGTCAGCAAAATCTTCATCCATGTTCTCCTGGGCCTCTATAAAACTTTAGTCAAATGTATTTCAGTAGAGTTCAAGTGTAAAGTCTTTCTTTTTTTGACTTTTTCCCTTGTCTTTATTGCTCACAATAAAGGGACTTATCTATTAGGGATACCCAGGTGCTGTCATTGCTGATGGCTAAAAAGCATAATGTTTGAATGTTGATGTACTGGATAGAATAGTGCCCCCAACAACCCCACCTCAAAGCCATATTCATCCAGAACCTCAGAATGCAATGTTATTTCAAATTAGGGCCTTTGCATATGTAACTTGGTAAAATGAAGCCACACTAGATTAGGGTGGGCCCTAAATTCAGTGACTGGTGTCCTTATAAGAAGGCCATGTGAAGACAGAGACATACACACAAATGGAGATGGAGAAGATGGAGACAGAGATTGGAGTGATGCATTTGTTTACAAGCCAAGGAAAGCCAAGGATGGTGGCCACTGCCAGAAGCCGGAAGAGAGGCATGGAACAGATTCTCCCTTAGAGCCCTGATATGATTTGGCTGTGTCCCCACTCAAATCTCACCTTGAGTTATAATAATCCCCATGTGTCAAGGGCAGGGCCAGGTGGAGATAATTGAATCATGGGGGCAGTTTCCCCCATATTCTTCTCCTGATAGTAAATAAGTCTCATGAAATCTGATGGTTTTATAAAGGGGGGTTCCCCTGCACACGCTCTCTTTTCTGCCACCATGTAAGATGTGACTTTGCTCCTCATTCACCTTCCTCCATGATTGTGAGGTCTCCCCAGCCATGTAGAACTGTGAGTCCATTAAACCTCTTTCCTTTATAGATTACTCAATCTCAGGTATGTTTTTATTAGCAGTGTGAGACCAGAAAAATACAGGCCCCTAAGAAGGAACCAACTCTGCTGACACCTTGACTTTCAACTTCTAGATTCCAGAATTGCAAGAGAATAAATTTCTATTGTTTTAAGCCACTTTCTTTGTGATTTTATTTTTGTTTATTTGAAACAGGGTCTCAGCTAGGCGCATTGGCTCATGCCTGTAATCCCAGCACTTTGGGAGGCTGAGGTGGGCAGATCACCTGAGGTCAGGAGTTCGACACCAGCCTGACCAACAAGGAGAAACGCCCGTCTCTACTAAAAATACAAAATTAGCGGGGCGTGGTGGTGCATGCCTGTAATCCCAGCTACTCTGGAGGCTGAGGCAGGAAAATCACTTGAACCTGGGAGGAGGAGGTTGCAGTGAGCCGAGATTGCGCCATTGCACTCCAGCCTGGACAACAAGAGCGAAACTCTGTCTCAAAAAGAAAAAAAAAAGAAACGAGGTCTTACTCTGTCACCCAGGCTGGAATGCAATGGTGCAATTATAGCTCACTGCACCCTCGTGGATTCAAGGGATCCTCCCATCTCTCAGTCTTCCGAGTAGCTGGAACTACAGTAGGCGCTACCATGCCCAACTCTTCGTAAAATTTGTTGTAGAGATGGGATCTAGCTATATTGTCCAGGCTGGTCTCAAACTACTGGCCTCAAGCGATCCTCCCACCTCTGCCTCCCAAACTACTAGGATTATAGTGGTGAGCCACCACACCCAGCCCCTTTGTGATATTTCATTTTGGCAACCCTTGCAAACTAAATACAATGGGCTGTGGCCTTAGAGGGACCTGGGTCTGAGCACAGCTCTGGCACTTCTGTGGAATACAGGGCCGTGGTTCTGGCTGCCCGGGTCAGCAGACATCTGAGGGGATTCACAGAGCCCACGTGCAAAGCCGTGAGCAAAGGGCCAAGCGGTGTGCTGGTGTATGGGATCACATCCTTCTCCTTGATCTCTCCACCTGCTGGCCATTCCTTTCTGGTCAGACAGAGAAAGTACCACAAAGATCCACTTCCCCCACTTTTAACTGTATCCATATTCTTTCTAGGAGATTTAAGTTGTTGTTTGCCAGAATATGCCTTTAATACAAAAAGCCTCCAGGTTGAAAATATGTTGGCTTTAAAGCTTTGGCTATGACAAAGCAAATTACTTCAGAGCTTCATTTAGTCCTAAATTATTTATAGAGGATTTGCTTTGGGAATACACGTGTGTGCACATACATGCACACAGCCTTGACAGCGATTGCTATATTTTCCAACTAATGGAAATGCTAAAATGAGCGTGTATTACCTTCATAATAAAAACATTTTTAGGCTGGGTGCAGTGGCTCATGCCTGTAATGCCAACACTTTGGGAGGCTAAAACAGGAGAATCACTTGGGACCAGGGGTTCAAGACCAACCTGGGCAAAGTAGGAAGACCCTGTCTCTACAAAAAAATTAAAAATTAGCTGGGTGTGGTGGCAGGGACCTGTAGTCCTTGCTACTCAGGAGGCTGAGGCAGGAGAATTGCTTCAGCCCAGGAGTTCAAGGCCACAGTGAGCTGTGGTTGTGCCACTGCACTCTAGCCTGGGTGACAGAGTGAAACTCTTTTTGTTAAAAAAAAAAAAAAGAAAGAAAAAACTATACTTTCTTTTATAGGAGGATGCCATATCTGCCACAAAAACTGATTATGGATGGAGAGATTCTCCGTAGATGAGAGGCTCAGGTTGGGGAGGAAAATGTAAGTGGGATGTTGGCAATAACTTTTAATGTGTGAGACCTGGGAACTTCTCAGCTCCAAGAAGTAATTGTCTTTAAGGTGCTATGGGGTACCGTGAGGTCCTGAGGCAAATGTGTAGAGAGGGTTGAATTCCCCTCACGAGGGTGGTGTGGGAGTGGTGCAAGACAGCAGAGTCTTGAAAGAGTTTAGTGACTCAGTATGACAATGGGGCCAGAATGGCAAAGGTAAATACTTCTCAGTCTTTTCTTGGGCTGCTGTGAATGAGAACCAGGAGGGAAGGTGAAGTCTGTGGGCAGAGGGGAAAGCCTCTGGGGTTTGCCACAAGAAGGCGGACCACACCTGCCCACAGCCTCCTTCGGTGTCCTCTGGAGGTCCCAACATCCCTTCCTGTACTAGTTATCTCTGGTGGCTTAACCTCAAAACTTACTGGCTTAACATAACAAGACACATTTGTTATGTCAGAGTTTCTGCAGGTACGGAATTCAGGATTGAATTAGCAGGATAATTCCGACTTGAGGTCTCTGAGGAGGTTTTAGTCAAGATGTCAGCGAGGGTTGCAATCACGTGAAAAATTGACTGGGACTGAAGGAGCCATTTCCAAGGTAGGTCACTCACACGGCTGGCAGACTCAACACGGCTGTTGGCAGGAGGCCTCAGTTCCTTGCAAGGTGGATGCCTCCATAGGGTTGGCTTTCCCCAGAACAAGTATCCAAGAGAGAGCAAGGCGGACATGCATTGTCTTTTATAACCTAGTTTCAGAGTCACACACACACACACAGAGTATCATTTCCATATATCTTATTGATTACACAGGTTGGCCCTATTCAGCGGGAGAGGGGGCTACACACACACACACACACACACACACACACACACACACACCACAGACAAAACCAAAAGGTAAGAGGGTCTCCTTGGAGGGTGCCGTCTTGGAGGCCGGCTGCCACTCTCCACAGGGTGCCATCTTGGAGGCTGGCTGCCACATTCTCCATAGAACTAAGCCATGGGTGTGCCTTCATCATTGGATCCATGGCTGCGACTCAGTGCAGGGAAACCAACTCTGGGGCTGGGAACTTCCAAAACCTGAGCAACAATGTGTTCTTTCTGAATCCTCAAAGTGAAGCATTCAAAATATGTCCAGCCAGGCTCCCAAGGTTTATCCCAAAGAGGTTAGAAATCCAAGACACACCACCATAATCTATCTGAATTCAACATTTCCCCCAATTCCTTTTTTTTTTTTTAAGATGGAGTCTCGCTGTAACCCAGGCTAGAGTGCAGTGGCGCGATCTTGGCTCACTGCAACCTCCATCTCCCAGGTTCAAGCAATTCTGCTGGCTCAGCCTCCCAAGTAGCTGGGACTACAGGTACCTGCCACCACACCCAGCAATTTTTTTTTGTTTTTAAGACGGAGTTTTGCTCTTGTTACCCAGACTGGAGTGCAGTGGTGCGATCTCGGCTCACTGCAACCTCTGCCTCCTGGGTTCAAACGATTCTCCTGCCTCAGCCTCCTGGTTTCACCATGTTGGCCAGGCTAGTCTTGAACTCCTGACCTCAGGTGATCTGCCCGCCTTGGCCTCCCAAAGTGATGGGATTACAGGCAGGAGCCACTGTTCCTGGCTGCCCCCAACTCTTTTTAATCATTTTTCCCTTTTGATATACATTTCACGTACCATGAAATGCACAAATCTTAGGTGTACATCTGCCCAGTTTTGAATAATATCTTATACCTGTGTAAGTTAAATCCCTTTAGAAATACAGAAAATGTCCTCATGCTCCTTTCCAGCCAACTCCCCAGCCCTTGCCACACACACTCACACACTGAGGCAACCACTGTTCTGGTATCTTTCACTGTAGTTTTACATGCTCTAGAATTTCAAATTAATTGATATTTTGTCTGATTTCATTTTTAATCAGCATGTTGATTCATCCATGTTGTCATGCACCAGTAATTTGTTTCCCCTAACTTATCATTTTTTAAAAAATTTTGAGCCTAGAGAAGAACTCAAAGATAGTACCATGAAGTTGAACCCTTGGTCTAGACCTTTACATTGTTAACATTCTGCCACATTGGCTTCCATTCTTTCTCTCTTCTTTTCGTTTTACTCACCTACTTGAAAGTTGCACATGCCAAGACACTTCATCCCTAAACACTTCAGTATGTGCTCCTAACAACAAAGACGTTCTTCCACATGACCACAATACCATTATTATGCCCAAGATGTTGGATACTAGTACAATACTATTACCCAATATAGAGTCCATGTTCAATTTCTCTCCTAATGTTCTTATTTTATTTTATTTTATTTTATTTTTTGAGATGGAGTCTCACGCTGTTGCCCAGGCTGGAGTGCAGTGGTGCAATCAGCTCACTGCAGCCTCTGCCTCCCAGGTTCAAGCAATTCACGTACCTCAGCCTCCCAAGTAGCACCCACCACTATGCCTGGCTAATTTTTGTATTTTTAGTAGAGACAGGGTTTCACCATGTTGGCCAGGCTGGTCTTGGACTCCTGACCTCAAATGATCTGCCTGCCTCGGCCTCCCAAAGTGCTGGGATTACTCTCCTAATGTTCTTTAGCGAAGGGCAGGCACCCATGGTAGCGTGCCTACCATGTGGTGGTGTCTGGGAATACAGGGTCAGCCGCTCCGACCTTGACCCTTCCTTTTTTGTCTTTCCCTCATTTTCCCCCCTGCTCCCCACCTCCTTCCTCTCCCTGGGCATCTAGTGTGCACAGTGCCCTGGCTTGGGTAGCCACCCAGCTCTCCTGAACCTGCTAACACTTCCTGGGCAGTTGATTTCAGCTCTATTTCTATGAACTTTCCTTCCTTTTTTTATCAGTGGCCAACCCCTCTGTGGTGCACCCTGCATCCACCCCAGGGATCATTTGAATGCACTTTGGTAATGAACAGGAAAGATCTTGTCCATTCCTAGGGTACCAAAGACACTGGGAAATAGTCCTCCCTCCTCATTTGTTTTTGTGGCTAGGTCTAACTGCCTAAATAAACCTCTCTCCTCAGTCTTCTCGCTCAACAACAAGGTACTGGGAAGTTTTCCTGGGCTTAGAGTAAACACCAGCTTCTGCCACACAGACATAGACACACGCGTGCATGCGCAGACACACACACACTCACACACTACACCAGCAGCCTTACACTCAGATCAATTCTCTCCCACCATCAGCCCAAGCCTCTGAGTCTCCATTAGGGTGAGACAGGAGCTATTGAAGCCCACCCAGGTAAATGCCATGTTCAGAGGCACAGCCACAGCCCTCTGAGCTCTGTAGCCTCACTGCACCTTGCCCTTGGTAAGCCAAGGACCTCCTGGCCAGCCTCAAGCTCCTACTGTCCCATCCAACCTCACTGATCACTTGGCTGCAGGACAGAAACACATGCTTGGCTCCAGAGAGCAAGGACCTCCTATTTGCCACTCTAAATATTTATACTCGGTTCTGCCACACTCCCCTGCATTGGGATGTTGAGGACATGCAGTAATGACCTTCTCGCTGTGTTTGGGAGGGAGAGGAAGGACAGGCTCAAGCATGCAGTTCACAGAGCCAGTGACGGGCTGAAGGCCTGGCCCATCTAGGGGTTCTAGAGCCCAGGGAGCAGCATCGGACCCCAGCAGCTCTAGACCACCTGCCTGCCTAGAAGACAGACAGGGACTGTGCAAAGGAGCTGGACTTTTTTTTTTTTTTTTGATGAAGTCTCGCACTGTTGCCCAGGCTGGAGTGCATTGGCACAATCTCAGCTCCCTGCAACCTCTGCCTCCTGGGTTCAAGCAATTATCCTGCCTCAGCCTCCCGAGTATCTGGGACTACTAAATCAGCCACTGTGCCTGGCTAATTTTTGCCCCTTTTTTTTTTTTTAGTAGAGACAGGGTCTCACCATGTGGGCCAGGCTGGTCTCAAACTCCTGGCCTCAGGTGATCTGCCTGCCTTGGCCTCCCAAAGTCCTGGGATTACAGGTGTGAGCAACCATGCCTGTCCAGAAGTTAGACATTGAGTCTGAAGACTTCGTTCCAGCCTCTGTTGCTGCCTGTGTCTGAACGCCTGGCCTTGTCAAGCAGCTGGAACCAAGGACCCAGAAAGTGCCAGGTCCCTCTTCAGTGCACAGACATGCATGGCTATGAAAACATCTCAACACATGGGCCGAAGCCTTCGGCCCCTTCTAGCAGCAGCTGCCTGCTATGTGTAACTTCATTCGCTGTAGGAATCCCATGCCCCAAAAAATCTCTGTACAAGCCATGACTAAAGTGTACCCCTCTTACTTCCAGCAGGGCTGCGTGTATTTATTTTAGACATAGGTTCAAGTGGGCTTCTGGATGGCATGACAGCCGCAGTGGAAATGCTGGTGCCCTGTTTCATCAACTCAGGGGTGGAGGGGTGGCCAGTTACCAGGGAAGTTACATAGGTTGGCCCTACTCAGTGGGGAGGGAGCTACACACAAACAGACAAAACCAGGAGGTGAGAGTGTCTCCTTGAAGGGTGCCATCTCGGAGGCAGGCTGCCACTCTCCACAGGGTGCCATCTTGGAGGTTGGCTGCCACATTCCCCCATAGGACTAAGCCATGGGTGTACCTTTATCATTGGATCTATGGCTGGGAGATTTTGTTGTTGAGACAGGTTCTCGCTCTGTCCGCCAGGCTGGAGGGCAGTGCTGCGATCATAGCTCACTCCAGCCTCAAACTCCTGGGCTCAGGTGATCCTCTCACCTCAGCCTCCCAAGTAGCTGGGATTATAGGTGTGAGCCACCATGCCTGGCTAATTTCTTCATTTTTTGTAGAGACAGGGTCTCGCTATGTTGCCCAGGCTATCACCAGGTATTTTTAAAATGAACTCAACGGACAAGACTTTTGTCATTTAAAGAGGCCAGGAGAAGTGTTATCAGAAAAGGGTGCCAGGGTTGGTGGGAGTGAGCCCACCTGGCATTGTTTGCCATCAATGTCACCCTTCAATGTTTAATCAAGCCCCCCTTCCCCAGGTATGGGCCCTTTCCTAGCCTCTGTCCCTCATTCAGATCTATCTTCCCCTCACTTCTATGTTTCTTTTTTTTTTTTTTTTTGAGACAGAGTTTCACTCTTGCTGCCCAGGCTGGAGTGCAGTGGCACGATCTTGGTTCACTGCAACCTCTGCCTCCTGGTGTTACCGGGCTTCCTTGCTCCCAGAGCTCCCAAGATGGTGGTGGGCCACTTCCAAAATGGCGTGGGCCACTTCCAAGATGGTGGCAAGCCTCCTGTTCTCTGACTTGGGGTTCTTAGCCTCACGGATTCCAAGGAATGGAATCTTGGGCCATGCAGTGAGTGTTATAGCTCTATCAGAAGCCATGGGTCACGGAAGAGAACCGTGGAACCCAGTGACTAGCGTTCAGCTCAATTAGGATGAACCCAGGCACTTAGGCGTGCAGGAACAATGGCAAGCCTTTAGCCCGATCAGGAGCGGCAATGGAAGTCTAGCTGGATCAGGAGCACAGTGGACACCCTGCCGGATCCAGAGGGATGGAAGTCAGCGGGGTTGGTGGATGGCAAGCAAAAGCTCAGCTCGAGCCGTAACAAACACGGACCAGAAGAGAATGCAGGTGCAAGATTTAATAGAGTGAAAACAGAGCTCCCATACAAAGGGAGGGGACCCAAATCCCCATCATTGTTCCTCCCACTGTGCTCTCAGGCAATAGATGATTGGCTATTTCTTTACCTCCTGTTTTTGCCTAATTAGCATTTTAGTGAGCTCTCCTTACTACTTGATTGGTCGGGTGTGAGCTAAGTTGCCAGCCCCGTGTTTAAAGGTGGATTCGGTCACCTTTCCAGCTAGGCTTAGGGATTCTTAGTCGGCCTAGGAAATCCAGCTAGTCCTGTCTCTCACTGGGTTCAAGCGATTCTCCTGCCTCAGCCTCCCGAGTAGCTGGGATTACAGGTGCCCACCACCACGCCTGGCTAATTTTTGTATTTTTAGTAGAGACAAGGTTTCACCATATTGGTCAGGCTGGTCTTGAACTCTTGATCTCAGGTGATCCACCTGCCTCGGCCTTCCAAAGTGCTAGGATTACAGGCATGAGCCACCGCGCCTGGCCTCTTCCCCTCACTTCTACGACTCCCCAGCCCCACCACCAGGGCACTACTTGGGCCGCTTGTCCTAATGTTTGGTCCTAGGTTGTATTCGGGATTTCAGATGGCTTACAAAAATACCAGATGGATTGGGCAAAATAAGAGGAGAAAAAATTTTAAGGCCAGGTTATGCCTTTAGCACTGAGCAAAGCACAGTCTTTTTTTTTTTTTTTTTTTTTTTTTGAGTCAGAGTCTTGCTCTGTTGCCCAGGCTAGAATGCAGTGGCATGATCTTGGATCACTGCAACCTCTGTTTCCCGGGTTCAAGCAATTCTCCTGCCTCAGCATCCGGAGTAGCTGGGATTATAGACACGCACCAACACACCCTGCTAATTTTTTGTATTTTGGTAGAGACGGGGTTTTGCCATGTTGCCCAGGCTGGGAAAAGCACAGTCTTCTACAGTTGCTGGAAGAGGACTAGGATTCTCTCCAAGTTTTCAGGAGGCCAAAGCAAAAGGGCAAATGATCATTGCAGCAGCTGCACAGGCCTTAGGGGTGATCACACTGGTGTTTAGGAATAGCATATCTTGTTGTCTCTCAAAAGTGAGAACAGAGCGAAATCTCCCCCAGTGGGCCCAGCCAAGGAGCGCTGTTGCACTATCTCACCCGAGAAGAGTGCTCAGCTTTCTTTTTCTTTCTTTCTTTTCCTTTTTAAATAGAGATGGGGTCTCATTATGTTGCCCAGGCTGGTCTCAAACTCCTGGGCTCAAGCGATCCTCTCACCTCAGCCTCCCAAAGTTCTGGGATTACAGGCATAAGCCACGGTGCCCAGCCCAGCTGCTCTGTTTTCATGATAAGTGTTGCGGGGTTGGGGCCGGGGGTGGGGAGGGGAGTGTTGTCGGATGGTATTTGGGTGATAGTTCCTTCTTTTGCGTTGTTTTTAATCCAATTCACAAGTTGACTCAAATAACATTGTCATGGTGATTAACCCCTTTGGCAGAAATGAGAAAATCAAAAGCTGATGCAAATAGATAATGAAGAATCAATCCCAGGAAGAGGAAAGGGTGGGAGAGGCATTTTACAGCTTATCAAGATCAAAGGACAGAGGCCATCTCTAAACAAAACCAAACCCTGAAACTCACCATCACAGAACTATGTCAAAAGGTTTCTGCATCCCCACTACGGCACCCATCACCATGACTAGCCCAGAGTATTTCCAAACGATTGCTATCCATCATATTTTCCTCAGCACCTCCTATTTGTAACTTAACAATATTTAACAACTGCTTCCTTGATCTCTTCTCTGGCTGACGGATTGAGGCTGCAGTATTTCAATTTGCCAGCAGGTGTCACCCCAGCTAACACGATTCAGAGAAGCCTAAAAATGTGAGGTTCTTTTTCCGTACACCTTTGATGGCACCAAAATGTGTGTGGGCAAGTGCAAAGTCCAAATTCCTAACTAGGACATCCCAGGCCCTTCATATTTGGCCCAACTCATGGTTTACTGCCTTAGTTCTTGCCAATTCAGGCACACATTCAATCAGCAGAGGTTTATTGAACATTCGTTATTTGTAAGGGGCTATCCGGGGGCTGGAAATGAAAAGATGACAGAGATTTCACCTCTGTTCCGGAGAATTGCATGGCTTACTCTGCCCAGGAGAGGGCTAAGCTGCTATGTTAAAACATTGGCAGCCGGGAGCGGTGGCTCATGCCTGTAATCTCAGCACTTTGGGAGGCCGAGGCAGGCAGATCACGAGGTCAGGAGTTCGAGACCAGCCTGGCCAAGAGACCAGCCTGGCCAATATGGTGAAACCCTATCTCTACTAAAAATACAAAAATTAGCCGGGAGTGGTGGCGGACACCTGTAATCCCAGCTACTTGGGAGGCTGAGGCAGGAGAATTGCTTGAACCCAGGAGGCAGAGGTTGCAGTGAGCCGAAGGTCACACCATTGCACTCCAGCCTGGGTGACAGATCGAGACTCCAACTCAAAAAAAAAAAAAAAAAAATTGACTAAGCTGCTACAACAAATATGTGTGCGTACATATACACATATATGCTATTAGACATTACGTAGCATATACGTATAGATATACACATTATACATGTGTATGTATGTATGTATATTTGTCATAGCAGTGCTATGGATATGGATAATTATATACTTATATTTTGTATATATAATTATATATGATATATTTATATTAATTGCATATAATTATATATGAATGATATATATAATTATTCATATTTATAGCATTGACTAAGCTGCTATGGCTAAGCTGCTAAGCTGCTAATTTTTTTTTTTTTTTGAGACAGAATCTCACTCTGTCACCCACACTGGAGTGCAGTGGTGCGATCACAGCTTACTGAAGCCTTGACCTCCTGGGCTCAAGTGATCCTTCCCCCTCAGCCTCCTGAACAGCTGGAATTACAGGTGTGGGCCACCACACCCAGCTAATTTTTGTATTTTTCATAGAGACGGCATCTCACCATGTTGTCCAGGCTGGTCTTGAACTCCTGGGCTCAAGCCATCCACCCACCTCGACCTCCCAAAGTGCTGGGATTACAGTTGTGAGCCACCGAGCCCAGACTACTAATCTTAATTAGCAGCTATATATGAAATATACATGAAACACATATATTTCATAGCCAATGCTATGGATATGGATAATTATATATATAAGATATATGTTTATATTATATATAATTATATATAAGATATAACTTTATATCTATATTATGTATAAATAATTTATGTATACATAATATAGATATAAAATTATGTTTATGTTATGTATAAATTTATTTATAAATAACTTATAAATTTGTACATAATATAGATATAAATTTATTTATATATAATATAGATATAAAATTATTTAACATTTATATATATAAAATTATCCATATCCATAGCATTGGCTAAGCATCTAAGCTGCTAATCTTAATTATAAGATACAATTATATATATGAGAGATACATAAGACACTGGATAAGCTACTCAGAGGTTTAAAGAATCTGAAATTAATTTATTTCTCAAGCAAAAGGCCAGGGGTGGGTGGTCCAGACTGGTCGGGCTACTCAGCTCCATCGGGTCAGTCGGGGCCATGGCTTCCTCCCATCCCCTTGGCTCACAGTTCCTAGGATGTTGTCTTTGGCTGCATGGTCAAAGCTGAGTCATAACCTCATCCATGCTTCACCCTGGAGAAGGGAAAGAGAAAAAGTGGAGGGCATGCAATTTGGCTTTTAAGCAAGAAACACAGAAGTCACACCTAGCACTTCTATTCACATTCTAGGGCATGGACCTAGTCCTATGGCCACATCTAGCTGCAAGGAAGGCTGGGAAATGTAGCCTTTTGCTAGGCAGTGATGAGCCTAGTTAGAAATGTGGGGCAGCCTGGGCAACATAGCAAGACTCCGTCTCTGCAAAAATAAAGAAATGGACAAATTAGCTGGACATGGTGGTGGTATACACCTATAGTCCCAGCTACTCAGGAGGCTGAGGCAAGAGGATTGTTTGAGCCCAAGAGTTTAAAGCTGCAGTGAGCTATGATGGCACTACTACACCCAAGCCTGTGTGACAGAGCAAGACCCTCTCAAATAAAATAAAACATAAAATAAAAGTGGGGCAACTAGCAGTCTAGTCAGAAAGCATCTCTCTCTTTCACACCTCACTTTATTTTTAATTGACTTGTGAAACAACTTTGTATCTTCTAGAGTTGCCATCAGTTGCAATTGCATAGTTTAGAAATGCCAGTTCATAGAAATTTCTGGTGAGTAGAATGTCCTGTAGCAGTTTACTGTGCACATTTCATGTTAATGAGACATCTATTACTTCCCCCTCAGGGATAACAAGTGTTATCACAATGGCAATTAAGCGGATAAAATTCCAGTAAAATGAAACTTAGTATCAAGTTGTTGTCTACTCAAGAGAATGCAACATTTAAGTCAGCTGTTGAAGCACGCATAGAAGCTAACCAAGCAGAAAAGAGGGAAGAAAATTCCAGAGTGTGAACAGCATGTGCAGAGACCTGTAGTCCTGTGGGAGACAAGGTATGTTCATTGTGTGGAGTGGGTATGTGTGTAGGGAAGGCAGGTGAGAGAGAAAACGGGGTGGAGTCAGGTTGTACCAGGCCTTATACATCAAACTAAGGAAGCTGGATTTTACCCTGCAGAGTAGATGCTTTGGGGGTTGCATTAGTCCGTTCTCACACTGCTATAAACATACCACCTGAGACTTGGTAATTTATAAACAAAAGAGCTTTAATTGACTCACAGTTCCATCTGGCTGGGAAAACCTCAGGAAACTTACAGTCATGGTGGAAGGAGAAGGAGAAGCAAGTACCTTCTTCACAAGGTGGCAGCAGAGAGAGTGCAGGGGAAACTGCCACTTATAAACCATCAAATCTTGTGAGAACTCACTATCATGAGAATAGCACGGGGGAAACTGCTCCCATGCTCCAATCACCTACCACCAGGTCCCTCTATCGACACGCGGGGATTACAATTCAAGATGAGATTTAGGTGGGGACACAGAGCCAAACCATATCAGGGGGTCCTTCCCAGTCCAAGAGCCATGACCCTGTCCAAAAATTCTGTCACTCCATGGGTTGGGGTCCAGGTAGCCAGTTGATAGATGTTTTTGTTGTTGTTGTTGCTGTTGTTGTTTGAGATGGAGTCTCACTCTTGCCCAGGCTAGAGTCCAGTGACACCATCTCAGCTCACTGCATCCTCTGTCTTCTGGGTTCAAGCGATTATCCTGCCTCAGCCTCCCGGGTAGCTGGGATTACAGGCGCCCACCATCAAGCCTGGCTGATTTTTCTAATTTAG
Organism: Homo sapiens; assembly: GCF_000001405.40. NCBI lineage: Eukaryota > Metazoa > Chordata > Mammalia > Primates > Hominidae > Homo > Homo sapiens. The sequence continues at coordinate 30,231,296 of NC_000008.11, forward strand.
TAGAGACGGGGTTTCACCATGTTGGCCAGGTTGGTCTTGAATTCCTGACCTCAGGTGATCCACCCACCTTAGCCTCCCAAAGTTCTGGGATTACAGGCATAAACCACCCTGCTCAGCCCCTAGTTGATAGTATTTGACCCTCACTGTCTTGCTCATAGTTAACTGACAGTTCCAGGGATAAATACCTGACCCAGGACAGGCAAATCTGATCCTTCCTCTCAGGAATCTGAAAATGGGATTGAAACCACTGCTTATTGCCGACCTGTGTCTAGAACAATAACAAATACACTGGAAACTGCGGGGCAGCCTTAAAAGCTATATAAGTGCAGAATCGGACAAAGCTGGTCTGCAGGGGGACAGACAACCAAAGCAGGTGTGCAGAGCAAAGCAGGGATGAGAGTCAAGAAAGGCATATGTGGGTTTCCACCCAGTCTCCAATTCTTAGTTCCTTTTCCTCCCTGAGGCTGGGCAGCATTTTCCACTACTTGGGTTGCATAGTACCCCTTTATTGCCCTCTTTTCTTTTTTCCTTCAAATAGCTTGAGTAATAAATTATTTACAGCATGGGCTAAACTGCTGCTGTTGCCCAAAAGACCCCCAAATATAGCTCCAACAGGATAGTTTACCTATTATATCTATAGGCAGGCAGTCCAGGGAGGTTGGGGGCTCTGAGGCACTAGGACATCCAGGGAACCAGGCTTTTTCTGTCTCTGTTTCCCAGCAGTCCATGCCTTAAGGTATTGCTTTTCTCTGCAAGATCAAAGCTAGATCCCAGCACCACACCTACACACCAGGGAGGAATATGCTCAGGATTTAGAAGGGCAAGACTCAGAAATGGTATACACCACTTCTGCACTTCTGCTCACAACTCATTGGCCAGAACTGAATAATAACCCCACCTAGCTGCAAGACAGTCTGGGAATATAGCTCTCAGTTGGGCAGCTGAAATCCTATCCTATGGAAGAAGGAGAGAACAGATAACGAACAATTCACTGTCTGCCTGATGGTTTCTGTAAATTGCATTGCACCCAAAGAACCCCAACTTGAGCTCTGTGTAGCTTTTCTTGACCGCTTCAAGCTGAGCTGATGTCTCCCTTTTCTGTACGTGGTTCTTAGCCCGTATCACTGCACTGTATTCATCTGTTTGTTGATTAGTTGATTGGGTTTTTGTTGTCGTCTTTTTTTTGTTTTTTGTGTTTTTTTGAGATGGGGTCTTGCTCTGTCTTCCAGGCTAGAATGCAGTGGCACAATCACAACTCACTGCAGTCTCATCCTCTGAGGTTCAAACAATCCTCCCACCTCAACCTCCCAAGTAGCTGGGACTACAGGCATGTGCCACCATGCCCAGCTAATTAAAAAAAAATTTTTTTAGTAGAGACGAGGCCTCCCTATGTTGTCCAGCCTCGTGTCTAATTCCTGGGGTCAAGCAATCCTCCTGCCTAGGCCTCCCAAAGTGTTGGCATTATAGGCATGAGCCACCGTGCCTTGCCTCATTCATCTGTTAATTTATCTATATAGAAGAGACAGTTAGTGATCTCTAGTTTCTGCTCCTTCCCTCTTCCTTGGTAGCTAAGTCCCCCTCCCCCAAGTGTTATGTTTGGCACATTGCTAAATGGAATAAAGCTGACATTCGCCAGGCTCCCTTACTGCGAGGTATGGTAATATGATTCAGTTCTGGGCTGGGCGCAGTGGCTCACACCTGTAATCCCAGCACTTTGGGAGGCCAAGGCTTGAGCCCAGGAGTCTGAGATCAGCCAGGGCAACACAGTGAGACCCTGCCTCTGCAAAAATGACAAAATAGCTGGGTGTGGTGGCACAGCCTGTAGTCCCAGCTGCTCAGGAGGCTGGAGTGGGAGGATCATTGAGCCTGGGAAGTCGAAGCTTTGGTAAGCCATGATTGTGCCACTGCACTCCAGCCTGGGTGACAGAATGAGACTCCATCTCAGAAAAAATAATAAAGTTCTGGCCAGTGAGATGACAGCTTCCAGGAAACCCTATAAAAGATAGCTGGCATGCACCCTTTGTCAATTCTTTCTCTCTTCCACATTTCTCTTGGTTGGAATAGCAGCTATGGCAGCTGCCTAAGACCATGAGATATCTTGGGAGTGGAAGCCATACATGTTAGAGCAACAAGACAGAAGTCTTGGTTCACAACACTGTGGTGTGCCATAATATCTCTGGTATACTACATACATTATTTCTGAGAGAGAAAGAAACTATTTTATTTTGGGGGGATCTCCTTTACTCCCAGCCAAACCTAATCCTTATCCTACAACCTGTGTCCTTGAAATTTTCCAATGGACTACAAGCCCTGGAGAGCAAGGACTGATTCTTGTTCATCTGTGCATGTCTGGTGCCCTTTCTTCAGATTATATCCATGGATACGAGGCAGATTTCACTTTGACCTAATCAGGTTGGTTCCCTTCCACAAATGGTCCACTAGACCTTCAGGGTAACACTATTAGGCTATTAGGCTTTGCCAGTCCACTCACATTCTTTCTTTTTCTTTCTTTCTTTTTTTTTGAGATGGAGTTTCGCTCTTGTTGCCCAGGCTGGAGTGCAATGGCGCGATCTCGGCTTACCACAACCTCTGCCTCCCAGGTTCAAGTGATTCTCCTGCCTCAGCCTCCCGGGTAGCTGGGATTACAGGCATGCACCACCATGCCCAGCTAATTTTGTATTTTTAGTAGAGACAAGGTTTCTCCATGGTGGTCAGGCTGGTCTCGAACTCCCAACCTCAGCTGATCCTCCTGCCTCGGCCTCCCAAAGTGCTGGGATTACAAGTGTGAGCCACCGAACCCAGCCCAACTCACTTTCTTACTCATGCAAGCATGATTTCAGGCCCACTCTATTCTGCTCAGATCCTCTCACTCTCAGGCGGACCTACCTGCTAAGATTCAGAGAAATCAAAGTGTTTAAGCCAATGGTTGCCTCTTCTTCCCGACACCAACTGAAAGGCTCACTTTTTCCTCTCCTTGCCTCTTGTTGTAGCAGGGGTTGCTGTTCCTCCCATCAAAGGTGAGGCTCTCATTCCTGCCTTGCATCTTGGCCAAGAGTCTTTGGTAGGAACATAGAACTGTCTATCATCCCTTCACTCTCCTGTCTCTATCTCCAGCTCTTTCAGATCTTTTCTACTGATTCCATAGTATGCACAAGTCATGTTCAATAAGAACAAAACAACACACACACACATACACACACACACACACACACACACACACACACACACACAGCCTTAACACGTCATCTCCACTCGTATCCCCTTTGCAACTAATCCTCTCCAAAGAGTGGTCCATACACTCTGTCCCATGGCCTCATTTCCTTTTCATTCTTCATCCCAATCAGCGTCATCACCCAAGACGTGCCTGTTGCTAATGTCAGCAGACGTGTTTCCATCCTCTTCTTTCCCTCTCAGCGGTGGTGAATCATGTTAGTTGCCATGCCTTGGCTTCCGGTGGACCTGGCCTCTTCCCCTCTTCCTCATACCTTTGCAGAGCCTTTTTCTTCTGCTCAGTTATTCAAATAATGGTTGGCCAGAAGACACTAGATGCAGTCTTTCTCACTCTATCCTCTTCCCTACCTGACCTCCTCCTGTGGCTAATTTTTGTATTTTTAGTAGAGACAGGGTACCTTTTTTTTTTTTAATCCAGAGGAAGGGAATTGTAACACCTGTTTCACGGGGTTGTTGTGAGGATTAAATGATATCTACACAATGTGCCCAACAGAGTTCCCTGTGCATAAAATTGCACATCACATACTCAGATACTCTTAGTCCCTTCTTCTTCCTGTAACCAAGAGGAACCAACCACCGGTGAACCACAAGACAGAGAATTCCTGACCCGGTCCTCAGCCACAGTCTGCCTGTACTTCCTGCTCTCTGGGTTTTCTTGGTGTTTACCTGCTGCGTGGTGGTCAAGGATGACGTCCTTTTGATAACCCATGCTCTTTGTCTTACTCCTTTCTCAGTAAAAACAGAAAAGGTTACATGAATAAGAAATAGGACATCGAGGCCAGGCACAGTGGCTCACGCTTGTAATCCCAGCACATTGGGAGGCCAAGGAGAGTGGATTATTTGAGGTCAGGAGTTCGAGCATGGCAAACATGGTAAAACCCTATCTCTACTAAAAATACAAAAATTAGCCAGGCGTAGTGGCAGGTGCCTGTAATCCCAGCGACTCGGGAGTCTAAAGCAGGAGAATCACTTGAGCCTGGGAGGTGAAGATTGCAGTGAGCCGAGATCGCACCACTGCACTCTCCAATATGGATGACAGAGTGAGTCCCTGTCTCAATAAAAAATAAAAAATAAAAAAAAGGCACATCGAGGGGTGGGGCTAGGCGAATTCTAAGACTGTCATCAATTACTTTCAAACAAGGCAACTTGGCTGAGTGCAGTGGCTCACGTCTGTAATCCCAGCACTTTGGGAGGCTGAGGCAGGCAGATAACATGAGGTCAGGAGTTCGAGACCAGCCTGGACAACATGGTAAAACCCCATCTCTACTAAAAATACAAAAATTAGCTGAGCAAGGTGGTAGATGCCTGTAATCCTAGCTATTTGGGAGGCTGAGGTGAGAGAATGGCTTGAGCCCGGGAGGCGGAGATTGCAGTGAGGTGAGATCATGCCACTGCACTCCAGCCTGGGCGATAGAGTGAGACTCTGTCTCAAAAAAAAAAAAAAAGAAAACTTAATCATTCCATTTTTATGTGATGCCTCACTAAGCACAGTGCCTGAGACTACAGACTGGGACAGACAATGAAAATAAGCAAAGGGTGGAAAACACATTTTCTGATGCCTCCAACCTACCCGCCTAAGGAAGTCTTACTAGACACAGTGGTTCTCAATCTTATCAGTCCCAACTCCCCTAAATATATAAATATACTTTTATAGTATACAAATATGATAAATACACTATGTTTATTATCATCCTTGATATATAAATTTTATTTTTAATTTTTAATTTTTTTGAGACAGATTTTCACTGTTGTTGCCCAGGCAGGAGTATAGTGGCGCCATCTCGGCTCACTGCAACCTCCACCTCCCAGGTTCAATCGATTCTCCTGCCTCAACCTCCTGAGTAGCTGGGATTACAGGTGTCCACCACCATGCCCAACTAATTTTTGTATTTTTAACCTCCTGAGTAGCTGGGATTACAGATGTCCACCATCATGCCCAGCTAATTTTTGTATTTTTAGTAGAGAAGGGATTTCACCATGTTGGCCAGGCTGGTCTCGAACTCCTGACCTCAGGTGATCCACCTGCCTTGGCCTCTCAAAGTGCTGGAATTAATAGGCATGAGCCACTGTGCCCAGCCAAAATAAAAATTTTAAGTCAGTATATTTACTTTTGATAGGTATTGACTGGGCAGGACATGAGGGAGCCTTCGAGGGTGCTGAGAATGGATGTGTGTTGATGTGAGTGTTGGCTACATGACTACATTCCTACATAAAAAGCCATTGAAACCCAGGCATGGTGGCGTATAACTATAGTCCCAGCTTACTCAGGCAGCTGAGGCACAGGATGAGGATCACTTGAGCCCAGGGGTTCAAGTCCAGCCCGGGCAACATAGTAAGACCCTCATCTCTCTAAAAAAAATACCTCCTTGAACAAGGGATCTCTCTGTATTTGTTTTTGCAGCTGTATATGAATCTACAATTATCTCCAGAAAAATCTAAATCAAAAATTAGATGTGGCTGACCGCGGTGGCTTACACCTGTAATCCCAGCATTTTGGGAGGCTGAGGCGGGCGGATCACCTGAGGTCAGGAGTTCGAGACCAGCCTATCAACATGGCGAAACCCCGTCCCTACTAAAAATACAAAAAATTACCCGGGTGTGGTGGCGGGTGCCTGTAATCCCAGCTACTTAGGAGGCTGAGCAGGAGAACTGCTTGAACCCAGGAGGCGGAGGTTGCAGTGAGCCAAGATAATGCTGGTGCACTCCAGTCTGGGCAACAAGAGTGAAACTCCGTCTCAAAAAAAAAAAAAAAGATGCAGCTCATGGAACGTGCCTGCAGCTCTTGGGGTTCCTGCAGCTCTTGGGGTTTCTGTGTCTTTTTTCACTGTCCGAGCTGGACCTACGCAGCAGCAACCATGTCTGAGGGACCTACAGTTGGTATTGATCTTGGCACCACCTACTCTCATGTGGGTGTTTTCCAACACGGAAAAGTAGAGACAATTGCCAATGATCAGGGAAGCCAAACTACTCCAAGCTATGTCGCCTTTACAGACACCAAATGATTGGTTGGTGATGCCACAAAGAATCAAGTTGCAGTGAACCCCACCAACACAGTTTTCAGTGCCAAATGTCTGATTGGATGCAGATCTCATGATGCTGTTGTCCAGTGTGATATAAAGCAATGGCCCTTCATGGTGGTGAATGATGCTGGCAGGCCCAAGGTCCAAGGAGGAGACAGCGGAGAGACAAAAAGCTTCTACCCAGAGGACGAGATGTCTTCTATGGTTCTAACAAAGATGAAGGACATTGCAGAAGCTGATCTTGGGAAAACAGTTACCGATGCTGTGGTCACAGTGCCAGCTGACTTTAATGACTCTCAGCGTCAGGCTACCAAAGATGCTGGAACTATTGCTGGTCTCAATGTACTTAGAATTATCGATGAGACAACTGCAGGTGCTATTGCTTATGGCTTAGACAGAGAAAGGTTGGAGCTGAAATAATTATGCTGATCTTTGACCTGGGAGGTGGCACTTTTGATGTATCAATCCTCACTATTGAGAATGGGATCTTTGACATCAAATCTACAGCTGGAACGCCAGGCACTGTGGCTCATGCCTATAATCCCAGCACTTTGGGAGGCCGAGGTAGGCAGATCACTTGAGGTCAGGAGTTCAAGACCAGCCTGGCCAAAGTGGTGAAATCCCATCTCTACTAAAAAACAAATACAAAAAGTAGCCAGGTGTGGTGGTGTGCACCTGTAATCCCAGCCACGTGGAAGGCTGAGGCAGGAGAATCACTTGAACCCAGGAGGTAGAGGTTGCAGTGAGCCAAGATCGTGCCACTGCACTCCAGCCTGGGCAACAGAGCAAGACTCCATCTCAAAAAAAAAAAAAAAAATCTACACCCAGAGAACTCACTTGGGTGGAGAAGACTTTGACAACCAAATAGTCAACCATCTTATTGCTGAGTTCAAGCGCAAGCATAAGAAGGATGTCAGTGAGGCTGGGCATGGTGGCTCCCACCTGTAATCCCAGCACTTTGGGAGGCCGAGGAGGGCGGATCCCAAGGTCAGGGGTTTGAGATCAGCCTGGCCAACATGGTGAAACCCCATCTCTACTAAAAATACAAAAGTTAGCTGGGTGTGGTGGCATGTGCCTGTAGTCCCAGCTACTTGGGAGGCTGAGGCAGGAGAATCGCTTGAACCCGGGAGGTGGAGCTTGCAGTGAGCTAACACCACTGCACTCCGGTCTGGGCAACAGACCAAGACTCCATCTCAAAAAAAAAAAAAAAGAAGGATGTCAGTGAGAACAAAAGAGCTATCTCACACCATCATATGGTTTGTGAATGTGGTAAGTATACTCTCTCTTCCAGCACCCAGGCCGGTATCGAGATTGATTCTCTCTATGAAGAAATCGACTTCTATACCTCCATTACCAATGCCTGATTTGAAGAACTGACCTGAAGAACTGACTTGCTCCATGGCACCATCGACCCCGTAGAGAAAGCCCTTCGAGACACCAAACTAGACAAGTCACAGACTCATGATATTGTCCTGGTTGGTGGTTCTACTCATATCCCCAACCTTCAGAAGCTTCTCCAAGACTTCTTCAATGGAAAAGAACTGAATAGGAGCATCCACCCTGATGAAGCTGTTGCTTATGGCACAGCTGTCCAGGCAGCCCTCCTATCTGGAGACAAGTCTGAAAATGTTCCAGATTTGCTTCTGTTGGATGCCACTCCTCTTTCCTTGGTATTGAAACTGATGACGGAGTCACGACTGTCCTCATTAAGCACAATACTACCATTTTTACCAAGCAGACACAGAATTTCACTGCCTATTTTGACAACCAGCCTGGTGTGCTTATTCAGGTTTATAGAGATGAGCATTCCATGACCAAGGATTACAACCTGTTTGGCAAGTTTTGGGGTTTTTAATTTTTTTTTTTTATGAAGAAAAGATGTTTATTTTGGCTCATGGTTCTGCAGGCTGTACAGGAAGTGTGGCGCAAACCTCTCGCTTATGGCATGAGCCTTAGGGAGCTTACAATCATGGTGGAAGGTGAAGGGGAGCAGTGTATCACATGGCAAGAGAGTGAAGAGGAAGATCCCAGACTCTTAAATAATGAGATCTCGCATCAACTAACTGAGCAAGAACTCACTCATCGCCATGGGAATGGTGCTAAGCCATTCATGAGGGATCCGTCCTCATGATCAAATCACCTCCCACCAGGTCCCAGCTTCACCTCTGGAAATCAAATTTCAACATGACGTTTGGAGATAGAAAACATCCAAACCACATCACAAGGTCTCTAGATGGCTTTTCTCCCTGAAAAAGCTATTTCCATTTCTAAGTGTGATATATAAAAGAAACATAAAGGAAAGAATTTTGAAATGCATTTTCATCTTATTTTATCACAAATTTATTGAGATATTATTCACATACAATAAACATCATTCTTTTAACGCATACAATTTGATGTGTTTTGGTATATACACAGTGATATACAACTATCACTGTTTTCTAATATTACAATAGTTTGGCCGGGCACGGTGGCTCATACCTGTAATCCCAACACTTTGAGAGGCTGAGGCAGGAGGATCACTTCAGATCAGGAATTCAAGACCAGCCTGGTCATCATTGTGAAACCCCATCTCTACCAAAAATACAAAAATTAGCCAGGCATGGTGCTGTGCACCTGTAGTCCCAGCTACTCGGGAGGCTGAGGCAGGAGAATGGCTTGAACGCAGGAGGCAGAAACAGAGGTTTCAGTGAGCCGAGATCATGCCACTGCACTCCAGCCTGGGAAACAAGAGCAAAACTCTGTCTCAAAAACAAACAAACAAAAAACAACAACAAAAATATTATAATAGTTTGATCAACCTGAAAAGAAATCCCATATCCACTAGCCATCATTCTCCATTCACTTATTCCTCCCTCTAGAAAGCATCAATCTACTTTCTGTCTCTATGGATTGGCAAGTTTGAACTCACAGGCCTACTTCCTGCACTCCACTGTTCCTCAGATCGAAGTCACTTTTGACATTGATGCCAATGGCATCCTCAGTGTCTCTGCTGTGGACAAGAGTAGAAAAAGAGAGCACGATTACTGTCATTAATGACAAGAGCCATTTGGACAAGGAAGATATTGAGCTATGGCCCAGGAAGCTGAGAAGTGCAAAGCTGAAGATGAGAAGCAGAGGGACAAGGTGTCACCCAAGAATTCACTTGAGTCCCATGCATTCAACATGAAAGCACTGTTGAAGATGAGAAACTTCAAGGCAAGATGAACAATGCAGACAAGCAGAAGATTCTTGACAAGTGTAATGAAATTATCAACAGAATCAGACCGCAGTGAAGGAAGAATGTGAACATCAGCAGAAAGAGCTGGAGATAGTCTGCAACCCCATCATTACCAAGCTGTACCAGAGTGCAGAAGGCATACCAGGAGGAATGCCTGGGGGATACCCTGGTAGTGGAGCTCCTCCCTCTGTCAATGCTTCCTCAGGGCCTACCATTGAAGAAGTTAATTAAGCCAACCCAAGAAAAGATGTAGCATTGTTCCACACAGTGAAAATATGGAAGGACTTAAATTTGTAGCAAATTCTGTGGCAGCTTTTAAAGTTCAGCTGCTATAGTAAATTACTGGGCATTCTCAATACTTGAATATGGAACATGTGCACAAGGGAAGGAAATAACATTGCACTTTATAAGCACTGTATTGTAAGTGGAAAATGCAATGTCTTAAATAAAACTGTGTTTAATATTGGAAAAAAATGAGATGCAGGTGATTGTTATGTTAGATGTAATTTACCCTAATTTTTTAAAAAATGAGATGAAATTCACACCCATCAGATTGGCAGACATGGAGAAGTTTAATAATACTCAACTTGGCAAGAATGGACAAAAGGGAAATTCTTAAACACTTTAGGAGCATAAGTGAGTAAATTACTATGGAGAACAACTCAGAATTACCTAGTAAGATTGGAAATGCAAATGTTCTATAAGCCAGAAATTCCAGTTCTAATAAACTATTGTGAAACACTCCCACATATGAACAAGGATATTTGTATGAGACATTCTTTGGAATATTGTTAGTAAGCGTACAAAATTGAAAACAAAGTGTTCATCAGTGTCTCCTTTTATTAAAAAATGTTTAATTAAAAACTTTTAAAATTAAAAATATTTCCCCTTATTAAAAAAAAAGTAAGTAGTGTGTAAATATCAATGTGGAACAGGAAATGTGAATGGCAATGTCTAATTTGATTCCACGGTTTGAGGAACTGTGCATTGCTCAACAGGCACACATACCATTAGTAAGTAATTGTGGTTGTTTAAGAATAAAATTACAATTTTATTTTTCCTATTTAAAAAGTCACATTTCCATGCTGCCTGCCAAAACTTAACAGATAACGTACTAGGTCATTAACACATCCTTGTCTATTTGAAAACCTCCAGACAAACAAGCAGATGAGCCTTGGAGCTTTGGCAATGGGAATTATTGCTTAGCTAGTAATAAACAGTGTTCTCAGAACTCAAAGATACTAAGGAGGGCACAGCCTTGAGGAGCCAAGGGTGATTGTTGGAAAATACCAATGCAACATTCAAGACACAGGAAGTTAAGAAGTGATTCAGGGTGCAGCACACCAACATGGCACATGTATACATATGTAACAAACCTGCATGTTGTGCACAGGTACCATAGAGCTTAAAGTATAATAAAAAAAAATGTGATTTTTGATTTAAAAAAAAAAAAGAAGTGATTCACATGAACCAAGACCACACCATTGCACTCTAGCCTGGGGCACAAGAGGAAAACTCTGTCTCAAAAAAAAAAGAAGGTGATGCAAGACACTGATGTGACTATGGAACCCCTGTGGAACCCAGAATAGAATCCATCTATGGGGCAATGTGGTAGCCATCCCCCAGTAATCCCAGCCTCCTGGTATTCACGCCCTTGTGTAGTCCCCTCCCACAGTGAATCAGAGTTGGCTCTGTGTGGCCAATAAAATATGGTAGAAATGATGGCATGTGGCTGTCAAGGCTAGATCATAAATGGTATTGCTGATTCCACCTTGGTATCTTGGATTATTTGCTCTGTGGGAATCTATCTACCATATTGTCAGCACACTCAGAGAAACCCAGGGAGAGCCCCGTGGAGAAAGGATCTGAGGCCCCCAACCACCAGCCAGCACCAACTTGCCAGCCATGTGAACCACACTGAAGGTAAATCCTCCAGCCCCAGTGAAGCCTGCAGATAACTGCAGTCCCAGCCAACATCTGACTCCAACCTGATGAGCGACTCTGAGCCAGAACCACCAACTCAGCTTCTCTTGAATTCCTGACCAATAGAAACTGTGAGATAATAAATGAGTACTATTACTTTGAAAAAATTCCTTGAGCTATACACTGAAGATTTGGGTACTTCAGCATATATGTTATGCTTCAATAAAAAATTATAAAATTTAATAATTATTTAATGCAGAAAATAAATGTAATGTCCTAATTGTTATATAAAAGATACATAAAATAAAGACAATTTATGAAAGATACTTTAATATAAAAATGCTTGGCCACTACAACTCCAGAAGACCCAAGAAGGAGCTTAAGGCTCACATCTTAAAAATCATCTTGGGCCATGTGCAGTGGCTCCCACCTGTAATCCCAGCACTTTGGGAGGCTGAGGCAGGTGGATCACCTGAGGTCAGGAGTTCGAGACCAGCCTGGCCAACATGGTAAAACCCCGTCTCTACTAAATATAACAAAAATTAACTGGGCGTGGTGACAGTCATCTGTGATCCCAGTGACTCAGGAGGCTGAGGCAGGAGAATTGCTTGAACCAAAGAGTCGGAGGTTGCAGTGAGCCGAAATTGTGTCATTGTACTCCAGCCTGGGCAACAAGAGTGAAACTCTGTCTCAAAAAAAAAAAAAAAAAAAAAAAAAAAAAACTTCATATATATGCTTTATGGTACTAATGCAGGCTGAGACAAGTGTATTGAACTGGTGACTTGACTACTATAAGCAGTGCTGCCATTAGTGACTTGATTTTCCAAAACAGTAAATGTGGCAGATTATATTTTCCACAAATGGTCACAGAAACATTTGTGGTCCCACCTGCAATTCCGGAGCTTTGCCACTCCCCACTTGAAATTGGGTGGACTTGTGTGACTGCCTAAACAAGGTAAAAGACTAGGTCAAAAAAGGTAATATGGTGCCAGTAAACTTTCAGTGTCCTTTAGGGGGGCCAGACATTACACTTACTAGACAAAAACTTTAAATCAGCTACTAAAAATATGTTCAAAGAACTAATATGTCTAAAGAACTAAAGGAAAGCATGAAAACAATGTGTCACCATATGTACAACATCAATTATGACATAGAAATTATATTAAAAAGAGAACCAGATAGAAATCCTGAAGTTGAAAAGTACAAAAACTGAAATAAAAAATTCATTAGAGGGGTACAACAGCAAACTTGAAGATAGGTCAATTGAGATCATCCAATCTGAGGAATAGAAAGAAAATAAATGAATAAAAATAAACAAGAGACTCAGAGATCTTTGAGCCACCATCAAGCATATCAGCTTATACATAATGGGAGTCCCAGAAGAGAGGAGAGAGAGAATGGGGCATAATTAACATCTTAAATAATAATGACCTACAACTTCACAAGTTTGATGGAAAACATTAATATACACATCCAGAACCTCACCAAAATCCAAGTAAGATAAACTCAAAGAGATCAACACCTAAAAACATCCTAATCCAACTGTTAAAGAGGGAATCTTGAAAGCAGCAAGAGAGAAGTGCCTTGTCACATACAGTAAGGCCTCAATAAGATTAACAGAGAATGTCTCATCAGAAATCATGGAGACCAGAAGGCACTGGGGTGACATATGAAGTGCCGAAATTAAAAAGTACTGTCAGTCAATAATTCTATATCCAGTAAAGCTATTCTTTAAAGGTGAAGGAGAAATAAAGACATTCACTGGTTAAAAACAAAAAACTGTGGGTCAGGCATGGTGGTTCATGCTTGTAATCTCAACACTTTGGAAGGATGAGGCAGGGGGATCACTTGAGCACCAGAGTTTGAAGTTGCAGTGACCTATGATTACACCACTGCACTCCTGTCTGGGTGACTGAGTGAGATCCTGAACAAGTAAAAGGAAATAGACAGTAATTCTGACCTACACAAAGGAATAAAGCACTAGTAATGGTACCTCCTATATAGGTAAATGTAAAAGACATTATAAATTATTTTTATGTGTATATAAGTCTTTCCTTTTTCTACCCGATTTAAAAGATAACTGGATAAGCAATAATTATAAAACTGTATTGGGCTTATTCTGTATGACTATAATAGCACAAACTAGTGGTGAAGTAATAGAACTATATAGAAATGAAGCTCTTGTCTATTATTGAAATTAAGTTGGTATTAATTTAAAGTAGATGGTTATAAATTAAGATGTTAACTGTAATCACAAGGGCAACAGAGAAAATAAATAGAAAATATAGTAAAAGAAATGACAAGAGCTGGGTGTGGTGGCACACACTTATAGTCCCAGCTACTTGGAAGGCTGAGGTGGGAGGACTATTTGAGCCCAGGAATTCAAGTTTAACCTGGGCAACATTGCAAGATCCCATCTCTAAAAAAAGAAAGTTGGGAGGCTGAGGCGGGCGGATCACGAGGTCAGGAGTTTGAGACCAGCCTGACCAACATGGTGAAACCCCATCTCTACTAAAAATACAAAAATTAGCCAGGCCTGGTGGCACATGCCTGTAATCCTAGCTACTAAGGAGGCTGAGGCTGGAGAATCGCTTGAACTCGGCAGGCGGAGGTTGTAGAGAGCTGAGATGGTGCTGCTGTACTCCAGCCTGGGAGACAGAGCAAGAATCTGTCAAAAAAAAAAAAAAAAAGGAAAGAAAGAAAGAAAATGACAAGAGAATTAAAATGGTACATGAGAAAATATCTAACACAAAAGAGGGCAGTAATAAAGGAATAGAGGAACAATAAAATGCCATAAGACATATAGAAAACAAATAGCAAAATGGCAGATACAAATCCTACAATAATTACATTAAATATAAATTGATTAAACACTTCAATCAAAGGGAAATATTGGGAGAAGGATAAAAAAGACATGCTCAAACTGTATGCTGTCTAGGGGAGACTCACTTTATTTTTTATTTTTTGTATTTTTGAAACAGAGTTTCACTCTTGTTGCCCAGGCTGGAGTGCAATGGTGCAGTTGTCTTGCCTCAGCCTCTCAAGTAGCTGGGATTACAGGCGCCGCCACCATGCCAGGCTAAGTTTTGTATTTTTTTAGTAGAGACGGGATTTCGCCATGTTGACCAGGCTGGTCTTATACTTCTGACCTCAGGTGATCCACCTGCCTCGGCCTCCCAAAGTGCTGGAATTACAGACGTGAGCCACTGCACCTGGCCTGGAGTTCTTTTTTTTTTTTTTTTTTTTTTTTTTTTTATTGATCATTCTTGGGTGTTTCTCGCAGAGGGGGATTTGGCAGGGTCATAGGACAATAGTGGAGGGAAGGTCAGCAGATAAACAAGTGAACAAAGGTCTCTGGTTTTCCTAGGCAGAGGACCCTGCGGCCTTCCGCAGTGTTTGTGTCCCTGGGTACTTGAGATTAGGGAGTGGTGATGACTCTTAACGAGCATGCTGCCTTCAAGCATCTGTTTAACAAAGCACATCTTGCACCGCCCTTAATCCATTTAACCCTGAGTGGACACAGCACATGTTTCAGGGAGCACAGGGTTGGGGATAAGGTCACAGATCAACAGGATCCCAAGGCAGAAGAATTTTTCTTAGTACAGAACAAAATGAAAAGTCTCCCATGTCTACTTCTATCCACACAGACCCGGCAACCATCCGATTTCTCAATTTTTTCCCCACCCTTCCCGCCTTTCTATTCCACAAAACCGCCATTGTCATCATGGCTCATCCCCAATGAGCCGCTGGGCACACCTCCCAGACGGGGTCGTGGCCGGGCAGAGGGGCTCCTCACTTCCCAGTAGGGGCGGCCGGGCAGAAGCGCCCCTCACCTCCCGGATGGGGCGTCTGGCCGGGCGGGGGGCTGACCCCCCCACCACCCTCCCGGACGGGGCGGCTGGCCGGGCAGAGGGGCTCCTCACTTCCCAGTAGGGGCGGCCGGGCAGAGGCGCCCCTCACCTCCCGGACGGGGCGGCTGGCCAGGCGGGGGGCTGATCCCCCCACCTCCCTCCCGGACGGGGCGGCTGGCCGGGCAGAGGGGTCCTCACTTCCCAGTAGGGGCGGCCGGGCAGAGGCGCCCCTCACCTCCCGGACGGGGCGGCTGGCCGGGCGGGGGGCTGACCCCCCCACCTCCCTCCCGGACGGGGCGGCTGGCCGGGCAGAGGGGTCCTCACTTCCCAGTAGGGGCGGCCGGGCAGAGGCGCCCCTCACCTCCCGGACTGGGCGGCTGGCCGGGCGGGGGGCTGACCCCCCCACCTCCCTCCCGGACAGGGCGGCTGGCCGGGCAGAGGGGTCCTCACTTCCCAGTAGGGGCGGCCGGGCAGAGGAGCCCCTCACCTCCCGGACGGGGCGGCTGGCCGGGCGGGGGGCTGACCCCCCCCACCTCCCTCCCGGACGGGGTGGCTGCCGGGCGGAGACGCTCCTCACTTCCCAGACGGGGTGGCTGCCGGACGGAGGGGCTCCTCACTTCTCAGACGGGGCGGTTGCCAGGCAGAGGGTTTCCTCACTTCTCAGACGGGGCGGTCGGGCAGAGGCGCTCCTCACATCCCAGACAGGGCGGCGGGGCAGAGGTGCTCCCCACATCTCAGACGATGGGCGGCCGGGCAGAGACGCTCCTCACTTCCTAGATGGGATGGCGACCGGGAAGAGGCGCTCCTCGCTTCCTAGATGGGATGGCGGCCGGGCAGAGACACTCCTCACTTTCCAGACTGGGCAGCCAGGCAGAGGGGCTCCTCATATCCCAGACGATGGGCGGCCAGGCAGAGACGCTCCTCACTTCCCAGACGGGGTGGCGGCCGGGCAGAGGCTGCAATCTCGGCTCTTTGGGAGGCCAAGGCAGGCGGCTGGGAGGTGGAGGTTGTAGCGAGCCGAGATCACGCCACTGCACTCCAGCCTGGGCACCATCGAGCACTGAGTGAACGAGACTCCGTCTGCAATCCCGGCACCTCGGGAGGCCGAGGCTGGCGGATCACTCGCGGTTAGGAGCTGGAGACCAGCCCGGCCAACACAGCAAAACCCCGTCTCCACCAAAAAAAAACGAAAACCAGTCAGGCGTGGCGGCGCGCGCCTGCAATCGCAGGCACTCGGCAGGCTGAGGCAGGAGAATCAGGCAGGGAGGTTGCAGTGAGCCGAGATGGCAGCAGTACCGTCCAGCTTTGGCTCGGCATCAGAGGGAGACCGTGGAAGGAGACCGTGGAGAGGGAGAGGGAGAGGGACAGGGACAGGGACAGGGACAGGGACAGGGGAGTTCTTTATTTAAATCAACAAACTCATATTCCTCAAGCCCCAGACCATGGTAGGCAGCCCTCCTTTCTCTGTTCCCTCACCCCTACTCCCTAGCCACAGTGAGGGGAATGGAAAATGAGAAGCCACGAGGGCCTCTGCCAGGGAAGCCTACCCCAGATGTGTGGTGAGCACGGTGCAGCAGTGGCTGGGGTAGCAACCGCCACAAGCCCCTCCCTATAAATTAAGTCCCTGCAGCCACAGCTGTGGGAGAACTAAAAACCGCCTTTGCAAAATTATGACTGAGACAGTGAAAGAGATCTAACCTAACTGACTCCATATTGGTTCTACCTTTAAGCTGTCCTTGTTCCTTCCTGGGCAAAGGCCGAACTAACTTTGAGAGGAACTTAGTTTACAGCTTAAAACAAAGATGATAACAGCCCTTTCCCAAAACAAACCTCCTTCTTGCCTAGGGACTAGACTGCCTTTATAGGACTAACAAATTAGCCACAAGATTAGAAATTATGGTTTAGGAGTCATACAGCTGGAGGCTACAAGATTCTGACCCTCCCTAAACTGCTCCTAAAATCAGTGCTTAAGATATTTTGCCAACCCTGCACTTGATGGATCAGCTGGCACCACCCAGATCGATAAACTGGCTCATCTGATCTTGTGGCCCCCACCCAGGAACCGACTCAGCACAGGAATACATCTTCAACTTCCTGTGATTTCATCTCTGACCTGACTGATCAGCACTCACAGCTCACTGGCTTCCCCCGTCCCAGTAAGTTGTCCTTAAAAACTCTAATCCCCAGGCCTGGCGCAGTGGCCCACGCCTGTAATCCCAGCACTTTGGGAGGCTGAGACAGGCGGCTCACTTGAGGTCAGGAGTTCAAGACCAACCTGGCCAACATGGTGAAACCCCATCTCTACTAAAAATACAAAAACTAGCCAGGCATGGTGGTGGGCACCTGTAATCCCAGCGACTTGGGTGACTGAGGCACACGAATCAAGTGAGAATCACTTGAACCTGCGAGGCGGAGGTTACCTGAGACTGAGTTTCCCCGTCTCTACTAAAAATACAAAAATCAGCTGGGCATGGTGCCACGTGCCTGTAATCCCAGCTACTTGGGAGGCTGAGGCAGGAGAATCACTTGAACCTGGGAGGCAGAGGTTGCAGTGACCAGAGATCACGCCACTGCACTCCAGCCTGAGCGACAGAGCGAGACTCCATCTCAAAAAAAAAGGTGCAAGACTTTTAATTTCTTTAGGATTGGGAGGGCCTGGAAAAAAAAAAAAAAGATCCAGCTATGTTAATAGAGATTCTTTACAGATGCAAAATTTCCTCCCAAAAGGATAGCTTTGCAGGGCCATATGAAGATATGGCAAAGAAACATGTCTTGGGGTAAAATATTTTGATTTTCTTCCTTGTCTCGTAATGTTATTCCAGAGTCAGGTTGGAAAGTAAGTCACGATATACAGGGTTAAATAAAACCCATCTGATGAGAATTTATGGTTTGTAGGGCATGACTCCCCAGATAGGAATTTGGACAAGATTAAAAAAAAAAAATCAGGGCTTAGTCCTCAGATCAGAGGATCTAGCGTGACATCCCATAGCCGGTCATGCCAACCTGAGACACCCCGCAGTTGCTGCCCATCTGTACCTCAATCATGTTCCTGCCCTCTTGTAGCTGGTTGAGAAGTTCCAAGGATTCTCCTTGGGTTTCTTAGGGAACCATATGGGAGCCCCAGAGAAGAGCCCATCGTCCTGGGCTACTGCCAGCCCACCCAGGTTCATCAGGATCCACTGCACACAGGCCACGTTCTTTCCTCCCCAGGGATGCACAGTTTGGAGGATGTCTGTGGTGTTAATGCCATAGCGCACTCAGCTGCTTGCAGGCATTGAGATATCTGCTCCATCTGCTTTAAGGCCATGGTGGAGACCTGGGTCTTCTTTACTGGGGCCTGCCCCTCGGGGCACAGTGCGTTAATGAGCTCACATAGCTCTGTGCCCTCCTTGAGGAAATTCTGGAAGTTCTCATGTCCAAGCTGGGGCCAGCCCACATCCTTTTGGCACTGGGTGGTGATCCATTGATCTGCTCCAGGTCTGCGTCATATGGATTCTCAATTTTCTGCTGCACCTCCCGGCTCAGGCCACACGCAGGTACCTTGTTGGCCATTCCAATGGGTAGTGGCGGCTGTGGGGAGCATTCATGCAGGCTGGAGTGCCATGCATCAAGGCAGGGGCTGTAGCAGCTAAGGATATTATTGATATGTTGGTGTACGTCTCCTATTTTGTTTTCTGTTTCTCCCTGTTTTTGTCTTTCTGGCTTTTTTTTTTTTTTTTTTCTGTCTTCCTGTCGGTTATTTGAACATTTTTCAGATTTTCATTTTTTATTTATTATAGTGTTTTTAAGTATATATCTTTGATTAGCTTTTAGTGGCTGCTCTAGGTAGTTTATATATTAGGTTGGTGCAAAAGTAATTGTGGTTTTTGCCATTACTTTTTTTTTTTCATTCTCTAAAGCACAACTTTATTTTCAGAAAGGAAAGGACACCAAAAATAGGACTGTCCTGTGCAGATGTCCAATAGCCTTAGTGTGGGGACCAAATGCCCCCCGGCCATTGGAAAGACAGATCTTGTAAGTTCCATTCGTCCATGCCCTCAACCATTCATTCATTTTTACTGAGACAGACAAAGATAGAAGTTCCTGCCGTCATGTTTCAATGAAGGACATATTCGCCATTACTTTCAATGGCAAAAACCGCAATTACTTTTGCACCAACCTAATACATACTTGATCGTCATTTTATTAGTATATATAAAACAGGTTTTTTTGTTTTGTTTTGTTTTGTTTTGTTTTGTTTGTTTTGAGACAGAGGCTGCAGTGCAGCGGTGCGATCTTGGCTCACTGCAACTTCCACCTCCCGGGTTCAAGCGAGTCTCCTGCCTCAGCCTTCCAAGTAGCTGGGATTACAGGCATGCACCGCCGTGCCTGGCTAATTTTTTTGTATTTTTAGTAGAGATGGGGTATCACCATGTTGGTCAGGCTGGTCTGGAACTCCTGAACCAAAACAATCTGCCCACCCTGGCCTCCCAAAGTGCTGGGATTACAGGTGTAAGCCACTGCATCTGGCCAAAACCAGTTTTACTCAGAAACTTTTTTAAAAGAAAAATTCCTTCTTAAAAATAACAGAGAGATTCAGAACAAATGCTATACTGGACCAGATACTGGAAAAACAGAAGTTAGGTAAAACTAACCTGGACATTCTTAGCCCTTTGCCTGCCATTTCTCAGCTCCAAATCTGCCCTTGCATGCTCCTCTCTTTTATGCTGTGTCTGGGACGCTGCAATGTTCCTTTCACAGATTTCTTTGCTAGCTGCCTTCCTGCAAAGCTCTGTCAATAGCAGGCACTAGAGGAAGATTGGAAGGTAACAGAAAAGAAGAAGGGACATTCTTCTTTCAACTTGCTCTTTCAGCCAATGTTACCCCCAAAACAACACTTTACTTTACAAATAGTAGTTGGTTCCAGCTTCCAGCTACTTTGGGTGCTCCTTGAGAACCAACCTCATTGAGCCCTCTCAGAAATATCAATAGCAGCTGAGTGATGCTTTCTCTTCATAGACCCTCCTCCAAGTTTCTCGGTACTGGTGACTCCCAACCTCTTCCCTTTAGTTATTCCAGCACTACAAGAATTAGTTGCTCTCTGTAGCCCTCTAGGCTACCTCAGCATTGCTTTCTGCTCTTTCAGCTTTCTGACACCTGAAACAAATCCTCTATATTAAATCCCTGATAAGGTTTGGATCTGTGTCCTTACCCAAATCTCATCTCAAAACCTCGAATTGTAAACCCCACATGTTGAGGAAGGGCCCTGTAATCCCCACGTGTTGAGGGAGAGAAGTGATTGGATTATGCTGTTCTAGCGATAGTGAGTGAGTCTCACAAGATCTGATGGTTTTCAAAAGTGGCAGTTTTTGTCCTACACTCTCACTTCTCTCTCCTGCCGCCTTGTGAAGAAGGTCCTTGCCTCCCCTTCGCCTTCCATCGTGGTTGTAAGTTTCCTGAGGCCTCCCCAGCACTGTGGAACTGTGAGTCAATTAAACCTCTTTCCTTTATAAATTACCCAGTCTCAGGCATTTATTTATAGCAGTGTGAGAACAGGATAATACAATCCTTCTGGTGATTTTTATTTTTCTAATTGGACCCTGACTGGTGACATAGGGGAAGGGAAAGGGCAGGAAACTATATATATCTATATATATAGATATATGGAGTATATATAGATATATGGAGTGTATAGATATATGGAGTATATAGATATATGGATTATAGATATATGACGATTATATATATATATATATGTCTTCTGTATACCAAGTATACAAATAATAAATATCAATAATTTTATATGTTACTAGTAATAGCTGTGATTTATTGAGACCTAGTCTATGACTTTCCCTGGCTACTTTCTTCTCATGTTGTAAGTTTCTGCTTGAATTTAATCTCAGAGAGGTTTTCCCTGATCGCCTTATCAAAAGCAACTGCTATTCCCTGTTATTCTCTGCTTCAGCTCATAAACCTTGTCCTTTATAGTACACCAAAAAAAGCACAATCATTTGATTTTTCTGGTCTGTCTTCCCCACTAGAATGTGAGCTCCATGAGAGGGAGGCCCTTGCTGGTCTTGTTCACGGCTGTCTCCCTAAAGCCTAGCATAGTGCTTGGCTCATAGTAGGTATATGTGAGTATTTTTAAAATATTGGTGTGTCCATTATGTATTCTTGCTTAACAAGCCATCCTACAATGTAGTGGCTTGAAACAAAACAGTAATTTCTCATGATTTTGTGGTCTGGCTGTGTGGTTCTGGTCTTGTCTGGGCTCACTGAAGAAGCTGCATTCAGCTGGTGGATTGGCTGGAGCTAGAAGGTCCCAGAGGGCCTCACTTGGTGGGGACAGCTGGAAGACGGGGGCCCCTCTCTTTATGTAGGGTAGCCCAAATGTCTTTACATGGCATCTGAGTTCCAAGAGTGTAAGCCTCAATGTGCACATTTTTTTTTTTTTTTTTTCTTGAGACAGAGTCTGACTCTGTCACCCAGGCTGGAGTGCAGTGGTGCGATCTCGGCTCACTGCAACCTCCGTCTCCTGGGTTCAAGCGATTCTCCTGCCTCAGCCTCCCAAGTAGCTGGGACTGCAGATGCCTGGCCACCACGCCCAGCTAATTTTTGCATTTTTAGTAGAGACGGGGTTTCGCCATGTTGGCCAGGCTGAATGTGCAAATATTTATTTAGCTTCTGCCTGGGTCACAGTTATGTCTCATTAGCCAACAAGTCATATAACCAAGTCCAGAGTCAGTATGGGAGGAGGCTACCCAAGGGCATGAATACCAGGAATATCAGTAGGGAGCCATCAGTACAACAGTCTATAATTTTGTATACATCATTGCTAATACTGACAGCAGCCTGCCACATAGTTGCTATTTCTTTTTTTTTTTTTTAGACGAAGTCTTGCTCTATTGCCCAGGCTGGAGTGCAGTGACATGATCTCAGCTCACTGCAACCTATAACCTCCTGGGTTCAAGCGATTCTCCTGCCTCAGCCTCCTGAGTAGCTAGAATTACAGGCATGCACCACCATGCCCAGCTAATTTTTGTATTTTTAGTAGAGACGGGGTTTTGCCATGTTGGCCAGGCTGGTCTCGAACTCCTGGCCTCAAGTGATCCCCCCTGCCTTGGCCTCCCAAAGTGCTGGGGTTACAGGCTGAGTCACCATGCCCAGCCTATTGTCATCTCTTTTTTTTTTTTTTTTTTTTTTTTTGAGACGAAGTCTCGCTCTGTCACCCAGGCTGGAGTGCAGTGGCGCAATCTTGGCTCACTGCAAGCTCCGCCTCCCGGGTTCACGCCATTCTCCTGCCTCAGCCTCCTGAGTAGCTGGGACTACAGGTGCCCGCCACCACGCCCGGCTATTCTTTTGCATTTTTAGTAGAGATGGGGTTTCACCATGTTAGCCAGGATGGTCTCGATCTCCTGACCTTGTAATCTGCCCGCCTTAGCCTCCCAAAGTGCTGGGATTACAGGTGTGAAGCATCGCACCTGGCATCTGTCATCTCTTTTAACCCAGCAGTCCCCAGCATATTTGGCACCAGGGATCCATTTCATGGAAGACAATTTTTCCATGGACTGGGGGTGGCGAGGATGGTTGCAGGATGATTCAAGCACATTACATTTATTGTGCACTTTATTTATAACATTATTACATTGGAACATATAATAATTATACAACTCACCATAATGTAGAAACAGTGAGAGCCCTGAGCTTGCTTTCCTGTAACTAGACAGTCCCATCTGGGGATGATGGGAGACATCATCCAGTGACAGATCATCCAGCATTAGATACTCATAAGAGGTGTGTAAACTAGATCCCTTCCATGTGCAGTTCACAATAGGGTTCATGTTCCTATGATAATTGAATGCTACCACTGATCTGACAGGAGGTGGATGGAGCTCAGGCGGTAATGTAAGTGATGGGGAGCAGCTATAAATACAGATGAAACTTCTCTTGCTTGCCACTTACCTCTTCCTGTGTGGCCCAGTTCTTAACAGGCCATGGACCAGCACCAGTCCACGGCCCAGGGGTTGGGGACTCCTGTTTTAACAGACGAAGACTCTAAGATCCACAGAAGTCAAGTAACTTGTCAAAAGGTCATAGCAACTAAGTGGCAGAAAATTCTAATTTTGATTCCAAATTCTGTGACCTTTCACTGTATCACAATCTTCTGGGAAAACATGGGTAGAAAAAAGATGACAACTCAGGAGAGAACTTCAACCTATATTTTCATTTGAATGGGAAAACACAATAGGTTTTATTTTCCTTTGCATGTAGTGGAGAAGATGAGTGAGCCAGATGATATGGGCTAAAGTGATTTTAAAATACCTCAGCTGTCACGTTAGCCAAGCTGACTCATGCTCTCACTGGAAGTTCTACGGTTTCTCAGCTGTAGTCACACAATATTTCATACATAATTCTCAGTCATAGCTCTTACCTATGTACTATTTGCGGTTCACCGTTTATTATGAGCTCTTCCTGGTCTGTATCCACATTGCTTGTATATTGTCTGAAGCACAGCAGGATCTCAACAAATGTTTGTTAAATGAACGAATTAGCAGAGGTCAAGGAGGCCAAAGATGAAGTCTCTCACTGTTTGCCAGGGACCCTGAGGAGAATCAATAAATAACTAGGGAGTAAAGCATTAAATGGAATGAATCATGAATTGCGTATTTGCTGTGGTTTGAATGTCCCTGCCAAAACTCATGTTGAAAATTAATTGCCAGCTGGATGCAATGGCTCACTCCTGTAATCTCAGCACATTGGGAGGCTGAGACAGGAGGATTGCTTGAGCCCAGGAGTTGGAGACCCACGTGGGTAATATAGCAAGACCTGTCTCTATTTTTTTTAAATAAAATTAATTGCCATTGTAACAGTATTTAGAGGTGACACCTTTACATGGTGATTAGATCATGAGTGGATTAATGCTGTTATCATGGGAGTGGGTAAGTTATCTCAGGAGTGGGCTTCTGATAAAAAGATAAGTTTGGCCCCAATTCTCTGTCTCACATGCTCAATTCTGCCTTCTGCTTTTCACCATGGGATGGCCCTCACCAGATGCCAGTGCCATGCTTTTGGACTTTCCAGTCTCCAGAACCGTAAGCCAAATAAATTTTTATTCTTTGTAAACCACCCAGTCTGCGATATTCTGTTATAGCAGCAGAAAAGGGACTAAGTATTATTTGAAGAACAAGAAGTAGTTCATGGAAGCAGACATTTTGGTTAAACAAATAGGTCAGGCCAGACATGGTGGCTTATACCTGTAATCCCAGCATTTGGGAGGCCAAAGCAAAAAGATCACTTGAGGCCAGAAGTTTAAGTCCAGCCTAGGCAACATATTGAGATCCTGTATCTACAACTACAACAACAACAAAAGTCAAAATTTGTTAACAAAACTAGCTTAAAATTGACTAGTGCTGTTAATATCTTTGTCAATTTTTAATTTAGAAAATTTCTATTTCAACCAATTCTGCTTGTTTTTTTGTTTTGTTTTGTTGTTGTTGTTGTTGTTGTTTTTTAATCAACAATTTTGAAAGTCCACAGGGAAGATTCACACCCCATAGCCTTTCTTCCACTTGCTTGGTCTACCCCTTTCATCACTGATGTCGAGAATTTAAATTTTCTCTATAATTGGAAGGAAATTTCCTTGAAGAAACTTTGTTGAAAACCATTGGAGTTGACAGGTTTTGTTTCCAGAGATATTGAACTACAGAGGATTCTGACTCTGGTGATACTGTGCACAGTGGTGGATAGGAAAGAAGCAAACATTAAATTTAAAAATTAACTTAAAAAATTTAACAAAAATTCCCAGCACTTTGGGAGGCCGAGGTGTGCAGATCACTTGAGCTCAGGAATTTGAGACCAGCCTGGGCAACATGGCAAAACCCTGTCTTTACAAAAAACAATAGTAATACAAAACAAACAAAAATTTAACAGAAATTTACACACTGAATGTGACATCTCCAGCTATTTGCAAATGGTATATTTAGGAAATCTTGACATTTTCTACGTTAAAAAAAATGAACCTCCATCAGAAAGGGCAGATTTTTTTTTGACTATTTCTAAAAACACAGATTTAAAGTGGTAATTTAACATCCATATAAAATATAGAAAGAAGAGAAGTGTATTTCAAATCATTTCTTGCCTTTTAAAAAAAAATTTGAGACAGGGTCTTGTTCTGTTGCCCAGGCTGGAGTGCAGTGGTATAATCTCAGCTCACTGCAGCATTGACCTCCCAACCTCAGGACATCTTCCCACCTCAGCCTCCTAAGTAACTGGGACTACAGGCACACGCTACCATGCCTGACTAATTTTTGTATTTTTCCTAGAGACAGGGTTTCACCATGTTGCCCAGGCTGGTCTTGAACTCCTGGGCTCAAGCGATCCATCTACTTTGGCCTCCCAAAGTGCTAGGATTTCAGGCATGAGCTGCTGCACCCAGCTAAACTATTTCTCGTTAATTCAGTGTTACAGAAACTACAGGCAATACTATAAAGTCCATGCCACGTGTGCTAATTCACAAGTGGACAGCATCATTCCCTTAGTTTCCCCAGCTGCTGTTTAAAGTAAAGCTGGTAAGGGCTATCTACAGTCTTCCAGTCACCAGGGCTGTTTGTGGCTGGCAGGAGACTCCAGGAGCCAGTCCTGGTTCCAGATTTTACTGGCCCTCTTCCAGATGGTCTGCAGCTCACATGGACTTTGTTCCTGGGAAACCTGTAGGTAGGTAGACAAGCCAGCTAATACAGGCAGGCCTGAATGGGAGCAAATTCAGAAAGGCTGGGCCAGAGCTCCAGGAAGCTAGCACAGATTTCAGATTAGTTCCAGACCATACCTGAACCCCCAAGAAATGTTCTGATGTTTCAGTTTCTGGCAACAGTCAGTAGGCCTGTAGGAGAAGGGCAGATACTTTTCATATTAATAGCTGACATGCAACACAGTTTAAAAGAGCCTCTGCCTGCTTCATCTCAACTGAGCAAGTACGGCAGGTACAGTTGACCCTAAGTTAGGGAGGAGCAAACTAGGACTTTATGAAGGCCACACCAGAGCCAGATGGCTAAAATATGGCTAGAACCCAGGTCTCAAAATTAAATATTCAAGCAGGCACACAGGGCTTTGCTAGGGCCCAATCCACCGGCCTACGCGGCCAGATGATCCCTGGAACCACCTGATCAGCCAGACCTTTCAGCCTGTCGCTGGCTCTGTAAACTCCATGCCTGGGTCCGCCCCTTACCTCACTCCCAGCTGCAGTGAAAGGCTCATCACTGTATACCAGCAACACCTGATGAGGTGAACGGTGGCAGAACCCAGTATAAAGATTTATAATGTTAAGATCAGGCATGGTGGTTCACGCCTGTAATCCCAGCGCTTTGGGAGGCCGAGGTGGGCGGATCACCTGAGGTCAGGAGTTTGAGACCAGCCTGGCCAACATGGTAAAACCCTATCGCTACTAAAAACACAAAAATTAGCTGGGCATGGTGGCACACACCTGTCATCCCAGCTACTTGGGAGGCTGAGGCACGAGAATCACTTGAAGGCGAAGGCTGCAGTGAGCCAAGATTGTACAACTGCACACCTGCCTGGGCTAGAAAGCGAGACCATCTCAAAAACAAAACGAAACAAACAAAAACAAGATTTATAATATTAAATAATAAGACACTTGCTAAATGCAAAGTGTAGATTCCTGTCTGGCAGATCAGGAAGGCTTTGATCAGCTGCAAGGCTAGGAAGACCCGGTGGCTCTATCTTGATATACGCCCACATCCTTAGGGATGAGCTTCAATGACTCTTGGCCTCCCTGGCCTGTCTTTAAGGCAGTGATTCTCAATCAGGAGCAATTTTATCCTTAGGGGGACATTTGCCAATGTCTGGAGACATTTCTAGTTGTTAGAACTGGAAGAGGGGGTGCTATTGGCCTCTAGTGGGTAGAAGCCAGGGATGCTAATATATGTCCTACAGCGCACAGGATAGCCCCCTACAAATGTCAGGAGTGCCAAGGGTGAGAAACCTGCTTAAAGTAACAAGGCTGGGCTTAGGAAAAAAACCCTGCATTGGCCATCTCTCCCTGGCAGAGGAACTTGCTCAAGACTTCAGATCTAGTGAAGTCCAAGCCTGTGACCAGAAATCCCAATGAGGCTACTCCAAAGGTCCCACTCCTTTTTTTTTTTTCCTTTGAGATGAAGTCTCACTGTTGTTGCCCAGGCTGGAGTGCAGTGGCATAGTCTCGGCTCACTGCAACCTCTGCCTCCCGGGTTCAAGCGTTTCTCCTGCCTCGGCCTCCCGAGTAGCTGGGATTACAGACGCCCACCATAGCGCCCAGCTAATTTGCTAATTTTTTGTATTTTCAGGAGAGACGGGGTTTCACCATGTTGGCCAGGCTGGTCTTGAACTCCTG
The DNA here is from genome assembly GCF_000001405.40 of Homo sapiens. NCBI lineage: Eukaryota > Metazoa > Chordata > Mammalia > Primates > Hominidae > Homo > Homo sapiens. The sequence continues at coordinate 30,258,905 of NC_000008.11, forward strand.
ACCTCAGGCAATCTGGCCGCCTTGGCCTCCCAGAGTGCTGGGATTACAGGTGTGAGCCACTGCACCTGGCCAGGTCCCACTCCTTCTAAGGCAACATCCTTGGCAATGTCCTTCTCCCATCCTCTCAATTTCTTCTCATGTAAAATGGGCATCCTGATACCTACCAATTAGTATGACTATAAACATTAAGTGTGATAAGGTGATATGGTTTGGCTGTGTCCTTACCCAAATCTCATCTTGAATTCCCATGTGTTGTGGAAGGGACCTGGTGGGAGGTAATGAATCATGGGGGCAGGTCTTTCCCGTGCTGTTCTAATGAAAGCAAATAAGTCTCATGAGATCCGATGGTATTACAAGGGGGAGTTTCCCTGCCCATTATCTTTGCTGCTGCCATCCACATAAGATGTGACTTGCTCCTCCTTGCCTTCCGCCATGATTGTGAGGCCTCTCCAGCCATGTGGAACTGTAAGTCATTAAACCTCTTTCTTTTGTAAATTGCCCAGTCTTGGGTATGTCTTTATCAGCAGCATGAAAACAGACTAATACATAAGGCATGTGAGAATGCTTTGTGAACTGATTAACTACTGAACTAATATCAGTGATTATGACAAATATCAAGGCCATGGGTAACTGAGTAGCATGGAGGGGGCAGTACCGGAGCTTGTAAACTCTGCAGAGGGTTGGAGTGTCAGCTCAACCCAGCTAACATACAGGCGTAGGATGCTGGAGATGGAAAGAAGAAAGTTGTGATCTTCATCTACAAGGTGAGGGGGATGGGGTGGTTCTCAAACCTTCTATAGCCAAATGCTAAGAGCATGGCTCTAGAAGCAAGTTGCCTCTGTTCACATCCTGTTTCTGCCAGGTACTATTTGCGTGACCCTGGGCGAGGTGTATAACCTCCCTGTGCCTCCTTTCCTCATCTGTAAATGAGGATCGTAGCGTTATCCACCTCACAGAGTTGCTTTCAGGTAACAGTGCCTGGCACATAGGAAGTGCAAAATAAATGTCAGCTATTAGTATTGCTCTTGTTAAGAGCCCATGCTTCCCACAGTGCTTTCAGACTCTATCTTCAGCATACCCCGCCTCCCATGAACATTTGTATCAAAATCTACTATTTTTTTTGAGGCAAAGTCTCACTCTGTTACCCAGGCTGGAGTACAGCAGCGCCATCTCGGCTCTCTACAACCTCCACCTGCCGAGTTCAAGCAATTCTCCTGCCTCAGCCTCCCAAGTAGCTGGGATTACAGGTATGCACCACCATGCCTGGCTAATTTTTGTATTTTTAGTAGAGATGGGGTTTTACCATGTTGGCCAAGCTGGTCTCAAACTCCTGGCCTCCAGTGATCCGCCTGCCTCAGCCTCCCAAAGTACTGGGATTACAGATGTGAGCCACTGCGCTCAGCCAAAATCTACTTTTTGTAGTATATGCTGCAGATTCCCTGACGCTGGGGTCAGGACCATTTTTGTTATCATTGCCTATCCACTGCCTAACATGAGGTGCTCAGAAGATTTGGTGAATTTATAAATGAAAGGAGAAATAAGCCCCCTGCTCCCCAGAATTACACCATCCAACCAAGGCCTGTCAATAAGTATTTCCAAAGTAACACCTGCAGTGAATAAAACATTGACGTTTATTGATTCAATGAGTATTTACCAATCATCTACTATAGGCCAGGCATTGTTACAGGTGCAGGAGATAAATTAATGAGTCAAATAGATAAGTCTGCCTACCTCACATTCTAGTGAGGAAAAACAGCAAATAGCTAGAAGTCCTATCAGGTGCTGACATGTACCAGGTGGAGGAATGTGTCAGGGCAAGAGGGGTGGAGAGTGGTGGGGGTAATTTTTCATGTAGGATGTCTGGGAAGGACTCTCTGACACAGTGATATTTGAGCAGGGACCAGAAGGGAATGAGGAAGGGAAATATTCAGATATCTTAGAGAAAGGAATTGTGGGCTGAGAGATCAGCAAAGCCAAAGCCTTGGGAAGGGAACAGACTTGGCATTTTCCTACAGAGGAAGCCAACATGGCTAGGGAGAAGAGAAAATAGAAAAGGAAGTAGAGAAAGGTGGATTCACTGCAAAGTTTTAGGACACGTCACTTGCACGGTGCCCTCCAAGCCCTGAGAGAGCCCTAGCAATGCACTCCTGTGGTCATATATTTTGCAAACTTTGCAGAAATAAGATATTTCAACTGCAAATGATTGGGACTGCTGTCTCCTTCCACTACCACTTCCCCTCTGTTGCACATCCCCTGAGTTGGATGGTGTTGGACATTTGGCATTTGACATTTTCTGGATCCAACTAAGAGGAAGTTGAGTTGGGGAGTGATGGTTAATTTTAGGTGTCAACCTAGCTAAATTAAGGAATACCTTAATAACTGGTAAAGCAGTTGATATGGTCTGACTCTGTGTTTCCACCCAAATCTCATCTTATAGCTCCCATAATTCCCACGTGTTGTGGGAGGGAGGCAGTGGGCGATGATTGAATAATGGGGGCAGGTCTTTCCTGCGCTCTTCTCGTGATAGTGAATGGGTCTCATGAGATCTGATGGTTTTGAAGATGGGAGTTTCTCTGCACAGGCTCTCTCTTTGCCTGCTGCCATCCACAGAAGATGTGACTTGCTCCTCCTTGCCTTCCACCATGATTGTGAGGCCTCCCCAGACACGTGGAACTGTAAGTCATTAAACCTCTTTCTTTTGTAAATTGCCCAGTCTTGGGTATGTCTTTATCAGTGGCATGAAAACAGACTAATACTCCATTATTTGGGTGTGTGTCTTTGAGGGTGTTTCCAGAGGAGTTTGGCGTGTGAGCCTGAGTGGACTCAGTGGGGAAGATCCACCCTCAATGTGGGCAGACGCCATCCAATTGGCTAGAGGCCTGGATAGAACAAAAACAAAGGAAGGGCAAATTGGTTGCTCTCTTTCCTGGAGCTGGGATACACCCCCTTGCTCCTGCCCTTGGACCTCAGGCTTTCTGGCTTCAGGACTTACACCAGTGGCCCCTTGGGTTCTGAGGTCTTTGGACTTGCACTGAGCCATGCTACCAGCATCCCAAGGTCTCCAGCTTGCAGATACCTGTCATGGGACTTCTCAGCCTCTATAATCATGTCAGCAAATTCCCCTAATAAATCCCCCTTATTTACCTACGTTGCATATCTGCCCTATTGGTTCTGTCCCTCTGGAGAACCCTGATGAATACAGGGAGACTTTTCGTCTGTTCTATTTTCTGATTGTAATAAATATTCAATTTCATACATTATTTTGGATGGTACCTCTTAAAAAGCTCTCCATTTTATAAGCTTTGGGCTCCACAAAACCTGGATCTGATGCTGAAGGTAGAAATAAAGACAGATGAAGACAAGGAGGTGGCTGGGGCTTCTCCTCTGAGTAGGACAGGGAGCAGTAGAGTGTTTTGGGCAGAGAGGTGACATGACACACTTTAAAGGATTGCTCTGGCTGGGTGTGGTGGTTCATGCCTGCAATTTTAGCACTTTGAAAGGCCAAGGAAGGATTGCTTGAGGCCAGGAGTTCGAGGCCAACCTGGGCAACATAGCAAGATCCCTTCTCTAGAAAAGTTAAAATTAAATAGAAGATCACTCTCTCTGCCCTGTTAAGGCTGCATCATCTTTGTGAGGGGGTCGTGGCACACCAGGATGCGGTGACATAGAGAATACAGACGTCTGCATTTGAGTTGAGTCACAGGAGTTTTTTTAGAGGGTGTAAACAGCTTCATTTCTGGATGGAAAGAAAGTTGCCACAGGCATGGGACAGGTAAACAGAGTGAGGGGTGATGAGGGATGTGAGCTGGAGAGGTCAGCTGGCCCATGTCATGGTAGACAGGTGCTGCTTCCAATACATCTATTGTTTTCATGGGCCTTATTGGCTTTTTGTGTGTGTGTGTTTGTGTGTGTGTGTGTGTGTGTGTGTGTGAAACAGTCTCCGTCTTTCCCCCAGGCTTTGTGTGTGTGTGTGTGTGTGTGTGTGTGTGTGTGTGTGTGTGAAACAGAGTCTCCGTCTTTCCCCCAGGCTTTGTGTGTGTGTGTGTGTGTGTGTGTGTGTGTGAAACAGAGTCTCCGTCTTTCCCCCAGGCTGGAGTGCAGTGGTACGATCTTGGCTCACTGCAACCTCTGCCTCCTGGGTTCAAGTGATTCTCCTGCCTCAGCCTCCCGAGTAGCTGGGATTACAGGCACATCCCACCACACCCACCTAATTTTTATATTTTTAGTATAGATGAGGTTTCACCATGTTGGCCAGGCTGGTCTCAAGCTCCTGACCTCAGGTGATCCACCAGCCTCGCCTCCCAAAGTGCTGGGATTACAGGCATGAGCCACTGTGCCCGGCCCCTTATTGGCTTTTAATAGACAGATACCATATTGAAGCAGGGAGGTAATGACTTCCACCCGCATCTCCTTACACTATCTTACTTGGCCCCCACAGACTCTAGGAATACAGCCGTTTTCTTAGTTCTTGGTCACAAGAGAGGGATACTGAGGGCATCTGGATGACACCAATGCAGCATATTGGTGCCGTGGGAAACTAGACCTCCTTGCACCCAAAACTATGTCTCCAGACACAGGGTATTGTGCATCTAGTCCCTCTTCCTCTCAGGCACACATATCAGGAGCAAAGAGCAGGTAACAGATCTCCCTGTTACCCCAAAGGCAGATGAGCTTATTCTTGGGGGATGCACTCTCTGTCCCAGCATTTCCCATCATTGTCTCCTACTTGTGGCATCTCAGTTCTTCATGTAAATAGATCCTGGATGATCCTGGGTGATCTCACATTGTGGCTCTGTAGCCATGCCTGGACACGTCAGAATTCCCAGTGGATTCCCTGGTGAGGCTCTCACTTTGGAATCCTTATGATTCTAGTAGGTCTGTACTCTATATGGGGAATTATGAACATTCACAGAAGTGTTTGTATATATAGATGATATGCCACATCTCATTGAGCTAAAGTTATAAAAACACGTTTTTGAGGGCTGGGTGTGGTGGCTCATACCCGTAATCCCAGCACTTAGGGAGGCCTAGGCGGGTGGATCACCCGAGGTCAGGAGTTTGAGACCAGCCTGGCCAACATGATGAAACCACGTCTCTACTAAAAAATACAAAAATTAGCTGAGTGTGGCGGTGCACACCTGTAACCCCAGCTACTTGGGAGGCTGAGGCAGGAGAATTGCTTGAACCCAGGAGGTGGAGGTTGCAGTGAGCCAAGATTGCACCACTGTACTCCAGCCTCAGTGACAGAATGAGACTCTTTCTCAAACAAAACAAAACAAAACAAAACAAAACAAAACAAAACAAAACAAAACACATTTTTGAGTCTCTGTTAGAGTTTCTGTTCAAGCCCATGTTCACACAATTGGCTTGAGGGAAAGAACCACATTCTTATACAGAACAACATTCTTGGTAGACACAACAGGGTGACTGTAGTCAGTAATAACTTAATTGTACATTTTAAAATAACTAACAGTGCAATTGGATTGTTTGTAACACAAAGGATAAAAGCTTGAGGGGATGGATACCTCATTCTGTCTCATGTGATTATTTCACATTGTGTGCTGTATCAAAACATCTCATGTACCCCATAAATGTATACACCTACTACGTACCCACAGAAATGTAAGAAAATGTTTAAAAAACATTCTTGGTAGAGAAGTTCTACCTTAGTGTAGACTTGAAGAGCTCATTTCTATGTTATTTCTGTTACTCTTATTTTAGATTAATTGGGGCAAAAAAAGGAATTTTCCATTGGGGTTTTGGCCCTCCACTTGGAAGTCCATTGTCTGACAATAATTCCTTTCTCTTCCTCCTATTGTTTGTGGTTTTTTCTACTATATTTCAACACACTCAAATATTCAGTATCCAGAATTCATGTGTGTAAAGAGCTTTGTGGTTTATAAAACACTTCTTACATATAGCAATTAATGTAAATGTTACAATAACTTTGTGTGGAAGGCATTGTCCCTATTTAATAGTGATATAGCTTCATGTCTGTCCCCTTCAAATCTCATGTTGAAATGTGATCCCCAGTGTTGGAGGTGGGGCCTGGTGGGAGGTGTTGGGATCATGGGGGCAGATCCCTCATGAATGTCTTGGGGCTGTCCTTGCAGTAATGAGTAAGTGCTCACTCTATCAGTTCACGTGAGAGCTGGTTGCTTAAAAGATCCTGGCACCAGGCCGGGTGCAGTGGCTCATGCCTGTAATCCCAGCACTTTGAGAGGCTGAGGTGGGCGGATCACCTGAGGGTCAGGAGTTTGAGACCAGCCTGGCCAACATGGTGAAACCCCATCTCTACTAAAAATACAAAATTAGCCGGGTGTGGTGGCGCATGCCTGTGATCCCGGCTACTTGGCAGGCTGAGACAAGAGAATTGCTTGAACCCGGGAGGTGGAGGTTTCAGTGAGCTGAGATCACACCATTGCACTCCAGCCTGGGCAACAAGAGCGAAACTCCGTCTCAAGGAAAAAAAAAGAGCTTGGCACCTTTTCCTTCCTCTCTTGCTCCCTGTGCTTGCTCCCCCTTCACCTTTCACCATGAGTACAAGCACCTGAGGCCCTCACCAGACGCACATGCTGGCACCATGCTTATACAGCCCGCAGAACCATGAGCCAAATAAACCTCTTTTCTTCATGCATTAACCTCAGTTATTCCCCTTTATAGCAATGCAAAATGGACTAACACAAATAGATGACATATTTGAGGGTCAGAGAGTTTGCACACTTTTCCAAGGGCACACACACAGTAAATGGCAGAAGTGGGACTTGAACCCTACCTTTATAAGCCAGGCCCAGTGCTCCAATATGGGACCATTGGCAACTCAGTAAACTTTTGTGTGAGAGTGTTCAGTTGGAAGGTTAATTCTTGTTTGCCATAGAAAGAGAGAACAAGACTGACAGTGGAAGTCATTGTCACTATTGCCATCAAATATAATATTATCAGCAGCCCAAGAATGTCCACTTTTTAACAGAGCTAGGCTATTTTTTCAAAACCAGAATTTCTGTTTTGGATGAAGAAGCACAATAGTAAAAAAATCAGAGGCTGGGTGTGGTGGCTCAAGCCTGTAATCCCAGCACTTTGGGAGGCTGAGACGGGCAGATCGTTTGAGGTCAGGAGTTCAAGACTAGCTGGGCCAACATGGTGAAACCCTGCTGCTACTAAAAATACCAAAAAAAAAAAAAAAAAAAAAAATGAGCTGGGCATGGTGGCGTGCACCTGTAATCCCAGCTACTTGGGAGGCTGAGGCACGAGAATCGTTTGAACCTAGGAGGCGGAGGTTGCAGTGAGCTGAGATCGTGCCACTGCACTCCATCCTGGGTGACAGAGTGAGACCCTGTCTCAAATAAATAAATAAATAAATAAAATCAGGCAGGGCGAGGTGGCTCACACCTGTAATCCTAGTACTTTGGGAGGCCAAAGTGGGTGGATCGCTTGAGCCCAGGAGTTCGAGGCCAGCCTGGATACCCCGTTTCTACAAAAAATTAAAAAATTAGCCAGATGTGGTGGCACATGTCTGTGGTCTCTGCTACTCAGAAGGCTGAGGTGGAAGAATTGCCTGAATCCTGCGAGGTCGAGGCTGCAGTGAGCTGTGATTGTGCCACTGGGTTCCAGCCTGGGGAGCAGAGTGAGACCGTGTTTCCCCCCAAATCAAATTTTAGCCAGTTTTTATCAAGAAAAATAGATCTTCCTATTGGCTTATCAAAGTTCTTTAGAGACAAGTAATACAGGTGAACCTGGGCTCACATAAACAGAAAGGAAGGAATAAAATCAGATCCTCTCAAGGAAACAAGGGGCAGTAATGCGGATAGAAATGGGTAGGATTTTTTTTTCTCTCTAGCTCTTGTCTTTGCTTTTCTCTGAAGCATGTGCTTCATTCTTCTCTCTTTCTCAATTCAGACACACTTTCTCTGCTTCTCTGGCCACTCCAGTGTTTCCAGAGGTTGAGGCACCAGCCTGGACAAACTGAGCAGCTTCCTGGTCCCAATTCTCAATTTCCCAGGGGAGAGGACCTGAGGCCACCTTGGAGCAGGTGTTCGCCTCTGGTCCAGTCAGCAATAGGCAAGAGCAGAGGGTATCCTGTAATATCAGCATGGCTGCCAGGGCCCTACCCCAGTGCACCTGGTGGCAGTTCCCAGAGAATGAGGAATTGTGAGTTTTGCCCACACCTGAAAAAGTGTTGACCATAACTGAGCAGCGGGAAAATTGTTATAAAGTTTGGAATTAGCCAGTAGGCAATAGTTTTGTTAGGGCATAATTTTCACAACTGCTTTTCAAGAGTTCAGAAACTCTTAAATATAAACTTTAGTATCATGTGTCTGCTTGTATGTTTAAATCCGGGAACATCTTTACAGACCACCTAATCCAACCCTCCTTTATTTAAACCAGTGATGAAACTGGGACTTGGTGGGCAAAGTGACATGCCCAAGGTCACACAGCAAATTAGCTGAAAAGATGAACGGATGAAATTGTTTCTTTCTCTCTCTCTCTCTCTTTTCTTCTGAGATAGCATCTCACTCTGTTGTGCAGGCTGAGTGCAGTGATATGATTTTGGCTCACAGCAGCCTCAACCTTCCAGGCTCAAGCTATCCTTCTGCTTTAGCCTCCCAAGTTGCTGGGACTACAGGCACATGCCACCACACCCAGCTAATTTTAAAAAATGTTTTGTGAGCTGGGCGTGGTGGCTCACACCTGCAATCCCAGCATTTTGGGAGGCCAAGGCGGGTGGATCACCTGAGGTCAGGAATTCGAGATCAGCCTGGAGGCAAAACCCCATCTCTACTAAAAATACAAAAAAAAAGTTAGCTGGGCATGGTGGCACACGCCTGTAATCCCAGCTGCTTGGGAGGCTGAGGCAGGAGAATCACTTGAACCCAAGAGGTGGAGGTTGCAGTAAGCCAAGATTGCACCATTTCACTCCAGCCTGTGTGACAGAGCAAGACTGCCTCAAAAAAAAAAAAAAAAATTTGTGGAGATGGCTCACTATGTTGCCCGGGGTGGTCTCAAACTCCTGGACACAAGTGATCCTCCTGCTTCGGCCTCCCAAAGTGCTGGGATTACAGGCATGAGCCACCACGCCCAGCCAAACAGATGAAATTAGAACATGTATCTGACTGTGTTCTTATTACTGTACCAAGTTTCTCCACGTAACCTAGAAGTATCAATCAGCACTGAGTCCAAGAAGCAGAACTGCTAAGTGTGATGTAGATAGAACAAGATATTTCTTGTAGGGATTCAACTCCAGAGAGCCATAAAGCCGTCTCAGTCCAGCTGTTTCTCCTGTGCCTGGCGCCAAGCTGGAAGTCACAGGGCAGGGGCTGGGAAGAAAGGGGAACACAAATTGGGAGAGAGGCAGGCAGCTGGACTTCTGTCTGTCTCTCACTGGCGTCCATGTCAGCCCCTTCCCATCTCAGAGCCTCCAACTCCGGGCCCGCAGACTATCTGCAGGAGAAGCTGCTGTCTTGCCCAGAGCCATACTTGCACCTGGCTCGGGATTCAGAAAAGCTGAAGGAAGTGATCCCATGGGAGCTGGGGCTTTAGGCCAGATTGCTTCCCACACCAACAATGGACCCATTGCATCCGCTAAAACCTGACCCACCTGGGCCTTCTGAGACAAAAACACAGGTGCTGCTGAGTTTCCATCATCCAAATCTCATGCAAATTCCTCCTGTGGCCAACCCTAACCAGAAACATATAAGAAAGGGAATGACAGGAGTCTAGTTCAGCCTAGCTGAGTTGGCACCGCAAAGCCACCCCTCACAAAACTGACTCTGTGTGGGTGGCGGCGGTGCTACCTTCCATTTCCAGTGCTGGGACTGTGGCTGCTCCTTGCCTAACCCCTTCCTGGAGTCCAGCCACCTCTTCCCAACTCCCTTGTCCCTGCTCACACCAGCACAGGGGCTGTCAGCAAGTAAATCTGTGGCTTAAGTCAATGTCCAACCGGGAAATGAGATGCCCAAACAACAGCCTCTTGTGGGCACCCTCATTTCCTGTAAACTATTCTCTGAGAAGCACCTTATCTTCACTGGGGTTCACGGAAGGGAAGCATTTCTTTCCTTGGTGGATGGGGAGAGATTCTCCCCTCATTCTGAGCCCGGAGGCCCACCCAGGTATTCTCTAATAGAATCCACGGTGAGGAGGGTGATGGTAGCAGAGCCCGTTCTTCCACTTCTTGGTAAGCTGCGAGGAATGCTTCTAGTTCCCAGTTATTAGCAACTTCTCATGGTATTAGCAACTCTTGTCCTCAGCTTTCAGCCTCAGCCACAATTCCAGTCTGATGGGAAAAATCCTGCTTCACATCTTGTTTCATAGTTGTCCCTTGGAACTTCCTAGCCCCAATAACTCCTGTGGTTAGGAGCCATAATTAGGGATGTGCTTTTTTTTTTTTTTTTTTTTTTTTTTTTGAGATGGAGTCTTGCTCTGTCACCCAGGCTGGAGTGCAGTGGCACAATCTCAGCTCACTGCAGCCTCCGCCTCCTAGGTTCAAGCGATTCTTCTGCCTCAGCCTCCCGAGTAGCTGGGATTACAGGCATGCACCACCGTGCCCGGCTAATGTTTGTATTTTTAGTAGAGACAGGTTTTCACCATGTTGGCCAGGCTGGTCTCAAACTCCTGGCCTCAAGTGATCCACCCACCTCAGCCTCCCAAAGTGCTGGGATTAAAGACGTGAGCCACTGCACCCAGAAGGGAAGTGCTTTTTATCCGAGAAGGTGATGTACAGGAAAATAGCTGAGTTGACTGTAAAACCCAGCTTTCCCCCCAACTTATGTCATCTCAAAAGCAGTGGGCATAAATAGAAAAACTGGATGTCTAAGGCAGGTCCACTTACAGGATGTAAAGAAGGGAACAGAGCAGCGAGAGACTTTTACTGAAATGATTGGACTCAACGCCAGCATCCCGGTTACTAGATGGCAGAGACAGCACCATGGATAGGCGGACAGAAACAACTATCATTGGCCCCCAGGTGGACTAGGCACCTACTCCTTTCCTCTGATTATGGGGAAAGAAAACCAGAAAACTTTCTAATTAGGTGTTTATCAGACCAACCTATGATTCCCTAGGAAAGGGAATCTCTAGCCAAGCGCTCCGGAGATGGTTTGTCTATGGCTGGGGCTGGGGTTCAAGGCTACAGCAATCTCTGACGGCACCACTGCACTCCAGCCTGGATGACAGAGCAAGACTCCATCTCTCCAAAATAACTTTTTTTTTTTTGGTTTCTGAGACGGAGTTTCACTCTTTGTGCTCAGGCTTGAGTGCAATGGCACGATCTCGGCTCACCACAACATCCGCTTCCTGAGTTCAAGCGATTCTCCTGCCTCAGCCTCCCGAGTAGCTGGGATTACAGGCATGCACCACCCACCTGGGTAATTTTGTATTTTTAGTAGAGATGGGGTTTCTTCATGTTGGTCAGGCTGGTCTCGATCTCCCGACCTCAGTTCCGCCTGCCTCGGCCTCCCAGAGTGCTGGGATTATAGGCGTGCACCACCGCGCCCGGCCCAAAATATATTTTTTCTTTTTTTCAAAGAGGCTGATTTCTTTTTCTGCCTTCTTCGGTCTCGCCTTCATCCTAAACTGACTTCCCACATACGGATAAAAAATTGCTATAGTAGCTCCACACTTCATGTCTATTCACTACACCATCTAGAACAGTGCCGTCCAGAGAAATACAATGCAAGCTGTCTTCGTCCATCTTGTGGCTGCTATAACACAATACCGCAGACTGGGAAATTGATAAAGAGCAGAAATTTATTTTCTGACAGTTCTGGAGGATGAGAGGTCTAAGATCAAGGAGCTGCTAGGTTCCGTTGTATGGTGAAGACGGCCTCCTCCAAAGGGAAAGAACACGGAGTCCTCATCGGGCAGAGGCAGAACAGAGCAAGCTAACGAGCTAACAAAACCCTCCTCTTAGACGAGGGTGAAGCTTCTTTTAAAAGGGCCTTAATCCCACCAATAAGGAGACTTCCTGGCCTAATCACTTCCTTTTTTTTTTTTTTTTTTTTTTTTTTTAATTTTCTTTTTTGAGACGGAGTCTCACTGTTGCCCAGGCTGGAGTGTAGTGGCACAATCTCGGCTCACTGCAACCTCTGCCTCCTGGGTTCAAGCAGTTCTCCTGCTTCAGCCTCCCCAGTAGCTGGGCTTACAGGCATGTGCCACCACGCCTGGCTAATTGTTTTGTATTTTTTTAGTAGAGACACTTTTGCCATGTTGTCCACGCTGATCTCAAACTCCTGACGTCAAGTGATCCGTCCGCCTCGGCCTCCCAAAGTGCTGGGATTACAGGCGTGAGCCACAGTGCCCGGTCCCTGATCACTTCTTAAAGAGCCCAACTCTCAATACTACCACACTGGTAACACCTCAGTTTTGGAGGGGGCACATTCGAACCATAGCATAAGCCTTATGTGTGATGTTAAATTTTCTAGTAGTCACATTCTTAAAAAGTAAGATGTAGTCCCAGCTACTCAAGAGGCTGAGGCAGGAGGATCGCTTAAGCCTGGGAGGCGGAGGTTGCAGTGAGCCGGATCGTGCCACTGCATCCCAGCCTGGGTAGGAGAGTGAGACTCCATCTCAAGAAAAAAAGTAAGAAGAAAAGGTAAAATTAATCCTAAAAATACTTTTATTTAACCCAATGTATATAAACTATTATTTCAGTGTATAATCAATATAAAAATTAATGCGATATTTTACATTCCTTTTCTTTTGTACCAAGTCTTCAAAATTCAGTGTGGGCCAGGCATGGTGGCTCACACCTATAATCCCAGCAATTTGGGAGGCTGAGGCAGGAGGATTGCTTTAGCCCAGAGGTTTGAGCCCAGCCTGGGTAACAGAGTGAGAACCCATCTCTACAACAAATAATACAATAAATTATAAAGGCATGGTGATGCATGCCTGTAGTTCCAGCTACTCAGGAGGTTGAGGCAAGAGGTTCACTTGAGCCTGGGAGATTGAGGATGCAGTGAGCTGTGATCATATCATTGCACTCCAGCCTGGGTGACAGAGTGAGACACTGTCCTCTCCCCCTCCAAAAAATTCAGTATGTGTGTTATGCTTACAGGCCATCTTGATTCACAGTGGCCACATTTTTTTTTTTTTTTTTTTTTTTTTTTTTTTGAGACAGAGTCTCACTCTGTTGCCCAGGTTGGAGTGCAGTGGTGTGATCTCGGCTCACTGCAATCTTTGCTCCCGGATTCAAGCAATTCTCCTGCCTCAGTCTCCCAAGTAGCTGGGATTATAAGTGCCTACCACCAAGCCTGGCTAATTTCTGTATTATTATTAGTTTTTTAGTAGAGATGGGGTTTCACCATGTTGGCCAGGCTGATCTCGAACTCCTGACCTCAGGGGATCCACCCACCTCAGCCTCCCAAAGTGCTGAGATTACAGGTGTGAGCCACCATGCCTGGCCCACAGTGCCCACATTTTAAGTGCTCAACAGCCTCATGTGGCTGTTTGCTACTGTCCTGGGCAGCACAGGTCTAGAGAAAGAGGGAATGTGGTTCTGTCCCCACACTCAGCTAGAGTTTGCATTCACTCTGATTGGAGTGGGTTAGGCTACATGCCTGTGACTATACCAGCGAATCTTTACCGGGCTCCAGCTCTATGTCTGTGACTTTACGCCAGTGACTGTAGCCAGAGGTATGGATTGTGCCAATCAGCTAAAGTTGGGCATGACTTTGGTATGCAGAATTATGTCCCCCTCCGAAGATATCCATGTCCCAGTTTCTAGAACCCATGAACACATTTGGCTGCATGACAGAGGACAAGGAAAGTTGCAGATTGAATTAAACTTTCTCATCAGCTGATCTTAAGATGAGGAGATTATCCTGGATCATCTTGGTGAGCCCACAGTCTTCATAAGGGTCCTTATAAGTAGAAGTGGGAGGCAGAAGAGAAAGAACCAGAGGGATGGCAGAGTGAGCGAGACACGGCTCTATGCTGCTGGCTTTGGAGACAGAGAAAGGGGCCCCGAGCCAAGGAATGCAGATGACCTCTAGAGGATGCAAAAGTCAAGGAAAAGGATTCTCCCCTAGAGCCTCCAGAGGAAACACAGCCCAGCTGGCACCGTGACTTTAGCGCAGAGAAACCTGTGTTGACCTTCTAACCTCCAGAACTGTAAGATAATAACTGTGTGTTGTTTGAAGCCACTAAATTTGTGGTGATTTGTTACAGCAGCCTTAGGAAACTAAATCAGTGACCCATTCCTGGGGTGCATGAATTCCGTGGATAATGAATAGAAATCCCCATTCTTAATTAAAAGATTTTTTATGATGAAAGTAATTTTTAGTTCCAAGAGCTTGGTTTTAAGTGTCAAAAGGAAATCATTAAGGAATCATAAAATTAGGGTCATAAACAATAGGCTGAAGAGAGAATAGATACCCTATACCTGGGGAGGCCAGATAATGGTTTTCTAGGCTAGAGGAAGAGAGCTAGGCAACAAAGGAGTAATATGCTGCTTATCTCTTAATGGGGCCCTTGCACCCTGCTCTACTTTCATTCTCAAAACCTGGGAAATGAGAACAACAGAATCTCATGTATATTCAGGGGAATCTGAAAGTAGAGGAGTCTGTTGCTCCCCCCAAACTCTTTTTATTGAGACAAAGTCTGGCTCTATCACCCAGACTGGAGTGCAGTGGTGCAATTATGGCTCCCTGCAACCTTAACCTCCTGGGCTCAAGTGATCCTGGATCATAGCTGTAAAACACACTGCAGTCCCAGACACACCACATCCTGGTCTTTGTGCACTCTCCAGCAATATGTTGCATAAAATAACAGAATGATAAGTGATATGGTTTCGCTTTGTGGCCCCACCCAAATCTCATTTTGAATTGTAATCCCCAGGTGTTTTGGGAGAGACCGGGTGGAAAGTGATTGGGTTATGGGGGCAGTTTCCCCCATGCTGTTCTCGTGATAGTGAGTGAATTCTCGTGAGATCTGACGGTTTTATAAATGGTAGTTTTTTCTGTGCTGACACATGCACTTCTCTCTCCTGCTGCCTTGTGAAGAAGGTCTGCTTCCCCCTTGCCTTCTGCCATGATTGTAAGTTTCCTGAGGCAGCCCCAGCCATGTGGAACTGTGAGTCAATTAACCTCTTTCCTTTATAAATTACCCAGTCTTGGGTAGTATCTTCATTTTATTTTTTTATATTTTTGAGATGGAGTCTCACTCTGTTTCCCAGGCTAGAGTGCAGTGGCACAATCTCGGCTCACTGCAACCTCTGCCTCCCAGGTTTAAACGATTCTCCTGTCTCAGCCTCCCAAGTAGCTGGGATAACAGGCACCTGCCACCACACCTGGCTAATTTTTGTATTTGTAGTAGAGACAGAGTTTCACCATGTTGGCCAGGCTGGTCTCAAACTCCTGATCTCAGGTGATCTGCCCACCTCGGCCTCCCAAAGTATTGGGATTACAGGCGTGAACGAGCATGCCCGGCCTCAGGTAGTATCTTTAGAGCACTGTGAGAACTGACTAATGCATTGCATTCACTCTGATTGGAGTGGGTTAGGCTACATGCCTGTGACTATACCTTACTATACTGACTAATACAGTAAGAGATTGAGAAAACCTGAGAGGTCATAATAGTCCAAACCCCAAACATAATAGTCCAAATGGAGGTAAGGAGGCTCAGGTGTGAAGCATCTGCTGAAGGTGACACTAATGATGGATGAGGGAATGTAGACACAGAACTTGGTGATCCAGATGCCTACGGAGGGGTCCCTTCCGGCTGCCTTGCCAACAGAACACTCAGGTTAATCCAAGTCAATATTTATCAACGAAAACCCTTTAACATATTTATATTATGTTCCCTGTCTAGATCCAGCCAAATGGATCTTTTCTTCAGGCAGTTTCTTGCAGGGACACAGGGTCACCTTCTAAACATTCGTTCTCACATCTCAGAGGAGTGTCAGGGTATCGCTTGTTGCTTTTCAGGAGGTGTCCTTGAAGACTAACCTGAGATCTTTCACAGACATCTTGGTTTCTGACAAAATGTCAACACAGCTTCCTAACTCTCTTCCCTACCATTTCTGGTCTCTTCTGACTTAACAGTAGCTCCAGATCTTGGGCCACATTGTCTGTGGTCTTCGAGTACTGGAGTCTTGTGGACCTCATAATACTTCCTAGTTCAGAGCCTCGTGAAATCTAGGATTTTTCCCCTTCTGTGTTCACAATGGGCTTTTGTTCTCGGTTTCTCACATAGGGCTGGGGATTGGGGGGTCACTCTGCTGCCTCTTCCCTAGACTCTGCAGTGGAACTGACAACCCCTGGGCCACTGTTGGATCCTCAGAGTTCTGACCCTAGGAAGCCTTATGGAAGCTATAAAAGTAAGTTTACGAGAGAAAAAGTTTGTGTATGTGTGGATGTACATATCATACACACATATGCACATACAGAGAGAATAGAGACCCAGTAAAATGTGAAATGTTCTCACGTTAGGGGGATTTAAAAATATGTATGTGAGGGTGCATGTGTGTGTATACATATATATGTAGATCAAGACATAGAATATTTCCAGTCTCCCAAACTGCTTCCTTTTGCCCAACCCCCACCCTCCACCCCCAGTCAATGCCCTCATTCAGGAGCTCGTCCTTGGAGCTCGTCTGAACGAAAGCATGTGCACTTCTGTGTGTGGCTTCTTTGCCTCCACGTCATGTCCATGAGCTTCATTCATGTTGTTAGATTTTAGTTGACAGTTTACCACTTTCTCCCAGGAGTTAAAAAATTGCAAAAACTCCAAGTAATTAAAGGTGTGATTTTTTTGGATAATCAGGATATTCAGTATTTACATTTATCATATTTGGTCCTAAATATGCATAATTGCCTTCAGGATATGACCAGAAAAAAATAGCAAACACAGACATCCTACTAATTAGCAGGCAAATAAGAAAATGTTCAATCTCGCCAGTAATCCAGGAAGTACAAGCTAAAAGAAAATGCCATATAAGTATTTTAAGTACTTAAAATTATTTTTTGTTTGTTTGTTTGAGACAGGGTTTCACTCTGTCACCCAGGCTGGGGTGCAGTGGTGTGATCTCAGCTCACTGCAACCTCTGGCTCCTGGGTTCAAGCGATTCTCCTGCCTCAGCCTCCTGAGTAGCTGGGACTACAGGCATGTGCCACCACGCCTGGCTAATTTTTGTATTTTTAGTAGAGATGGGGTTTTGCTATGTTGGCCAGGCTGGTCTTGAACTCCTGACCTCAAGTGATCCACCCACCTCAGCCTCCCAAAGTGCTGGAATTACAGGCGTGAGCCACCACGCCTGGCCTAAAATTATTTTTTAAATGAAAATATTTGATGCTAGCAAGAGTTCAATAAAATGGGAACTTTCAAATTCTCCCAGTGATAATCATAAATTAGTACAATTCTTAAGGAATGAAATTCAAAAGCCTTTAAAAGTCTTCATTCCCCTTTAACATTTCCCTGATTATGACTCTAAAGCAAGGAAATAATTTTAAAGATAGAAAAGAGCTTTTGAACAAAGATGCTCATCCAGTATTCTAAATAGTATGAAAGTAAGAAACCACCTAAATATCCAGCACTTGGGGGAATAATTATAAAAAGTGCAGTAAGTTCACTCAGTACAATATCATATTGTCTTAAAGGACTGGCAATGATCACATCTAATTAGCTGTAGGGCAAAGACTGAGAAAGTTGTAGAAAGTTAGCAAGTTGGCTGGGCATGATGGCTCATGCTTTTAATCCCAGCACTTTGGCAGGCCAAAATGGGAGGATCGCTTGAGCCCAGGATTTTGAGGCTGCAGTGAGCTATGATCACACCACAGCACTCCGGCCTGGATGACAGAGCGAAACCTTGTCTTGAAAGAAAAAAAAAAAAGAATGCAGGTCTCCCTTAAAACCTGCTGAGTAGAATTGACTGTTTTGTTTTACACATACTGTTACAACCTGGAATTCAGAGATTTATCATCCAACAATGGGTTTATTAAGCTATTTTTTAATTAAAAAATGTAAAGTTTGTACTGTGGTAGGAGAATACATGTAAATTAATCTCAGTTCCTAGCATATTTCCTGATCAAAGTAGGTGATAATAATTATTATCATATTTATGACTAATATTCTTTGTTTTATTTTATTCAGGCACATGCTCTAAATATTATTTATTTAGAGACGTGTCTCAATATGTTACCCAGGCTGGTCTCAAACTCCTGGACTCAGCCTCCCGACTAGCTAGGATTACAGCTGCATGCTATTTTGTTGCTTTATTTTAATGCTAAGTGCTGACTATATGGGGAAGGGCTTTTTTTTTTTTTTTTTTTTTGGAGACGAAGTCTCGCTCTGTCCCCAAGGCTGGAGTGCAGTGGTGCAATCTCAGCTCACTGCAAGCTCTGCCTCCCGGGTTCATGCCATTCTCCTGCCTCAGCCTCCCGAGTAGCTGGGACTACAGGTGCCCGCCACCACGCCCGGCTAATTTTGTGTATTTTTAGTAGAGACGGGGTTTCACCGTGTTAGCCAGGATGGTCTCGATCTCCTGACCTCGTGATCCACCCGTCTCAGCCTCCCAAAGTGCTGGGATTACAGGCGTGAGCCACCGCGCCCAGCCTAGGGGAAGGGCTTTAAGTGCATTGCACGATCTCATTTTATATGTTTTGTAAAGCCCACCCATACACAGCGTTTCAGTCCATTTTTCTCCCAGGCATTACGCCTGTAAGTTGGGTACAATGCCACTGTGAAATGGTGGTGTCTGAGTTATAGTTTAGGGATGCTAGCAGCTGGGTTCCAGGTTTTGATGCAATAAAGAGAAGAAAACTGCGCACAGAAACCAGGGAAGTGGATTTCCACTGTCCAGCCTGGCTTACCCATGGGACAGGAGCTGTAGGAGCCCAGATCCCCAGATACCTGTGGAAAGGGGCTGTGCTGGATCTTTGCTGGGGCTCCTATCTGGCGTGGACCCCGCCATCTGAACATCAGCCGAGCAGTGTTTGCTGCATGTGGCAGGCTGAGCCCCCTAAGAGTACAGTCACAAGGACAGGAATTACAGGAAGGCCAGGTCTATCTGTTTGTGTGGTTTCTCTGCACAACAGGTCAGCGAGCATGGAAACTATGAAGCCCTGGGAGGCAAAGGGTGTGCAAGTTCTTCCATTGGAATTGCCCGTTTATAAGTTCTCCCCCGCAACCCCACACACAGACAAACCTGCGGCTTCAAGTCCTGTGGATTCACCCAGGTTTGCCCCTTTTCAAGCCAAACCAGGACAAAGAATTCTGTCTTCTTGGTGCTACTTCTTCTTTTTTTAAAAAAAAAATACATTTCACAAAGCTGGTTCTTTGCTTAACGCTACTGGGGTCATCACAAAAAAAGACCAGCTTTATGAGTCCTACTTCTTGGGAAAGACCCTGGCAGTGCTTTCTGCCATCCTCTCGAGGGTGTGGTGGATCTTGTTCAACCCATTCAGCAAAGTGCTGGGCCTCTGAATGGCACAGGCTTTAGAAAAACCCAGCTGAGGGAGGCTGAGGCAGGAGAATCGCTGGAACCTGGGAGGTGGAGGTTGTAGTGGGCCGAGATTGCGCCACTGCACTCCAACCTGGGTGACAGAGTGAGACTCCGACTCAAAAAAAAAAAGAAAAACCCAGCTGAGAACCCTGTGTAGAAATCTGAAATTAAGGGGCATTGACCTCTTTTTAATTCTTTTAAAAATAGTTTAGAAGCTAAATACTCCTAGAATTGTAAAGAAAAAGGGTCCCTAGTGCATTCCTCTTCACTTCTAATTCTCCTCCTTTTTGTTTTTTCTGCTATTTGCTCCTTTTTTAAAAAAAAATTCTTTTCTTTCTTTTTTTATGTTTGTTTTTATTTTTCTTTTATTCCCCTTTAAATTTCATATTGACAATATAGCAGCGTTCAAGAGCATAGCTCTGGGGTCAGGCAATATGTCAGTTAGCTATTGCCACAATAATGCTGCATAAAAAGCCACCCCCAAACTCAGTGTCTTTTTTTTTTTTTTTTCTCCTTTGAGTCAGGGTCTCACTCTGTTGCCCAGGCTGGAGTGCAGTGGTGCGATCTCGGCTCACTGCAACCTCCGCCTCCTGGGCTCAAGTGATTCTCATGCCTCAGCTTCCTGGGTAGCTAGGATTACAGGCGCCTTTCACCACACCCAGCTAATTTTTGTATTTTTAGTAGAGACGGGGTTTCTTCATGTTGGCCAGGCTGGTCTCAAATTCCTGACCTCAAGTGATCTACCTGCCTTGGCCTCCCAAAGTGCTGGGATTACAGGCGTGAGCCACCACGCCCGGCCTTACTCCTTATTTTTAAAATACAAGCATATCCAGTTCTCTGAATATTTCAAGCTCTCTCAATATTTCAGTTTTCCGTATCTTTCTCGTGTGAAAGATGAAGATCTAGAGTGTTTCATCCGCACCAGCTCCCACCTACACTCCTCCTCTCACAGATTTTGATTAAATCAATATGTAGGGTTTCCATTATTCTAACTGTCAATTTCATTCAGGGCTAGCAGAACCAGCCAGAGAGAACTCCTCTGTGCCTTCTTCCGTGCCTTTTGCCCTTTTGCATCACTTTGCTTTGTTTTACTGATTTTGGGTGTGTAATCATCTTCCGTTTTCTCCCGAAGTCAGTCCCGTCCCCTCCAAAGCCTCGACTGTGCCCATTCTGCGGAGTCTGTGAGCTGATCAAAGAAAAGCTTGAGTCATCCCCTTCCCAAGGGTACTTGCATAATTTTATTAGGAAACACTTAATGATGAAAAAAAAGAAAAGTTCAGGACTGAAGAAAGGGAGTTCGTAAAGCAGAGTTCCAGGCAGCTGAGTGAGAAATTTGGGGGCTGGGATACTCGGGTGGCCTCCCTTACGTTCTATCTGCTTTGCCCATATTTGAGAGGAGTCCTCAAGCCATGAAGGGGTTAAGAGCCAGCCAGTGGGAAAAACTAGGAGGGGAGGCAGAAGGGAAGGACAAAGGAATCTAGGGCCTCTGAAGGCAGGCTAGCTGGCTGGAACTGGCCCATCCCTCCCATGACTTGCTAAATATAGCTGTTAAGTCATCTGCAGCCCCACGGGGTCATTCTAACAGAGGAGCTGGGCAGGGGAATCAGCGGTGGTTTGCAGTTCCAGGTCAGAGGTGTCTTGGAGAAAGCACCATTGGCACATTCTCTCCCTGCGATTTGTTCCTCTGAGCTCAGTGTGACCCTTGTGTGTGGTGTCCACCCTGAGCACTGCATGCCCCTCCATGCCCCCTAACATGACAAAGCCAGGCTGTCCCCAGCCAACTCCGATGGCATCCCTGCATTGCACTCAGTTCTTTTGCTGAGGAACATTCCCCACTGAAGCAGGACAGACCCATGCAAAGTGCTGATGGACAGGGGTCTCTGCTGACAGCGCACAGGGCCAGCCCCAAGCTCAGGGGCCCCTGCTGGACTCTCTTCCTGGAGTGGGATTCGGAGGAAAGAGGTCATTCTGGAGAACTGGGGCTGCTCTCCCTACTTGTTTGTTTCTGGGTGCAACCACAGGCCGGTGTCACCGCGTCCTCTCGCTGACATGCGTTGGCTCAGAGCAATGTTCAGTGAAGGAGCTGAGCACAGACTTTGTCAACTGGAAACTCATGTTCTCTGTTAAAAAAAAAAAAAAAAAAGAGAAAGGAAATCTATTGGGGAAAGGGCAAAGAGAAAGAGATGGATTCAGAGAGACCAGTCATATTTCACAGTAAGAAGAAATTCTTGGCAGGGCGTGGTGGTTCATGCCTGTAATCCTAGCACATTGGGAGGCCAAGGCAGGCAGATCACCTGAAGTCAGGAGTTCAAGACCAGCCTGGTCAACATGGCAAAACCCTGTCTCTACTAAAAATACAAAAAATTAGCCAGGCGTGTAATCCCAGGTACTTGGGAGGCTGAGGCAGGAGACTCACTTGAGCCCGGGAGGTGGAGGTTCCAGTGAGCCGAGATTGCACAACTGCACTCCAGCCTGGGCAACAGAGCGAAACTGTCTCAAAAAAAAAAAAAAAAAAAAAATTCTTGATTTTTGGAAATGGCTTTTTCTTTAAGACAGAAGTTTTTGTATCCTTAGATGAGATGTTAATAAAATAGTATTCCTCTTTTATGCAGACACATGGGTTCTGTTTATAAAAGAAAGCAGACATTGTCTCTGGCCATGCACGTTAGGGGAGGACTGTTCACACACACACGCACAGACACACACACACACTCTCTCTCGCGAGTACAGCACTAGGCACTTTGTAAACATGTGCCTATTCAGGGCAGACCTGGGTTAGGACATTAATTTGCTTCCCTGAAGTGTTTCCCTGTTTTGTCTGAGGCCTGCAATCACTGGTCACCAGTAAGGGTGTTCTAAAGGGTCGGTCCCACTCTTTTGCCGTATTAGTGGCCTTACTGGACAAAGGTCAGTGAAATGTCTCCAAGTAGCGGCAGCCAGCCCAGAGGTTTCTTCCTGATTATCACCTCCTCTCA
Source organism: Homo sapiens (assembly GCF_000001405.40). Taxonomy (NCBI): domain Eukaryota; kingdom Metazoa; phylum Chordata; class Mammalia; order Primates; family Hominidae; genus Homo; species Homo sapiens. The sequence goes on from NC_000008.11 coordinate 30,281,312, forward strand.
GTAACTCCCCAGAAGCAGCAGGAGGGTTGCAAGTTTCTTCTCACCTTTGTTGGAAGGCTGCTGTAGGCTTCCACAGATCCCAACAGCAAGGTTTCTCAGACTCCCATGTACATCTTGTTTAAAACGCAGACTCTGATTCAGGAGGGCTGGCTGGGGCCTGGGAGTCAGATTTTTTTTTTTTTTTTTAAACAGAGTCTCACTCTGTCACCCAGGCTGGAGAGCAATGGTGCAATCTCGGCTCACTGCAACTTCCACCTCCCAGGTTCAAGTGGTTCTACTGCCTCAGCCTCCCGAGTAGCCGGGAGCAGCTCCTGGCCTGGGAGTCAGCATTTCTAATCAGCTTCCAGAGGACGCCAGGGCTTGGTGCAAACAACACTTTGAAAAGCAGGCCGGGCGCGGTGGCTCACGCCTGTGATCCCAGCACTTTGGGAGGCCGAGGTGGGTGGACCACCTGAGGTCAGGAGCTCCAGACCAGCCTGGCCAACATGGTGAAACTCTGTCTCTACTAAAAATCCAAAAAAAAAAAAAAAAAAAAAATTAGCTGGGCATAGTGGCATGCCTGAAATCCCAGTTACTTGGGAGGCTGAGGCAGGAGAATTGCTTGAACCTGGGAGGTGGAGGTAGCAGTGAGCCGCGATTGTGCAACTGCGCTCCAGCCTGGGTTACAAAGTGAGACCTTGTCTCAAAAAAAAAAAGGAAAGACAAGGCCCGGAGGACCTCGTTATAGAAGCGCTGTGTGTCCAGAGCACACCTGCGGATTTCATCCAGCTTTGTGAAGCTCCCCTTCCTCCCCATGGACTCAAGCTCTCCTGGCTGCTCTGGAACTCCTGGTCTATGTTTTTTGTTTTGTTTTGTTTTGTTTTGCTTTTTTGTGAGATGGAGTCTCGCTCTGTGCCCCGGGCTGGAGTGCAGTGGCATGATCTTGGCTCACTGCAACCTTCTCCCCCTGGGTTCAAGCAATTCTTGTGTCTCAACCTCCCAACTAGCTGGGACTACATGTGCACGCCACCACGCCTAGCAATTTTTAGTAGAGATGGGGTTTCACCATGTTGCCCAGGCTGGTCTAGAACTCCTGAGCTCAGGCGATCCACCCACCTCGGCCTCCCAAAGTGCTGGGATTACAGGCATAAGCCCCCACGTCCAGCACTCCTGGTCTGTGTTCTGTTCTTGTTCTGCCCAAGGACTGAGTGACCCTACACATACTGCCTTCCTCCTGCTTCCCATGGAAACTTATTGAATCAATAATAATAATATTGCCCACCTGCTAAATTCTACACTGGGCACTGTGCTAACATGAATCGTCACAGATGGGGTGTGTGGCCACCATACTGCAATCCAAGGAAGGACACCGAGTTTCTGAGAAATGAGCTGATGACTCTAATTATGGCACCCTGCTTGTGCCCCGTTAAGAGCACAGGTGGCAAATGCCCAGAGATCTGAAGAGTGGGCACCTTCTTGGACTCTGGGCACAGTTCTGGAACCCGTGCCTAATTGTCTTCTGTGTGAGACTACAGCCTCACCAAACAGGACTCCTTGCATCCGGGCACTGGAGCTGGGGTGCTAGGGCCCCCAGAACACTGCCACGTGAGGTTGAGAATGAGCTTAGCAGGGTTACCATACACCCATGAGGCAGAGAAAAAACAAAAGAGGTGACAATCTTCAGATTTTGAGGCTTTGGGAAAGATGCCCCCAGTGGAAAACAGGCTTATCTCAGAAAGCTGCCCTTGCTTCCACTTTCAGCTCACAGTAGGTCCTGGCATTCCTTTGTCGTTTTCCCCATTCCAGAAGATGGAGTAAGAGAGTAAGGGAAGGGATTTGTTTACTCTGGAGTCTTTAATACTCAACTGTCCACTGCAGTGATGGAAAAAGGGGACACAGGCCCTCTACACACAAACACCAAAGGTCAAAAGGTCAGGTGAGCCCTTCTGACCTCACATGAACACACACAGGTATGTGCACACATATGCACAAGCATGCACACACATGCGTGTGCACACACACGCACACACACGATTTGCCAAACAAATAAAGGATGCAAGATGGGAGGGGAGATATTATACTTGGAAACAAACTTTTATTATTATTATTATTTTTTTTTTTTTTTGGAGACAAGTCTTGCTCTGTCGCCCAGGCTAGAGTACAGTGGCACCAACTCGGCTCGCTGCAATCTCTGCCTCCTGGGTTCAAGCAATTCTCCTGCCTCAGCCTCCTGAGTAGCTACAACTACAGGTGTGTGCCACCACGCCCAGCTCATTTTTTTGTATTTTAGTAGAAATAAGGTTTCATCATGTTGCCCAGGCTGGTCTCGAACTCCTGAGCTCAGGCAATCTGCCTGCGTTGGCCTCCTAAAGTGTTAGGATCACAGGCATGAACCATTGTGCCTAGCCTGTTTTATTATTTTTTTATTTAAAAAACAATTTTTGAGACAGGGTCCTGCTCTGTCACCCAGGCTGCAGTGCAGTGGCACAATCATAGCTCACTGCAGCGTTGAACTCCTGGGCTCAAGTGATCCTCTTGCCTCAGCCTCCCAAATAGCTGGGACTACAGGCAAGCACCACAACACCTGGCTAATTTGGTATTTTTTTGTAGAGACAGTGTTTTGCCATGTTGCCCAGGCTGGTTTCAAACTCCTAAGCAATCTTCCCAAAGTATTAGGATTACAGGCGTGAGCCAACTCAGCCGCCCAGAAACAATCTTTTAAAGAGAATCTGGGGAGAAGCCATCGTCATATATCTGTGTCCTCATCACTTGCGTGAGTCCTGACCCACCCCTCACTTCATTAAACTTAACGTGGAAAATGATCAATTGTACTCATTTTTGTCTGTATTCTTGCTTCTCTCAGCTCAGTCTGTGCTCTCCTCGGGGTATCCTGGGAAGTAAACCATCCCTTTTCCTTTCTGTAACACTTCACTTTAATCAAAATCTATTTTATCTGCTGGACGATAGCTCCCTCCTCCCCTGGTATGACATTCCTCTCACTCTCCACCTTCCTAGGGGCCTCTCCTTTTCCTGGGTCCCCGTCCCTTTTCCCAACTAGTTCTTTCATCAACTCTCGGCAGCTTCCATGGATGTCCACACCATTCTGTTCACGCGCCTTTCCCAATCCTTCTTCCTGCTCAACATGCTCTAGGATCTTCTTCAGAGGTCTTAGTCTTTCCCCTTTCCATTCTAGAAACATCCATAAATTTCCTTTCCTTGCAGTTCTTCAGCCTCCACAGGTCTAGAGACCTTTATCTCCACTCATTCCACATCATCAAGACACAAACAGATGACCAGGCAGAGCTGCTCCAGCCCCACGCTCTGAATTCCTGAAATTCTCCTCTGCCCTGCACGTCTCACGCTGTCTTCCTCTTGCTCAACCAGAGATCTCATCACTCCCCTCTCACTATTTCCTCCATGACTCCAGTCTTAATTTGTGTGCTCACCCAGCCTAGAGACTTCCGCCTCTGAGCCATCCCCCTACTCCCTGATGAGTCCCAACCCCCACCCCCCGCCTCCCTGGTTTCTGTGAGGCTCTCCCTCCAGGGTCCCAGCTTCATCTTTCCCACTTTCTCCTTCCCAGACCTTATGTGGTCCCCACTCTGGATAACCTGTCCCTTCCACTTTCTCTCCTCTGCTGGGAGGCCACCGACAGAGGGTCCTTCTTGGTGGCTGGGTTTACTTCTAGCTCTTATTTATTTCATTTTATTTTTGAGACAGAGTCTCGCTCTGTCACCCAGGCTGTAGTGCAGTGGTTGCAATCTTGGCTCAGTGCAAACTCTGCCTCTGGGGTTCAAGTGATTTTCCTGGTTCAACCTCCTGAGTAACTGGGACAACAGGCGCCCACCACTGCGCCCGGCTAATTTTGTATTTTTAGTAGAGACAGGGTTTCACCATGTTGGCCAGGCTGGTCTCGAACTCCTGACCTCAAGTGATCTGCGTGCCTCAGCCTCCCAAAGTGCTGGGATTACAGGCATGAGCCACTGTGCCTGGCCTACTTTAACTTCCATGAAGGTTTCAATAACTCCTGGCAGTCCTTAGGCATCTCTGGCTCCTTCACATTGCTCTGAGTCCCAGCCCATTTCTGCCCTCTCCTTCTCAGATATCCTTCTTTACTGAAAATATTGTGATTATCTGAAGTAAGAGGTTGCCTCATTTTCTATCTCCCTGCCAGCCTTCTCTTAGTTAGAATATTTATTTTCAGCCTGGAACACTGTCATAACCTCCTGACTGCAGGACCCCATTCTCTCCTCACTCCAGTGCACTGTTGGACTTATTGTTTCAAAGACAACATTCCTCCCTTGCCTAAAAATCTTCAGGTAGGCCAGGCATGGTGGCTCACACCTATAGTCCCAGTGCTCTGAGAGGCCAAGGTGGGAAGATCACTCGAGGCCAGGAGTTCAAGACCAGATGGACAACAGAGCGAGACCCCATCTCTGCCCCTCCCCAAAATAATTTTTTTTTTAAATTAGCTGGGCATGGTGGTGCATGCCTGTAGTCCCAGCTACTTAGGAGGCTGAGGCAGAGGATCACTTGTGCCCAGGGGCTTAAGGCTGCAGTGAGCTATGATTGTACCACTGCACTCCAGCCTGGGCAACAGAGCGAGTGAGATTCTGTCGAGGAAGGAAGGAAAGGAAAGAAGGAAATCTTTAGATGTCTCCTGGCCACCAAATAAAATCTAAATGCCTTGACCTGCCAGCATGGCTGTTTTCCCCACATACCCCATTTTGTCTGCCACTAAATCTTTGCTTGTGCTATTTTCTCTAGCTCCAGGGCCTTCTCTCCCAATTGCCACATGATCTAATCTTGTCTTACCTCAGAGGCCAGCGCAAAACCCATCTTGGCCAAGAAGTTGTCCCTAAACCCTCCTGCTAGAAGGGACTGCTCCCACTTTTGCTTTCTTACAGCTCTTGAATCCTCCTGCAGCATTTATAACCTTCCACCTTATCCTCCAGTTAATGCACAGGAAGGTAAGTTCCTTAAGGGCCAGGGCCCGTTCTACACCTCGGTACAGACCCCACAGCAGTAGCACAGTATATGAGCCACAATGCTAGTCTATTCAGGATGTTTCTATTTTTATTTTTAATTAATTCATTAATTAACTTTTTTTTTTTTGAAACAGGATCTTACTCTGTTGCACAAGCTGGAACGCAGTGGCACAATAATAGCTCACTGCCACCTTGACCTCCTGGGCCCAAGAGATCCTCCCACCTCAGCCTCCCAAGTACTGGGGACTACAGGCACATGCCACCACACCTGGCCAATTTTGTTTTGTTTTGTTTGTTTGTTTGTTTGTTTGTTCATTTTTAGAATTGAGGGCTCTGTATGTTGTCCAGGCTGGTCTTGAACTCCTGGCCTCCAGTGATCCTTTCACCTTGGCTTCCCAAAGAGCTAGGATTATAGGCATCAGCCACCATGCCCAGCCCAAGATGCTTTTCTAACAAAGGCAAAAAAAAAAAAAAAAGTACATTAGATAAACACACGCACAGTTGCTTACAGACAGCAGTAGGAAGTACACGGACTGCTGGGCCTCAGAGAAGCCTGGAGCCAGGGGCTGGAATTCAACAGGATACATGTTCCTGCTCTATCACTATTTCTCTCTGCATGTGGAGTCATTCTGCTGCAGCCAGGATACCCCCATGTAGTTTGAGGACCCCCAGGTCACACATACCAGGCTTCTAGCCCCAAAGACTATGGACTCTGTTCCCTCAGTTCCTCTTTTTAAAATCTTAGAGAAAAAAATTAATGCAATAAAAATCTTAGAGAAGTGCTCTAATGGGTCCAGTGTGGGTCAGGTGTCTGCCCCTGGACCCATCAGCTATGGCCAGGGGATTGGGTGACTCAGTCTATGCACAGCCCACTCCTGAGTTCTAGAGTCACTTTTAGAAAGGGGGAATCTTCTTCCGGGCATGGTGGCTCACACCTGTAATCCCAGCACGTTGGGAGGCCAAGGCAGGTGGATCACTTGAGGTCAGGAGTTCAAGACCAGCCTGGCCAACATCGTGAAACCCTGTCTCTACTAAACATACAAAAAAATCAGCCGGGCATGGTGGTAGGAACCCGTAATCCCAGCCACTCAGGAGGTTGAGGCAGAAGAATTGCTTGAACCCAAGAGGCAGAGGTTGCAGTGAGCCGAGATCGTGCCATTAGACTCCAGCCTGGGCGATAGAACGAGACTCTGTATCAGAAAAAAAGGGTGAATCTTCATGAGCACCCCAAGAATTCTAGCACACTTGTACCCAATAAATGTATAATAAATATGTGTCATTAATATTTGTATTATCATGAATTATGTAGTTGTGCTATAAGAAGTCAGTTACTGCTTGGGGTGCCTCTGTCATTTTAACCATATCCCTTATTCTTGCCCGTTCATTAACACAGGACTTCTAATAGTTCCACTTGATCAGCTTAATTTCAATTAGTATATATGCTTGAAAGGAATAAACTTGGCTCTTTCTTAAAGAACTCTTAAAATGAAACTTTAGCTGGAGATCTTACCTCCAGCTAAAATGGATTGGTAAAGTTTCCATGTAGGTATATCAGACTAAAAATGACATCAAGCCCACTGTTGCCTTTTTAAATTACAACTTTTTATTGTTGCACAAATTCCTTCCATTTTTACTGATTTCTTCTTCTCCAAGTCCATGGGCATCCTATACCTCAAACCCCAGCATTTCTGGGTTTGATTTGCTATATGGGAGAGTATCTCTGTGTCTTTTGTCCACGTTATTATTTGTTATGAAAAATTATGAGCATGTTCCCTAAGACTAGGTTTTCTAGCATGGTTCCTTATGGCCAGGGCTGTGTGACTCTCAGATTGGAAAGTGTGTCGAGGAATGAGTTGGTTTTGTCACTTTTAGCTTTTTTACACTTTGAGCTCTTTGAAAGCCCAGGCACACATTTTGACCCCTTTTATGAATGCCCTCTCCATGGAAAGTAAATAAATGAATTACCCAGAACTTCTGGCCCTTGGGTCCTTGAGGGTTGGAGGAATGGCAAGAAAAATCTTTTGTATCAGCCAAACACTTACAAGCAAGGGAAGAAAGGAAGGAAGCACTTTATGCAAAAGCCAAGCATCTATTAATGTATGAAAATGAAATTAATTTAGCCAGATGACACATAGTCCAAATATCTACACAATGAATTGAATTTGTTTCCCCATAGATTTGGGGTTGCCAGATTTAGTAGATAAAAATAATAATGCCCAGTTAAATTCGAATCTGAAATAAACCATTTTATAGCAGGCAGATAGATAGATAGATAGATAGATAGATAGATAGATAGATAGACAGATAGATAGATGGGCATTAGTATAACTATGTCCCATAGTTTAGTTTAGCAATACTTGGAACATACTGTGATGGTTAATTTTATATGTCAATTTAACTGTCCAAAGGGTGCCAGATATTTAGTTAAACATTATTCTTGGTGTTCCCGTGAGGGTGTTTCTGCATGAGATTAACATTTGAGTCAGTAGACTGAGCAAAGCAGATCACCCTCCTCAGTGTAGGTGGCCCACATCCAATCCATTGAAGGCCTGAATAGAACAAAAGTCTTGAGCAAGAGACAATTCACTCCCTCTCTCTGCCTGGCAGTCTTTGAGCTGGGACATTGATCTTCTCTTGCCTTGAAACTTGAACTGGAACTTACACCATTAGCTCTCCTGATTCTCAAGCCTTTGAACTATGGGTCTTGGGACTTCTCCGCCTCCATATCACGTGAGCCAGTTCATTAAAATAGGTAGGTAGGTAGGTAGATAGATAGATAGATCTATTGGTTCTGTTTCTCTGCATAACCTTCATGAATACAATATTTATTATACTAAAGAATAAATTTGTAATTGAAAATTGTAGTTTATATGAAATTCAAATTTAATCAAGTATCCTGTCTTTTATCTGGTAACCCTGCACAGATCAGATATTTTGGCCTTGTATAGGCACAGTCTGAATTTTACTTTTAAGCTAATAATGACTTTGTTAAAGATATATATCCATAGGAGCTAAGTTCTTCCCATGGTTTATCCACTGTCTTTGAAATTGAAATTTAGACTGTTCTTCTTCATTCCAAGCCTTTCTTTGATATAGCTCACAGCCTCAGCATGGGGCACTAAAGCATGGTTTAATAATGGATAAGTTGAGTTAATGCTCCATTCTGTTAGTGTGCTCTTTATTAATTTGCCTCTAACTTCGAGTGCATCATAGTGTTTAGTCCAGGGTCACAACCTTTCACCCTCTTTTATGCTTCTAAATAGTGATGATGCAGTCTTCTATTCAAGGACCATTTGTCAAGCGTATATTTCATGTAAAGCACATTTCTAGACTCTAGGGGCATACAAAGATTCATAAACTTCATTCAGTGACTCTATATTTGAAGCCTATGGTGCCAAGCACTATTCAAGGTGTTAGGAGTGTGATAGAGTTTCCACCCTTGAGGAACAAGGGAGTTGAGGAGGACACATCAGAGAGGGTGGTAGAAGAAACCAAGATCCTTGACCCCAAAGGACATGCTATTCTGCTAACTGCCAGGGTTTCATTTTCCTGAATGGAATATACAAGCTAAATTTTTTTTTTCACTTTTACTTTAGGTTCAGGAGTACATGTACAGGTTTGTTATATAGGTAAATTGCATGTCACCGGGGTTTGGTGTACAGATTATTTCATCAGCCAGGTGATAAGCATAGTACCTGAAAAGTGGTTTTTTGATCCTCACCCTCTTCCCACCCTCCACCCTCAACTAGGCCCTGGTGTCTGTCGTTCCCTTCTTTGTGTCCGCGTATACTCAATATTTAGCTCCCACTTATGAGTGAGAACATGTGGTGTTTGGCTTTCTGTTCCTGATTTAGTTTACTAAGGATAACGGCCTCCAGCTCCATCTGTGTCTCTGCAAAGGACATTATCTCATGTTTTTTTATGGCGGCGTAGTATTCCATGGTGTATATGTACCACATTTTCTTTATTCAGTCTACTGTTAATGGACATTAAGGTTGATTCTATGTCTTTGCTATTGTGAATAGTGCTACAGTGAACATACACGTGCACGTGTCTTTATGGCAGAGTGATTTATATTCCTTTGGGCATATGCCCATTGATGGAATTTCTGGGTTGAATGATAGCTCTAAGTTCTTTGAGAAATTACCAAACTGCTTTCCACAGTGGCTAAATTAATTCCACAGTGGCTACCACAGTGGTAAATTAAATTACCTTCCCACCAGCAGTATATAAGCGTTCCCTCTTCTTCGCAACCTCACTAGAATCTGTTATTTTTTGACTTTTAAATTATAGCCACTCTGACTGATGTAAGACGGTATATCATTGTGTTTTTGATTTGCATTTCTCTAATGATCAGTGATGTTCAACTGTTTTTCCATATGCATGTTGGCCACATATATGTCTTGTTTTTAAAAGTGTCTATCTGTTCATGTCCTTTGCACATTTTTAATGGGGTTGTTTGATTTTTGCTTGCTAATATGTGTAAGTTCCTTATAGATTCTGGATATTAGACCTTTGTCAGATGCATAGTTTGCAAATACTTTCTCCCATGCTGTAGGTTGTCTGTTTATCCTGTTGATAGTTTCTTTTGCTGTGTAGAAGCTCTTTAGTTTGATTGGGTTCTATTTGTCAATTTCTGTTTTTGTTGCAGTTGCTTTTGGCATCTTCCTCATGAAATCTTTGCCAGTTCCTATGTCCAGAATGATATTTCCTAGGTTTTCTTCTAGGGTTTTTATAGTTTTAGGTTTTACATTTAAGTCTTTAATCCATCTTGAACTGATTTTTGTGTATAGTGTAAGGAAGGGGTCCAGTTTCAATCTTCTTCATATGGCTAGTCAGTTCTCCCAGCACCATTTATTGAATAGGGACTCCTTTTTCTATTGCTTGGTTTTTTTTTTTTTTTTTTTTTGGTTTTTTTTTGTTTGTTTGTTTTTTTGTTGTTGCTTTTTTTTTGTTGGTGGTATGCATACGATGTAACCTCTTTTTCACAGATTCCATAGACTCTTCAATAAAACATCAATTTTCTCTTGAATGTGTTATGAGATAGAATGTGTTTTGGATGATATGACAAAGTGATGAGTATGGCCTCAAAGTGGATGTAAAGTAAAAGCCAAGGCCTTCAATGGGAGGCCCACCCTATCTGGGTTACATCATGGGAAGCCTCACCTCCCCGAAGAGAGACAAGGAATCTAGCTGCATTTCAGATTAAATTGCTAAGAAGACAATCTCACCATCTGTGCCAAATATCTGGATTTTTGTTTAAGAGGGTGAAAATAGCCTGGCAGGAGCCACAGTGGTCCTTGGCATCATTAAGTTTCTTTTGTTTCAAGCAAACCAAGGCTGGTTAGACAAGAAAAAAAGAGAGGATGTAGGGAGAAGAGACTGCTGGTTAGACCATCTTGAAATTACATGGAGTAATTCACACACTCATAGGAATTGCTGAACAGCCAGGCCTTGGGAAGGAAAGAGCGACAGGGACCACGGCTCCTCTAGTGGCCTCGGGGGGGTCGTAGACATTTTTCTGGGCTGCTGCCATCATGTGTTTCAGCCCTACTTAGTTATCATCTCTGTTCATGTTTTCAAGTTTCTGTGAGAGTATAGTTTGAATCAGAGGTTTCTACCCCTTGAGAACAGTTAATGCAGAAGTGGCCCATGGAGGGATTGATTGATTGGGCAGTCTCTTGTTTTCATGTCTCCCACCTATCTCATGGCTAAATGGAAGTAGTGTAATCTTGGATGCTTATACTGCTTCTCTTAGTCTGTTAAGTGTTGCTATATAGGAATACCTGAGGCTGAGTAATTTCTAAAGAAAAGAAGTTTATTTAGCTCACAGTTCTGTTGTCCAGCAGGTTCAAGACTGGGCATCTGGTGAGGGCCTCAGGCTGCCTCTGCTCATGGTAGAAGGGGAAGGGGAGTTGGCATGTGCAGAGATCACACAGCAAGAAAGGAAGCAAGAGGGAGCAGGAGTGGGGCCAGGCTCTTTTTAACAAGCAGCTCTTACAGGAACTAATAGAATTCACTCACCCCTCCCCACACACACCCAGGGAAGGCATTAATCTATTCATGTAAGGGAACAACCCCCCATGACCCAAATGCCTTCCATTAGGCCGCACTTCTAACATTGGGGGTCAGATTTCAATGTGAGATTTAGAGGGGTCAAACATCTAAACTATGGCACTGCTGTATCTTTCTCTTTGATTAACTGAAAGATTTTCCTCATTCCATTCCATTGGGCAGAAGCAATATTTGAAGAGATAGTAACTAGACATTTTCGGAACTGATCAGATACTGATCTAGACATCCAGGAAGCCCATTGAATCCCAAGCAGAGTAAGTAAACGTTCTTAGATACATCATAGTGAAATTGCATAAAACTAAAGAGAAAAATTATAGAAAGCCACCAGGAAAAAAGGAGAGAGAGAGAAAGAGAAAGAGAGAGAGACAAGAAAAGATTACCCTCTACCTTTCCCCCACAACCACTAACCTGGAAGTTATGCACTCTGTTTCTGTTCTTTTGTTGGTTACCCTAGAAATTTCAATTTGGATACTTACTATGCCAAAGTTTCAGTTAATCAATATCTGTATCTTTTCCCAACCAATACAAAAACCTTGGAATACTTAAATTCCACTCCCCCTTATCTACTTATAAATTATTACTTTTTATTTATTTTAATTCAATTTTTAACACACAACTAAACATTACTAATTATGATCTTCAATTGTCAGTTTATTTGCATTTACCACGTTCTTTGCTCTTCACTCCTTTTGTGTCTCAAACATGTTATATGGGATTACTTTATTTCTGCCTCAAGTATATCCTCCATCATTTCCTTTAGGAGGTTTTTTTAGTAATGAACTAACAATTTTTATTTATCTGGAACATTTATTTTGTCCTTATTCTTGAGAGATATTTTTACTTGGTATTCAATTCTAGGCTGGTAAATTATTTTTTCAGTATATCACAGATATCATATCACTGCTTTGCTGGCTTCCACCGTTGCTATTGAAAATCTGCCTTCAGAAAGGACTCGTATCCAGAATCTACAAAGAACTCAAACAAATTAGCAAGAATAAACAAACAATCCTATCAAAAAATGGGCTAAGGACATGAATAGACAATTCTCAAAGGAAGATATACAAATGGCCAACAAACATATGAAAAAATGCTCAAAATCACTAATGATCAGGGAAATGCAAATCAAAACCACAATGCAATACTACCTTACTCCTGCAAGAATGCCCATAATAAAATTAATTAAAAAATAATAATAGATGTTGGTGGGGATGCAGTGAAAAGGGAACACTTTTATGCTGCTGGTGGGAATGTAAACTAGTACAACCACTATGGAAAACAGTGTGGAGATTCCTTAAAGAACTGAAAGTAGAGCTACCATTTGATCCAGCAGTCCCACTACTGGGTATCTACCCAGAGGAAAAGAAGTCATTACATGAAAAAGATATTTGCATACGAATGTTTATAGCAGGACAATTTGCAATTGCAAAAATATGGAACCAACCTAAATGGCCATAAATCAATGAGTGGATAAAGAAATTGTTGTATATATACATATACCATGGAATACTATTCAGCCATAAAAAGGAACGAAATAATGGCATTTGCAGCAACCTGGATGGAATTGGAGACTGTTATTCTAAGTGAAGTAACTCAGGAATTGAAAACCAAACATCATATTTTCTTACTTATAAGTGGGAGCTAAGCTGTGAGGATGCAAAGGCGTAAGAATGATACATTGGACTTTGGGGACTTAGGAGAAAGGGAGGGAGAGGGGTGAGGGATAAAAGGTTACAAATTGGGTGCAGTGTATACTGCTCAGGGGATGGGTGCACCAAAATCTCACAAATCACCACTAAAAAACTTACTCATGTAACCAAACACCACCTGTTCCTCCAAAACCTATGGAAAAAATAAAAATAAAAATAAAATAAAAAATAAAGAAAATCTGCTGTCAGTCTAGCTACTGCTCCTTTGAAGCCAATCTTTTCTTTCTTTGTCTCTTTCTTTTTCCTGGCTACTTTTATGATTTTTCTCTTTAGTTTTATGCAACTTCACTATGATGTGTGATAGAGTTTGGATCTGTGTCCCCACCAAATCTCATGTCAAGTTGTGATTTCAATCCCCAGTGTTGGAAGTGGGGCCCGGTGGGAGGTGATTGGATTATGGACGTGGGTTTCTCATGAATGGCTTAGCACCATCCCCTTGTGCTGTTCTCATAATCGTGAGTGAGTTCTTACAAGATCTGGTTGGTTAAAAGTGTGCAGCACCTTCCCCTCTCTCTCTTGCTCCTGTTCCCACCGTATAAGACCTACCTGACTTCCCTCTCCCTTCCACCATGATTGTTTCCTGAGTTTCCTCAGGCCTCCCCAGAAGCCAAGCAGATGCAAGCATCATGCTTCCTATACAGCCTGTATTTTTTTTTTCAGCCACCTCTTTTGCTTATTCTTTCTTTTTAAAAATATTTTATTATTATACTTTAAGTTCTGGAGTACATGTGCACAGCGTGCAGGTTTGTTACATAGGTATACATGTGGCATGTTGCTGCACCCATCAACTCGTCATTTACATTAGGTATTTCTCCTAATGCTATTCCTCCCCCAGCCACCCACCCCCCGACAGGCCCCGGTGTGTGATGTTCCCCTCCCTGTGTCCACGTGTTCTCATTGTTCTACTCCCACTTATGAGTGAGAACGTGCAGTGTTTGGTTTTCTGTCCTTGTGATAGTTTGCTGAGAATGATGGTTTCCAGTTTCATCCATGTCCCTGCAAAGGACATGAACTTGTCCTTTTTTATGGCTGCATAGTATTCCATGGTGTATATGTGCCACACTTTCTTTATCCAGTCTATCATTGATGGGCATTTGGGTTGGTTCCAAGACTTTGCTATTGTGAACAGAGCTGCAATAAACATACGTGTGCATGTGTCTTTATACTAGCATGATTTATAATCCTTTGGGTATATAGTAATAGGATTGCTGGGTAATGAGATGGCTGGGTCAAATGATATTTCTAGTTCTAGATCCTTGAGGAATCACCACACTGTCTTCCACAATGGTTGAACTAATTTACACTCCCACCAACAGCATAAAAGCGTTCCTATTTCTCCACATCCTCTCCAGAATCTGTTGTTTCCTGACTTTTTAATGATCGCCATTCTAACTGGTGTGAGACGGTATACAGCCTGTAGAATGGTGAACCAATTAAGCCTCTTTTCTTTATATATTACCCAGACCCAGGTATTTCTTTACAGCAATGTGAGAATAGACTAATACAATGTTTCTACTTATGTTTTACTTATCCTGCTTGGGATTCAACGGGCTTCTTGGATGTCTAGATCAGTATCTGGATCTGTTCTGAAAATGTCTGGTTACTATGTCTTCAAATACTGCCTCTGGCCAATTCTTTCTCCCCTTCCTTCTAAAATTCCCTTTTAACATTATCTTTTATGTCTCTTAACCTCTCTGTCATATTTTCCATTTTTAATTCTTTTTGCCTTCAGAAAAATTAATTTTGCTCTTTAACTAATTGTTTCTTCAATTGTGTCTAACCCATCACCGAACTTTTAATGTTGGCGAAAGCCTAAACTTAGATATTTTAAAAATCCTTAGTTATTTTTAAAATCCTTAGTTTTTTATTTTTACTTTTATTTTTATATATTTTATTTTATTTTATTTTTGAGACGAAGTCTCACTCTGTCACCTAAGCTGGAGTGCAGTGGTGTGATCTCGGCTCACTGCAACCCCCGCCTCCTGAGTTCAAGTGATTCTCCTGCCTCAACCTCCCAAGTAACTGGGATTACAGGCAAGTGCCACCACGCCCGGCTAATTTTTGTATTTTTTGTAGAGATGGAGTTTCACCATGTTGATCAGGCTGGTCTTGAACTCCTTATGTCAGGTGATCCGCCCACCTCAGCCTCCCAAAGTGCTGGGATTACAGGCATGAGCCACCATGCCCAGCCAATCCTTAGCTATTTTTAACATCCTTAGTTATTTAAAAAATATTTGACACAGTCAGCAAAGATGTTTTATAATTTATAACTGCTCATTCAATAATATAAAGTCTACATGAATTTTTTTGGCTCTTTTTTGTTTCTGTTGGTTTCCTTGTGGGCCTGGATATCTTTAATTATGTGCTGCTATTGGCCTTAGAAAATGATCTGGGGAGATGCTCTGTGGCCTAAGATGAAGGTGCCCTTCTTCCAGGAGAATTTGTGTATGCCTCTTTTAGGTACAGAGGTACCTTTCTGTCTGGTACTACTCTAAGCTTCATTCAGGGTTTAAGGTTCCTTAGACTACCCACATCTTGTGAATTCGTGGGAGGAACTGTAATTACAACTTCCCATGGATTTTATATTTATCCCTTGCTCCTTCTGGCCGAGTTAAATTGACCCAAACATCTCAAGGGTAGAAGCAGGAAGGTGGTTTCACCTTTGAGAGTCTCTTTTCATGCAGAGGCTTCCATTAAATCTTTGTCTTCAGAGGGAACTGCATGTTAGCTTCTGCCCTTCTCACACTGAGGGTCTGTGAAAACCACTGCTCTGTTTCTCAGACCAATTTGGCAAACACTGTCAGGACAAAAGTAGTTCAGAGTGCTCTGCTGGCCTCTGGATTTTTTGCATTTTCTTAACTTTTAACCTGATATTTTTTTAAAAATTGATCAGTAATTTTATGAAGATTTAAAAAATTTGTTGTCATTATTTTTATTATTTTTATTATTATTTTTTTGAGACGGAGTCTTTCTCTGTCATCCAGACTGGAGTGCAGTGGCAGGATCTTGGCTCACTGCAGCCTCCGCCTCCTAGGTTTAAGCAATTCTCCTGTCTCAGCCTCTCAAGTAGCTGGGATTACAGGTGTGCACCACCACACCTGGCTAATTTTTGTATTTTTAGTAGAGATGGGGTTACACCATGTTGGCCAGGCTGGTCTCAAACTCCTGATCTCAGGTGATCCACTCTCCTTGGCCTCCCAAACTGCTGGGATTACAGGCGTGAGCCACTGCACCAGCCTTGTCATAATTTTTAAATACTCTTCAGCAAAGGGTAGCTCTGAAAAACCTGACTTACCATGAAGAAGTCATCTGGACACATAGGGTGAACACTTCAGCCAGTTTAACCTCTCTCTGGGAAATTAACACTGCATCCTCTGCTGGGAGGCAAAGCTACCCACTCTGCATCAATCAAGTGTTTAGTGATCTTTGGAAGACTAGAGGTTTGTAACTGTCTTGAGGCAAATAATTCTAAAAAAACAACCTTGCAGGTGGCCAGATTTTTCATTCTGAGGTCTTTAAAATACTTCTCCCATCCTGCACCAAAAGGGCTCCCTCCACGTATAAATTCCACACCTGGAAAGAGGAAGCATCTGGTGGGTGACCTACCTATAGTAGACTTTCCCCCACAGTCTCTGGCCCCCATCATGGTAGATATATGGCCCGTTCACACTTTATTCCTCATGAGTGGAATTTGCCTCAAGAAAGAGGGGCACTTGCACCTTGCAAAAGCAGGTTCTATCCTTGT
This sequence comes from Homo sapiens, assembly GCF_000001405.40. NCBI lineage: Eukaryota > Metazoa > Chordata > Mammalia > Primates > Hominidae > Homo > Homo sapiens. Next base: position 30,297,805 of record NC_000008.11, read on the forward strand.
TTTGTTTTTGAATTGGCTACATCCATATTTCTGGGGTTTAAGTGTTTTTATTCCTTCCAAAATTCATGTTGGAACTTAATCCTCAAGGTAACAGTATCAGGAGGTGTGGCCTTTGGAATGTGATGGAATCATGAGGGCTCTGTCTTCTTGAATGGGGTTAGGTGCCCTAATAAAAGGGCTTGACAGAGGGAGCTCATCCTTCTTGCTCTTCTGCCTTCTGCTAAGTGAGGACACAGCATTCCTCCCTCCAGAGGATGCAGCATCAACACACCATCTTGAAAGGAGAGAGCAGCCCTCAGCAGACACCAGACCTGTCAGCACCTTGATCTTGGACTTCCCTGCCTCCAGAACTATGAGGAATAAATTTATTTTGTTTATATTAATAAATTACCCAGTCTGTGGTATTCTATCATAGCAACACAAAACAGACTAAGACATATATCGAGGCTGTGTGGGAAAAAGAAGGCAGATAGGCAAGAGAGTTGGTAAGGAGAAGATGGAGAATTTGATTGTTTTTGCTCTTGGTGTTCAAATGCCCTTCCCTGTCTTTCCATAGGATTTTGAGCAAGTTAATCATTTCTCATGGTTAACTTGTGTTGAATTGTCTCTGTTTGGTGGAGATGAAAAAAAAATTAATGAATATGATGTCACGATTGGTTTGAGACTGCCCCCGGAAAGCTGAGCATATCTGCTTTACTTACTCATTTGTTTACCTGTTTGGCCCCTGTAGCTACTGGAACTTGCAACCCTTGATGATGATGGTAATATTAGGTACCCAAGAGAATGAACTCAATGAGGAGATGGGAACTTTCATTTAAATAGCACAGGGGAATGAAATATTTAGCCAGGAAGACTTTGAAATGAGATGTTGCTTAAGTAGAATATCTCAAAGAGAAGACAGTCATGATAATCATTTGCAGCTACAGATTCAAGTTCAGCTAGCATTTACCAAATACCTATTGTGCAGTAGGCATTAGGCCAGGCATTTTGATTTTTTAATTTTTATTTATTTATTATTTTTTAAAGTAGAGACGGCATCTCACTATGTTGTTCAGGCTGGTCTCGAAGTCCTAGCCTCAAGAGATCGCCGGGCACGGTGGCTCACACCTGTAATCCCAGCACTTTGGGAGGCCAAGTGGGGTGTGGATCACAAGGTCAGGAGTTCGAGACCAGCCTAACCAACATGGTGAAGCCTTGTCTCTACTAAAAATACAAAAATTAGCCGGGTGTGGTGGTGGGTGCCTATAATCCCAGCTACTCAGGAGGCTGAGGCAGGAGAATTGCTTGAACCTGGATGGCAGAGGTTGCAGTGAGTGGAGATTGCGCCACTGCACTCCAGCCTCGGCGACAGAGCAAGACTCCATCTCAAGAAAAAAAAAAAAAAATCTTCTGCCTCGGCCTCCTAGAGTGCTGGGGTTACAGGCATGAGCCACTGTGCCTGGCCTAGGCTGGGCATTTTAAAAGGCAGAACCCATTAAATTCAGAACAAAAGAATTATGCCCCTTCTTTGGTGTTGAGCAGGGAAATGTGAAAAAAGAAAACTATTTTAGGACTAAGGAAGGAAGGTTTTCAATAGACATTATGCCATATAGGGAAAAATATTTCAGAAATATTTCCTGGAGGCTCAAGGGCACAATTTAAAGCTCAAGCTTGAATAATACACCACTCAACTAAATCTTTAGTTTTTCTGAAGAATGTGGTAAGAGTATTCTACATAAGAGATTTGCATTTTCTCCATAGTAGTTCATCTTGCATGTTAACTTTAAGGAAAGATTGTACAACATGTTGTTTCTATGAAACCCACTGTGCATGAGAAGAGGACTCTCAGAACACAGAACAAAAGTGCCATGCAACTCTGTTAGGAAAGGAAACACATGTGTCCACATGGGGAGGTATTTCTGCAGGAAAAAGCACTCCATGTCCTTCTCTTTGATAGTGTGTATTATACACTTTCTTTTTTTCTTTTTTTTTCTTTTTTTTTTTTTGAGACAGAGTCTGACTCTATCGCCCAGGCTGGAGTGCAGTGGCGCGATCTCGGCTCACTGCACCCTCTGCCTCTGGGGTTCAAGCGATTCTCCTGCCTCAGCCTCCCAAGTAGCTGGGATTACAGGCCTGCACCACCACGCCTGGGTAATTTTTGCATTTTTAGTATTTAGTAGAGACAGGGTTTCACCATGTTGGCCAGGCTGTTCTCAAACTCCTGACCTCAATTGATCCACCTGCTCCAGCCTCCCAAAGTGCTGGGATTACAGGTGTGAGCCATTGCACCTGGCCTATACACTGTCTTTCACTCTAGCTATTTGTGTGTGCCTTCCATCTCATACTCAACTTCTGGCTTCTTGGGATCTGGGGTGTTATTTTACCACAGTACCTAGCACAATGACTTGCCTATCACAGGCAATAATTAATAAGGGACTGCATGGAGTGCACATATTAATGCTAGATGTGACTCTGCCTCTAAAGATGGGATGAACTCAAGTGTAGCAGATGCTTGTTCTTTTCATCTTGCCAGTGTTTGTTCTTCCTACTTCTCAATGTCAGAATCCAAATTTTTATTGGTTATCTATTCCTTGCCCATGCAATCTGTACCTTTTGGGGAAAACCTGAACTTACTTCTGGCTCCAGGGGCAAATCCTGTTTGGCTTAGACCAATTATGACATTCTATCATCCTCCTGGCCCCAGGGATTGGGTCAAAGATGAGCAGGTTCCCTGCTCCAAGCCAATGAAATGCAAGATGTGATGATGCTTGCTGGAGATTTCAAGGAAAGAAACTTTGTTATTCGTCTGTGGATGCTATGGACAGAGATGCTCTTTTCTACCCTGATATGAATAAAGAAGCCTAAGTTGGCCGGGCACAGTGGCTCACGCCTGTAATCCTAGCACTTTGAAAGGCCAAGGCCTGTGGATCACCTGAGGTCAGGAGTTCAAGACCAGCCTGGCCAATGTGGCGAAACCCCACTTCTACTAAAAATACAAAAATTAGCCAGATGTAGTGGTGCATGCCTGTAGTCTCAGCTACTCAGGAAGCTGAGGCAGGAGAATTGCTTGGACCCAGGAGGAGGAGGTTGCAGTGAGCCGAGATCGTGCCACTGCACTCCAGCCTGGGTGACAGAGGGAGACTCTGTCTCAAAAAAAAAAAAAAAAAAAAAAGCCCAAAGTTGCTGTCAGTCTTCTTGTGACCACAAAGAAGCCAACCTTAAGATACAACAGGCAGCTTGGAAAGCAGACAAAGATATGAAAGTAAACTGGATCATTGTGTCGAGATTATTGAGAAACATATATCTGAACTTCTCAGTTATATGAGCCAGTAATTTTTTTCCTTTATTGTGTGAGGTGGTTGGGTTGGATTTTTGTTACTTGCAACCAAAAGAATCCTAACTAATTTAATTGGGGTGTAGACATTATGATTAATAATGACTCCTTTCAGCTTTTTTTTTTTTTTTTTTGAGACAGAGTTCTGCTCTGTCATCCAGGCTAGAGTGCAATGGCATGATCTTGGGTCACTGCAACCTCCACCTCCCAGATTCAAGTGATTCTCCTGCCTCAGCCTCCAGAGTACTGGGACTACAGGCGTGTACCACCATGTCTGGCTAATTTTTAATTTTTAGTAGAGATAGGGGTTTCACCATGTTGGCCATGCTGGTCTCGAACTTGTACCCTCAGGTGATCTGCCCCACTTGGCCTCCTGAAGTGCTGAGATTACAGGCTTGAGCCACCGTGCCGGCCCATTTCAGCTTTTAACATTCAATGATTCTATTAAGAACTCCAGTTCTTGGGCTGAAGTTCTTAATAGAAGAGCTTAAAGACCAGCCTGGGCAACATAGGGAGATCAGGTCTCTGCAAAAAAAAAATTAAAAATTAGCTAGGCATGCAGGCACATGCCTGTAGACCCAGCTAATCAGGAGACTGAGGTGGGAGAATCGCTTGAGCCCAGGAGATCAAGAGATCAAGGCTGCAGTGAGCTGTGATCGTGTCTCTGCACTCCAGCCTGGGCAACAGAGTGAGACCCTGTCTCAAAAAAAAAAAAGAACTCCACCACAAAAAGTATAATACTTTTAATATGAGATGTGATAAGTCAGTATTAACCATATTGCAACAACACCTACATCAAGAGAGTTGACCATATACCCAACCTTGAGACCCCAGAGAAATTCTCCAGAGCCACAGGGTACATTCCTTCCTTCTCTCCAGCTGCAAATGTCACTCAAAGTTGCCCGTTTTCCACAGGGGTCCAGGTCCATGTTTTCCCAATTGCCTTGTGAGGGTCCTCAAACTCAGAAGTTCCCCTAACCAGGAAGTCTTTACAGAAAAAAAAAAAGTATCTTCTTTCTCTTTGTGTATTCAGCACTTTGAACAGTGCCTGTCACAGACGGGGCACCTAATAAGTATGCATAAAAAAATGTTGGAGTTATACAAGAAGTATTAAACACCTATCGTATGCCAGATTCTGAAGAAGGTGCTGGAATACAGCAATGCACAAAGCAAAGTCACCGCTGCGGGTGGGCGGCATGAAAGGGCCTCTGCGGGGCTGGTAATGTCTCACTCCATATCACCAGGTGCTGATTCTATGGGTGTGTTTACATTGCAAACCTGCATCAAGCCATTCACTTATGATTTGTGCAGTCACTGCATCTTTGCTTTACTTCAGTAAAAATGTTTCTAGAAACAAAACAAGTTCTTGCTCTCAGGATGTTTACACTCTAGTCAGAGGAGGCAGACAATACAAATAAATATGTACCATGTTGGGAGGTAACAAGCGCCATAAAAATATGGATGTAAGAAGAAAGAATTCAGTGAACACTAAGATGAGACAGAACAAGTATCCTTTGCTAGATCGCCCTGAGTGTAGGGTACCCATACTCCAATCATTTATCCGAGAGGGCTCGGATCCCAACCCACTTTCTGAAGCCAGGTTCACACCCTCCTCCATGCTGCTGCTGAACTGAACTAGGAGGTAGTTCCAGGAAAAGATGTAGGAGTGAGTAGGGATGGCTGAACTTAGATTTACAACCTGACTCACAAAATAACACCAGGAAATCTATCTTCAGCTCTGATTTTTCCACCCATTGGAAACACTCAATCAGAACTTGAACAATCATTCTTTATACTTTAGGATATTTAATGAGAAAGGTTTAGATTACAAAGATGGAAGAGACTATTTCCCCCAAGCCCAGCAGGCAGTTTTGGAGAATCTGTTGGCTGCTCAAGCGCAACGGAGATTCAACTCTAAGTTCAGTTCTAAGATCCAATTCTTAGAACTGGATCAATTAAAAGGAGTTTAGCATTTTGTTAAGTAACAAGACCCATACACATAAAACAATTATAGAATAATATAAGAATTTTTTAAACCAAATTTTATGGACTTACATGCTACCATTTGCCTCTCCTTTACAGCATTTGTCATATTCTCCATTTTTTTATTTTGATATATGTATATATATATTTATTTATTTATTTTAGAGATAGAATCTTACCATGTTGCCCAGGCTGGTCACAAACTCCGGGCCTCAAGCAATTCTTCTGCCTCAATCTCCCTGGTAGCTGGATTACAGATGCGAGCCACAGCATCCAGCTTGCAATTTATTATTTATTTATTTATTTATTTGAGACAGGGTCTTTTTACTCTGTCACTCAGGCTGGAGTGCAGTGGTGCAATCACAGCTCACTGCAGCCTCAGCCTCCTGGGCTCAGGTGATCCTCCCACCTCAGCCTCCTGAGTAGCTGGGACTACAGACATGTATCACCATGCCTGGCTAATTTTTCTATATTTTGTAGAGGTGGGGCCTCCCTATGTTGCCTAGGCTGGTCTGAAACTCCTGGGCTCAAGCAATCCACCTGCCTTGACCTCCCAAAGTGCTGGGATTATAGGCATGCCACCGGGCCCTGCCTCAGCTTGCAGTTGTGTGTTTACACATGTGAGTATTTGATTATTTGTCCATGTTGTTCACCATGTGCCAGGTATCCTACGAGTCAGGCCCACCCATAATCCCCTAGTTTTTGTGGTCATGGAGGAAGAGGACAAATGGAGACCCTGACCCGCGGCGCATTCTCCTTCACATCTCCCCCAATCCCGCCCTCTGCTTTATCTCATACCAGGAGGGGCCTTGTGCAAACTGTGTGGACACCCCAGCCAACCAACCTAAGCTCTGTCCATACTCCTTGGCTAAAGGCTAAGAGGGGGGTAGACCTGAGGAAGTGGCCCGTGAGACCCTGAGGTTGGCTTGGGGCCATTTGTGCAAGTAAGTGCAAGGAGTGAGTTCCTGGAACGTCGTCCAGGGTGGGGAGTGGGGCTCCTGTGGTACATCCACTTGGCCACAGAAAGTTCTCAGCTAGAGAGATGGGGCAGCAGCAGGTGAGGGCCAGAGACGGCCCCTAAAGCTTGACTGGATGCAAAGGCAGTACTAAATCTAGCAGCCGAGAATACAGGAAGGAAATGTACAAACTTCTCTACTTTGATGGTGCTTACATTCCCGTGCATGGAGCCAGACTGCAAACAAGTGCGTGGGACACTGTAGAAATCGTCTAATATACAGCGTGTTTAGCGGTAATAAGTACTCTGGAAAAGAGAAGGGAAACAGCGCATACGATTTCAATAATGCTGGTCAAGGAAGGTATGTTGGTTGCCTGGAGCTGCTGTGACAAAGTACCACAAACAAGGTGGCTTAAACAACAGACATTTATTGTGTCACAGCAGTCCAAAATCAAGGTTTCGGCAGGTTTGCTCCTCCTGAGGGTATGAGGGAGAATCAGTCCCCTGTCTCTCTCCTAGCTCCTGGCAGCCTCAGGCTTTCTTTGGCTTGTAGAGGACAGGTGTCCTTCTGTGTCATCACATGGTCTTACCTCTGTCCATGTCTGTCTCTGTGTCCAAATTTCCCTTTATTTTATTTTATTTTATTTTATTTTATTTTATTTTATTTTATTTTATTTTATTTTTTGAGACAGACTCTCCCTCTCTTGCCCAGGCTGGAGTGTAGTGGCCCAATCTAGGCTCACTGCAACCTCTGCCGCCTCCCAGGTTCAAGAGATTCTTATGCCTCAGCCTCCTGAGTAGCTGGGACTACAGGCGCGCACCGCCACACCCAGCTAATTTTTGTATTTTTAGTAGAGACGGTGTTTCACCATGTTGGCCAGGATGGTCTCTATCTCCAGACCTCAGGTGATCTGCCCGCCTCGGCCTCCCAAAGTGCTGGGATTACAGGTGTGAGCCACTGCATCCGGCCTCTATAATTAAAATTTGGATGAAAAGGATCTTCCTTTAGAAACCTGGCAGCGACTGATCTATTTCAGCATTACGAAAGGACCATTGTAGCCTCAAGAGTTCTCTGTGTTCCTCATGTTAATTCCCCTCAGGAGGCAAGCAGCTCTTTGGACTTCCAAGGAATCATCCCTGACCTTCTGCCTCCACTTATTTCCAAGTTGGAGTGCTCTCTGAGCTGTGAGCCATCACTCCCACCCCAAACGCCTCCCCCATCCCTCCATCCTGCCCTGGCCTCAGAGAAAAATCATTTCCAAACAGGCTTTGTTCCACCACGTTCAAAATAGCTCAGAGTAAAAACTGTGTATAAGAAGCAAAGTCCTAATGGGTGCCCTGGAATCCCAGTCCCACCAGTATGCAATGTTCCCATGTAACAAACATGCACATGTACCTCCTGAATCTAAAATAAAATTTAACAGGAATTTTTAAAGCAGCAGCAAAACCCCTTTGTTCCATTCCATTCACCTTCCTCTCACACTCCACATCTCACTCTTAGCTGGAGGGGCCCGACTGTTTTCCCCTCCTGACTCCTCCAGTTCTGCTTGACTTAGCCTGGCTTGTTGTGAGACTCAGTCCTTTGTTCCTATCCTCCCTGTGGCTCTGGGCGTCCTTGCTCGCTGCCCCATGTCTGCAACAGTCCCCTCCTTGTCTGTCCAAGCCTGTTCCGTATCCAAATCCTTGTGTAAGACTCTGGCCTTGCAGCTATTTTCTGGTGACATGTGCCCTTGGCTTCTCTCTAGGGACAGGATACATAGAAACAGACTCGAAGAAGAGCAGAGGGAGAAAAGCCACAAACACCAGCCCACTTCAGAGCCTGGCATGTTCTGGGGGCTTCACAGGAGAAGCATTTGCTACACTACAGCCTCCATTCTTTTTTTTTTTTTTTTTGAGAGTCTCTCTCTGTCACCCAGGCTGGAGTGCAATGGTGCAATCTCCGCTCACTGCAACCTCTGCCTCCCAGGTTCAAGCGATTCTCCTGCCTCAGCTTCCCAAGTAGCTGGGACTACAGGTATGTGCCACCACACCTGGCTAATTTTGTATTTTTGGTAGAGACGGGGTTTCACCATGTTGGTCAGGCTGGTCTCGAACTCCTGACCCCAAATGATCTTCCGGCCTCGGCCTCCCAAAGTGCTGAGATTACAGGCCTGAGCCACTGTGTCTGGCCTACAGCTTCCTTTCTAGAGCTCCATTCTCTTCTCCAAAATAAAGGAGCTTGGTGGAGGTGAAAAATGGGCCACCTAGGCCTGGTTGGTTGTTTCAGCAGAAGGATGATAAAGGGAGAAGGATGAAAAAAAGGCCTTGTGTGTGCCTGGCAAAGTCTCCTGGGAACCAAGACGCACCCAAATGTGATTAAGTGCTCAGAAACCAATCTGCACTGAGCCCTTCACGTTCATACTCCTTGTATAATTTTATCTTCATGCCACAAAACCCACTGTGGAGTAGGTTTTATTTTCCTCATTTTATAGATGCAAAAACTGAGATTTTCAAGGCTAAGTCCCTAGCCTGGTCACAGTGTTAGTAAGAGGTAGAGCCTGGACTGAATTCAGTTCTGAGCCCAAAGTCTGTGCTCTTTTATTTCCTTTTATTTAAAAATAAATGATGTTGTTGTTGTTGTTCCAAATGTCTAAGTAATATATGTTCTTTATAAAAAATTTAGAAATGACAACATAAAATATAAAATTAAAGCCACCTATAATTCCACCATCTAGAAATAGCAACCATTAATATTTTAGTACAGTTGTCCTCATTCTCTGCAGAGGATTGGTTCCAGGACCCCCATGGATACCAAAATACAGATTCTGAAGTCCCTCGTATAAATTGGTGCAGTATTTCCATATAAACTGTATACATCCTCCTGCATACTTCAGATCATCTCTAGATTATTCCTATTGTCTAATACAATGTAAATACCATGTAAATAGTTGCTATACTATATTATTTAGGATATTATGACAAGTAAAAAATCTGTCCATGTTCAGTACAAACGTAATTGTTTTTCTGAATATTTTTGATCGGAGGTTGGTTGAATCCGTGAATGCAGATCACCTCCTTTTTGCTGTTGCTTTGGTTATTTGATTGATTTACTTATTTTATTGTCTCACTCTGTCACCCAGGCTGGAGTGCAGTGGTGTAATCTCAGCTCACCGCAACCTCCGCCTCCTGGGATCAAGTGATCCTCCCACCTCAGCCTCCGAGTAGCTGGGACTACAGGTGTGTGCCACCATGCCCGGCTAATTTTTGTATTTTTGGTAGAGACAGGGTTTAGCCATGTTGCCTGCGTGGTCTCAAAATCCTGGGCTCAAACGATCTGCCTGCCTCAGGCTCCTAAGTGCTGGGATTACAGGCATGAGCCACCGTGGCGCAGCCTGTTTGTTTTAAATAGCTTTATTTTTTAGAGCAGCTTTAGGTTCACAGCAAATTGTATGGAAGCTACTGAGAATTCTCATACATCCATTCCCCATGTACATACATAACTTCCCCCATCATCAACATTCCCAAACCAGAGGGAATGAACTTACATTGACACGTCATATCACAATGACATGAATGAACTTGCATTGACACGTCATATCACCAAAAGTCTATAGTTGCGTTACGGTTTACTCCTGGTGTTGTGCATTTTATAGATTTGCACAAATGTATAATGATACATATCCACCAACATGGTAACAAACCAAGAAGTTTCACTGCCCTAAATCCTCTATGCTCTGTCTATTCGTCCTTTCCTCCTCCCAGACTGCTGGCAACCACTGAACTTTTTACTGTTGCCACAGATTTGCCTTTTCCAAGTGTCATATAGTTGGAATCATATAGTATGTAGCCTTTACAGATTGGCTTCTGAAATGGATTTAAGTTTCCTCCATGTCTTTTCATAACTTGATAGCTCATTTCTTTTTAGCACTGAATAATATTCCATTGTCTGGATGCATCACAGTTTATCCATTTACCTACTGAAGGACAACTTGGCTGCTTCCAAGTTTTAGCAATTATGAGTAAAGCTGCTATGAACATACATGTACAGGTTTTTGTGTGGACATAAATTTTCAGCTCATTTGGGTAAATACCAAGGAGTGCAGTTCCTGAGTGGTATGGTAAGAGTATGTCTAGTTTTGTGAGGGACTGCCACAATGTCTTCCAAAGTGGCTATACCATTTTGCATTTGCCTCCAGCAATGAATGACAGTTCCTAGTGCCCCACATCCTCACCAGCATTTAGAGTTGTCAGTGTTCTGGATTTTGGCCATTCTAACAGGTGTGTAGTGCTATCTGATTGCTGTTCTAATTTACTTTTTCCTGGTGACATATGGCATGGAGCATATTTTCATATGCTTATTTTCCATCTGTATGTCTTTGGTGAGGTGTCTGTTAAGGTCTTTGGCCCATTTTTTAAATTGGGTTGTTTTCTTATTGTTCAGTTTAAAGAGTTTTTTGTGTACTTTCGATAACAGTCCTTTATCATATATGCCTTTTGCAAATCTTTTCTCCCAGTCTGTGGCTTTTCTTCTCAATCTCTTGACAGTGGCTTTCACAGAGCAGAAATTTTTAATTTTAATGATATTCAACATATCAATTCTTTCTTTGATGGATCATGTGTTTGATGTTTTATCTAAGAAGTCATTGCCAAACGCAAGGTCATCTAGATTTTCCCCTCTTACTTTCTAGGAGTTTTGCAGTTTTGTGTTTTACATTTATGTCTATGATCCATTTTGAGTTAATTGTTGCAAAGGATGTATTGTCTATGTTTAGATTCATTTTTTTTTTGCATGTGAATGTCCAGTTGTTCCAGCACCATTTGTCGAAAAGACTATTTTGCTCCTTTGTCAAAGATCAGTTGATCATAGTTATGTGATCTATTTCTGGTCCCTCTATTCTGCTCCATTGCTCCGTTTGTCTATTTTTCAGCAACACCACACAGCCTTGATTATATTATCTTTATAGTAAGTCTTGAAATTGGGTAGTCTCAGTGTCTAAATTTGTTCTTCTCCATCAATAGCATGTTGGTTATTCTGGGTCTTTTCCCTCTCCATATATACTTTAGAATCAGTTTTTCAATATCCACAAAATAACCTGCTGGAATTTTTACTGGGATTGCATTGAATCTATGGATCAAGTTGGGAAGCACTGACATCTTGACAATATTGAGACTTTCTATCAGAGTTTTGTGGTTTTCCCATATCTATATCTATCTATCTATCTATCTATAAAAAACAAAAAACATATATGGGAAATATATAATATATATTATATATTATATATTTTGTTAGATTTATACCTGAATATAAATATGGTGCTAATGTAAATGGAATTATCTTTTCAATTTCAAATTCCACTTGTTCATTGCTGGTATATAGGAAAGTGATTTAGTTTTGTATATTGATGTTGTATCCTTCAACCTTGCTATAGTTACTTATCAGTTCCAGGAGTTTCTTTGTCAACTCTTTTGGATTTTCTGTATCAATGATCTTATTATCTGCACACAAAGACAATTTTATTTCTTTGTTTTCAGTCAGTATACCTTTTATTTCCCTCTCTTGTCTTATGACACTAGTACTTCCAGTACAGTATTGAAAAGGAGTGGTGAGATATTCTTTCCTTCTTCCTGATCTTAGTAGGAAAGCTTTTAGTTTCTCATCATTGAATATGATATTAGCTGTAGGTTCTTTATACATATCCATTATCAAGTTGAGAAAGTTCCCTTTCTATTCTTTGTTTGCTGAAAGTTTTTATCATGAATGGGTGTTGGATTTTGTCAAATGCTTTTTCTGTATATCTATTGATATGATCTATATATATCTATCTATATATCTATAGATAGATATAGATGTCTATCTATAGATAGATATCTATCTATATATATAGATATATATCTATCTATAGATATATATGTATAGATATCTATCTATATATATAGATATATATGTATATATCTATTGATATGATCATGGATTTGCCTCTTTAGCCTGTTGATATGATGGATTATATTCATTGATTTTCAAATGTTGAACCAGCCTTGCATAGCTGGGATAAATCCCACTTGGTTGTAGTGTATAATTCTTTTTATACATTGTTAGATTCCACTTGCTAATATTTTGTTGAGGATTTTTACGTCTACATTCATGAGGGATATTAGTTAATAGTTTTCTTTTCTTGTAATGTCTTTCTCTGGTTTTGGTAGGAGGGAAATGCTGACTTCGTATAATAAGTTAGGAAGCATTCCTTAGGGTTTTATCTTCTGGATGAGGTTGTAGAGAATTGGTATAATTTCTCCCTTAAATATTTGATAGAATTCACCAGTGAACCCATTTGGGCCTGGTGATTTCTGTTTTGAAAGGTTTTTAGTTATGAACTCAATTTATGTAATAGATTTAAACCTGTTCAAATTGTCTATTTCTTTTTGTGTAAGTTTTGGCAGATTGCGAATTTCAAGGAATTGGTTCATTTCAACTATGCTATCAAATTTATGGGCATAGAGTTGATCATAGTATTCCTTTGTTATACTTTTAATGTCTGTGGGATCTCTAATGATGTCCTCTCTTTCTTTGCTGAGATTAGTAATTTGTATCTTTTCTCTTTTTTTTTTTAAGCCTAGTTAGAGGCATATTAATTTTACCAATCGTGTCAAAGAATCAGCTTTCGGTTTTGTTGATTTTCTCTATTAATTTCCTATTTTCAATTTCCTGGATTTCTGTCCCAATTTTTATTTCCTTTCTCTGCTTACTTTGTATTTAATTTCCACTTTTTTTTCTAATTTTGTAAGGTGAAAGTTTAGATCGTTTATTTTTAATCTTTCTTCTTTCTTAATATATGCATTTAATGCTATAACATTTCCTCTGAGAACTGACTTTGCTGTATCTCACATATTTTAATAAGCTGTATTTTCATTTTTACTTAGTTCAAAATATTTTAAAATGTCTCTTGAAATATCTTTTTTGAATTATATGTTATTTAGAGGGGTGCTGCTTAATCTCAAAGTATTTTGGGATTTTCCAGCTATATTTCTGTTATTAGTTTCCGTTTTAATTCCATTGTGGTCTGAGGGCAGTGTATGATTTGCAGTCTTTTAAATTTTTAAGGTGAGTTCTATGACTCAAAATGTGATCTATCTTGGTGAATGGTCCACATGAACTTGAGAAGAATGTGTATTCTGCTGTCTATCAATGTCAATTATATTCAGATGATTGATGGTGGTGTTCGCTTCAACTGGGCCCTTACTATTTTCATGTCTGCTGGATCTGTTCATTTCTAATAGAGGGGTTTTGAAATCTCCAGCTATAATAGTGAATTTATCTATTTCTCCTTGCAATTCTATCAGTTTTGCTTCATTTTGACACTGTTGTTAGGAACATACCCATTAAAGATTGTTATTTCTTCGAAGTCATCTCTTAAGTCTATGTTCTGTTGTACAATTTTACACTCTGCTTTTTTCTCACTGAAAACATGATTTTTAATAGGCACAGGCTGTTTTCACTCTACAAGTCCAATATTTCTTAATCAACTTGATTCAGACCAATTTGTGATGATTCAAGTTACCACTGCAGGAAGATGTCATTTGTGTGCTCTGGGGAGTGGTAGGATGGGGTCCAGGACATCGGGTAGAGAACAGGTTGTGAAGGAGCCCTAGACAGCTGGCAGCCATCATCACAAAGAGAGATAGAAAAACAAGTGGAAGCTTCAGTTGGGATTGGGCGAGAGAGCAGTTCGACACCAGCACAGACTGGACCAGCAATGCTGCTTCCATTGGAACACCTGACTCTTATTTCAAAAAATTAGGACCAGAAATCCATGATGAAAGGAAGTTTGAGTGCTTCTTAAGAGATGAGCCAAGGACCTGGGCAGAGGGGGAGCCCAGGTTCAGAGTCCACTCAGACCAGACACCCAGGCTGAGTGTCCAGCAGGTCTGACCGATGGGACCTCTAGCCTCTATTCTGAAACTCAGGGACTTTATTTCTCTGTGCTTTAACTTTCTCATCTGCCAGGCTGCAGTGTGTATAACTTCATGTGTCCTGAGCTGCTGAACCACAGTTTGAAAGTGAGTCATGGTAAATGCTTTGCTATGTAAAACTTCTTTAGTAACTGCTTCTGGGAATCGCTTCAATTATTGCCCCACTCTGTTTGCCTGGCTGTGGGTCAAGCTTTCCCCTTTCTTTGGGAAACCTGGCCTTGATTGGCCTTGTCTCTGCTTAGAATGGAAAAGGGAAAAGGGACTCTGATATGATTTGGCTCTGTGTCCCCACCCAAATCTCACCTTGAATTGTAATCCCCATGTGTTGAGGGAGGGACTTAGCAGGAGGTGATTGGATCATGGGGGTGGTTTCCCCCATGCTCTCTCCCTAATAGTGAGAGAGATCTCATGAAATTTGATGGTTTAAAAGTGCCATTTTCCCTTGTGCTTGCTCTCTCCTGCTGCCATGTTAGATGTACCTTGCTTCCCCTTCGCCTTCCACCCTGATGGTAAGTTTCCTGAGGCCTCCCCGGCCATGTGGAACTGTGAGCCAATTAATCCTCCTGATATGGCTTGGCTGTGTCCCCACCCAAATCTCAACTTGAATTGTAGCTCCCAGAATTCCCACGTGTTGTGGGAGGAACCCAGGGGGAGGTAATTGAATCATGGGGGCCAGTCTTTCCTGTGCTATTCTTGTGATAGTGAATAAGTCTCACAAGATCTGATGGGTTAATCAGGGGTTTCCACTTTTGCTTCTTCCTCATTTTTCTCTGGCCACCGCCATGTAAGAAGTGCCTTTTGCCTCCCACCATGATTCTGAGACCTCCCCAGCCATGTGAAACTGTAAATCCAATTAAACCTCTTCTTGTTACCAGTTTCAGGTATGTCTTTATCAGCAGCATGAAAATGAACTAATATACCTCCTTTCTTTATAAATTACTCAGGTAGTATCTTTATAGCAGTGTGAGAAAGGACTAATAAATGCTCTAAAGAAAGGATGAATCATCATTAAATAAGAGGCTGGGTGAGGGGTGGAGTTAATGGTAATGCCCTTGATGCTACTGAATCAGCTGGGTTTCAGACTATTCTTCTGTCCCGAGGTCTCCAAGGCCTGCTCACAGTGCAGTCATGTTTTGGGCTTCAGGACCTCCAGCCTCCTTACACAAGGGTACCCCTGAGCAAGCTTTCAGTGCCAACCAACTTATTGGCTTCAAAGGCAAGGGTGGGCCTTATCTTGCCCTCTGATTGGGGCTGTGGCATCTTTTGTGGACTAAAATTTCTCCTGAGCCATCTTTTGTTTTTATTGGAATACAGTTGCTGCTTTTCCATAATTGGTTAGTAGAGAATGCTCTGTGACTGCAGTAGGATCCTCCGAAAAGCACGGCCTTGAAGCAAGGAGACACTGGTGTAGTAGAATTCAGAGAAGGACTTTTTCAGCACAAACATTGGAAGCATCGAACTTTGAATCAATATGTGACTAAGTGCAGTGGAGGGACCAGTGAGAGCAAGGCGGGAGAAAAAGGAGCAGAGCGATGTGGCCAGGATGCAGAGGCAGATAGCCCTCGGTTCCTTCCTGTGTTGTTACCATCCAGACTTGTGTTCATTTTTCACTCAGAGCTTCTGTTTCTCCAACACGGATTCCTAGCACGGCCTCTCAGGGAGGGGTCGCTTTCTGTTTATTGAGGAGCTACTGAGAAGAATGAGCCCCTGTAAAGCGGAGCCTTGTGTTCATCTTGTACCCAAGATGCCTAGCACTGTATCTGGCACATCTTAAACATCAAACCAATGCTTATGGAATGAGTAAATAAATGCATGGGTGGGGAAAAAAATAAATGAATGAAGAGGAAGAAATGAATCAATATAGAAGCACTAAGGTTTGAAAATCTTCTTGGAAGAGTTGAGGTGAAGATGAAGCTTTAGGTTTTGTTTGTTTGTTTTTTATTTTTATTTATTTTTATTTATTTATTTATTTTGAGACAGAGTCTTGCTCTGTCACCCAGGCTTGAGTGCAGTGGCACGATCTCGGCTCACTGCAACTTCCGGCTCCCAGGTTCAAGTGATCCTCCTGTCTCAGCCTCCCAAGTAGCTGGGACTACAGGCACATGCCACCACATCCAGCTAATTTTTATATTTTTAGTAGAGATGGGGTTTTATTATGTTGGCCAGGCTGATCTCGAACTCCCGACCTCAGGTAATCTGCCTGCCTCGACCTTCCAAAGTGCTGGGATTACAGGTGTGAGCCACCATGCCTGGCCTGTTTTTTATTTTTTGAGACAGAGCCTCGTGTTGCCCAGGATGGAGTATAGTGGTATGATCACGGCTTACAGCAGCACTGGGCTCAATGATGCTCCTGCTTCAGCCTTCTGAGAAGCTAGGACTACAGGCACGTGCCACCACACCCAGATAATTTTTTTTATTTTTTGTAGAGACAGGGTCTTGCTTTGTTACCCAGGCTGGTCTCAAACTCTTGGCTTCAAACAACTCTACCACCTCAGCCTCCCAAAGTGCTAGAATTACAGGCATGAGCCACTGTACCCGGGCAAGTTTTGATGTCTCTAGCAGTCACTAGCACATCCATGAAAGTAAATGGGAATAAAAGAGTGGACTCCCTTAAAAATACACAGAAGAGAGAGACAAGGTCGCTAGGGAAGCGACGAAAGTCCAAATGTTAACCAGCCCCATTGTGTAAGGAGCAATGTGACCCAACGAGACCAATTTTGTTAATGCCTTTAATGATTAGTTTCCTAGTTAATAATTGACATGTCATAACACAGAAAGCTGAAAACTGGTAAGTCAGTTATTTCACCATTTTGGATTCTCTTGTATGTCGAGGTCCTGATAATAGTCACCAGGTGATACCTGGAAACATTAGCGAGGGAAGGCACATTTTTAACCTTCTGGAATAGTTAACTAAAATTCAAATAAACTTAAATACAATCTCCTTGCTTACCTGAAGAGTAATGAAATTTGTCAAGAAGGTGTACTAGGCTGCATGCAGTGGCTCACACCTGTAATCCCAGGACTTTGGGAGGCAGAGGTGGGTGGATCATTTGAGGCCAGGATTTTGAGACCAGCCTGGCCAACATGGTGAAACCTGTCTCTACAAAAATATACAAAAATTAGCTGGGCATGGTGGCAGGCACCTGTAATCCCAGCTATTTGGGAGTCTGAGGCAGGAGAATCACTTGAACCTGGAAGGCGGAGATTGCAGTGAGCCAAGATCACGCCATTGCACTCCAGCCTGGGCGACAGGATGAGACTCCATCTCAAAAAAAAAGAAGGTGTACTGACTGCCTATAAACAGATCCTCAAATTTTAGGATTTGAGCTCTCAGGACAGAACTCCCATAGAACAGAGTCACCCCACACGTAACTGGAGAGCTCGCTTTAACAGGAAAAGCTCTAGGGATTTTTGCATCGCCATTTCCTCTTTAAATACGACAGAAAAATCCATTTAGCTAGGATTCTGGAACTCTGCCAGCTCTTCCTGCCCTATCTGACTGTAAAATTCAACAAGGGATCATAAATAATAGACTCTAGTCCAAAAATACATTTGGGGAATCCTGTCCAATAGAATAACTGACGTCAATGACTTCTGCATGGCCTCTGATATTTACTTCAAACAATAAGAAGAGAAATCACAATTCCCAGTGTTGGTTCCGCTAAGCAGAGCTGAGTGACGGAAATGCAGCCCAGCAGAGGCTCTGCACAGCCTAGGTAGCCCTGGCGTTTAGTTATCTTTTGCTGCGTAATCGATGGCCCAGAACCTAGTGGGTTAAATCAACAGCATTGTAGCTCATGACTTTGTGAGTCAGGAATTCCAGAGTTCAATCAGACCATTTTTCTGCTGTGCATGGTATCAGCTGGGGTCAGGCAGTGGTGTTCAACAAGCCGACTGCCTCCTCTGCAGTATCCAGCATGGCTCCGCTCACATCTCTAGAGCCTCAGTGGGACTAGTTGGAACCACCGACCAGAGCACGTTCCCAGGGCCTCTGTGCCATGGCAGTCTCAGGGTAGTCTAGGTGGCCTAGACTGGTGGCCTAGGGCTCCCGGAAAAGGTGTTGTAAGAGACCTGGGTAGAAGCTGCAAAGCTTCTTTATGTCCTCTCCTCAGAGGTTCTAGAATGTCACTTCTGTAGCATTTGACTGGTCTAGGAAGTCACTAAGAACAGCCCAGCTCCAACAGCAGGAGCATTAGGTGCCATTTCTCAATGAGAGAAGTAGTATGAAACTGTGGCCGTCATTAGCCTGGAACATTGCAGAGCAGAAGGAATTTTACTTAGCAGTTGTGGACCACCTGCACATACATCGTTTCACTTCTCCAGATCCTTCTTCCGCAGCAGGAAGGAGACCAGAGAGATGCCAGGCAGGTCTTAAACACATCCTCCCAAGCCCTCTTAGAGGATGTTGCAAACATCCCTGGAGACCTGGAGACCCAGGGCCTTCTGGGAACAGCTTTCTCTGTAAGGAACCACTTTCTCTGATCTGTCCCCCTAAGCTTCTAGTCCCTCTCTTCTACAAACCTTTTATAGCTTTGGAGGTCTTTTTTTTTTTTTTTTGAGATGGAGTCTTCCTGTGTCGCCCAGGCTGGAGTGCAGTGGTGTGATCTCGGCTCACTGCAAGCTCCACCTCCCAGGTTCACGCCATTCTCCTGCCTCAGCCTCCCGAGTAGCTGGAACTACAGGCGCCCGCCACTGCGCCCGGCTAATGTTTTCTATTTTTAGTAGAGACGGGGTTTCACCGTGTTAGCTAGGATGGTCTCGATCTCCTGACCTCATGATCCGCCCGCCTCGGCCTCCCAAAGTGCTGGGATTACAGGCGTGAGCCACCGCGCCCAGCCCCTTTGGAGGTCTTGAAAACTGGAGCTGCTCTTCCTGCAGCAACAGATTAGGCTTGGACCTGGCACATCCTACCAACACTCAAGTGCATGTGCAAGTTCAGAAACTCCTCTTCTCTCTTCTCTTCTTTCCTCTCCTCTCCTCTCCTTTTCTTTTCTTTTTCTTTTTCTTTTCATCATAGCTCACTGCTGCCTCGACCAGCTGGGCTCAAGTGATCCTCCTGCCTAAGCCTCTTGGGTAGCTGAGACTACAGGTGAGCCCCAATATGCCCAGCTAATTTAAAAAAAAATTTTTTGGTAGAGATATGGTTTCGCTATGTTGCCCATGCTGGTCTCAAATTCCTGGGCTCAAGCGATCCTCCTGCCTTGGCATCCGAAAGTGCTGGGATTACAGGTGTGAGCCACTGCTCCTGGCCCAGAAACTTTTCTGTTTTTCTAATTCCTAAACACTGAAGCAAGATCATGGAAAAAGACAATCTGTCCAGTCCACAACAGACATTTATTACCCCTAAGCATGGGGCGGCACAGAGCTGGATGCTGGTTGTACAAAGGAGAAGGAAGAAACACGTGGTCAATCCCCACACACTAGGTGGCTCATAAGTAACAATAACAGTGCAGTGCTAGCGAACCTCATTTACAGATAAGGAAGGAATCAGGCTCAGAGAGGTTAGGTAACTTGCCTAAGGGCACACAGCAAGGAGGTGGCAAATCTGGGCTTAGGACCCAGGTCAGGCCATGCAACTCCATCTCAGAGATAAAAATCCTCTCATGAAAAGGAAGCAAGTTGCATTTCTGGGTATTTTTAGAGAGGTTTACTGAGGGTGCTGGTTTTCTCCACCCATTGAGATAACTGGAGCTAACAGTAGAAGACTCAGAAAGGGTCACTTAGAAGGGATCTGATGCCACACACAGGCCCAGCTTTTCCAGTTAAACTACAACTTCTGCAGGCCTGCATTGTCTTATTTGGTGCTCTCAAAAAGTATCCATCCCCTCGAAATCAGTCTGGCAATATATGAAAAGAGCTATAAAATTGTTCCTATCCTTTGACCCAATCATCTTGCTTTTGGAATATACCCCAAGGAAACATGCAGAAGAGAAAAGAAAGCAAACGGCACAAAGCTGTTTATGGTAACACCGTTCATAACAGTGGAAACATGGGACATGACCCAATGCCCAAAATTGGGAAAAGGTTATGCAAACGATGGTACTTTAAGACAATGGAATGTTATGTTGCTATTAAAAGGAATTAAGTTTACAGATTCTGTGGATGGATCAAAGTGCATGCAAAAGATGTTAAGAGAAAAGAATGCAAAAAAAAGTATGCTTGGGCTACAAATATAAATCAGTCGGCATGCTCATTGATAAGGATCAGAAATGAACACGGTGCTGCAAATAGCTGGTACTCTAGATTTATAGCATTGTTTTTTCTTCTAAAGTTCACAGTACCATGAAAGTACTAACTTTTGGTGTGGAGCAAGATAGTGGAAAAAAGATCCATCATCTCCTTTTGCTCATGGTGAGTGGTGAGGGGATTTCCTCATCTGAAAGGTCAGCGTGCATCTGCAGTGTAATGTGTCTGCAAGAACAGCCCACTCAGTGTTCATCTACGTAACAGAAACACAGCACTTGGGAGGCCAAGGTGGGAGGATGGCTTGAGCCCAGGAATTTGAGGCTGCAGTGAGCTATGATTGCGCCATTGCACTCCAGCCTGGACAATAGAAGTAGACACCGTCTCCAAAAAAAAAAAAAAAAAACAAGTTTCAAAACAAGCTGTCGCAAAAATAATAATAATAATAATACAGCTTTCAAAACATCTGGCCTATGCCCACTAGGCCACGTCTCGAACAGTACGTATAGTTGTAGGCACCATATTTCAGGGAAGACTGACAAACTAGGGCTCACTTCAAGGAGGATAGTGACTAAAGACCATGAAAAAAATCTTGAAAAGACTTGAGGATGTCTAGCCTACAGCAGAGAAACCTCTTGGAGACCCAAGAAGCTTCTCTGTAGCCCTTGGGAAGGATTCGTGTGGAAGGTTAGGCTTGTTTGGGGCACCAACTCATGGTACACGAGCACCAAGACTTGTGTACAGAAGTTATGGAGAAGCAGAGTTTAAGTCAAGATGAGGATCCGGGTTGTTCAAAAGAGGCCATGGGATCCACACTGCTAGAAGTGTGTAAGCAAAGCACAAAAGATTCTATCACATGAACAACTAATGGTCTCTTTTTCTATGACCCTCCAATTTGACTTCCAGCAACTTAAACGGGTTTATGCTTCTACCGGGGGACATAGTTTTGCTGATTCGTAAGGCTCTGAGGGAAAGGCATATGGTAAAAATGGAATTATCTGCTTGTCAGATGCTAAGTTAGTTCTATTGACCCACTGTGCATGGGAATTCCATTTTCAGCTGTTTTCCCAGGACTGGTCAGAAGTGTTTACAGAGTGATGTGGTGGTGAACTACAGACAACTAGAGGTACAATCTGTTGATTTTTGTTTTTTAATGAAAATTTAACTGTGTGGCATTGAGCAACATCTGTGATCTTTGACTTTATTAATAAAGCAAACAACCATCAATCAGCTATTTGTATTTTCCAGTAGTTATGCTATGCCCTCTGAGAAATCCAAAATCTAAGCCATGATCCCAGCCTTCAAGAAACTTACATGACGCCAGCCACGATGAAAAATGAAGAGAGGATCTGAACTTGTGGAGATAATAAACAAGTGTATGAGACAGAAAATACACACGCAAGGAAACAAATATCTAATTGCAAATTGTGATCCGTGCTATGAAGTAAATAAGCAAGCTGATGTGATCGAGGGGGAAGGGAGGAAGGAGGTGACTTCTTTAAATAAGGTTCTCAGGGCAGGCCTCTCAAGGAAGTGTTATTTATCCTAAAAGCTGAAGACAGAGAAGAGACTGCCACCCAGAAGATGGGAAAGAGAGAAACAGTACATTGCCAGACACAACGCATGACACCAAAACTCCTCTAAACCAGAGGGGAAACTTAAACTCATCTTTCAGATGCCTTTGGAGCTCATCGTGTCTATTTGAAATGCTCCCTACAGAGTCTAGAGCAGAGCTTTACTCATTGTAGATGCTCAATACACGTGAAGTGAACAGACAAGTGGCTCTGAGAATAGCTTTCTTATTGTTGGGCAATTGATACCCTATTCATTGTGCACGTACAAGCTCCTCTCCTTAGTTACGGCTTCCTAGGAACTCTTGTGGATGACACAAAAGTAAGAGGAGGCTGGGGGCAGTAGCTTATACCTGTAATCCCAGCACCTTGGGAGGCCGAGGGGAGCAGATCACATGAGGTCAGGAGTTTGAGACCAACCTGGCCAACATGGCGAAACCCCATCTCTACTAAAAATACAAAAATATTAGCCGGGCATGGTGGCACACACCGTAATCCCAACTACTGGGGAGGCTGAGGCACGAACCTGGGGGGCAAAGGTTGCTGTTAATTGAGATGGCACTACTGCACTCTAGCCTGGGTGACAGAATGAGACTGTCTAAAAAAATAAAAACCTTGCTCTAGACAAGCCGCCCCCTAGTTCTTCCAATGGTGAACCTTCCTAGTTGAGCAGGGTTACCATAACCCACACCTGGATGTATCAAAGAAAACTGTGCATCTATCTGCTCAAAGTTGTCCGAATTCCCAGCAGGGGCACCTGCTCTATCTCAAAATGTAAGACTCTGGAATGAGCACTTTGTAGGTTTCAGGTCCACTGCAGACATTAATGTCTGGTGGGTGGGTTGGATTTATGATCAGCATCATCTGGGAATCACATTCTGTCCATTAGGTCGAGCTAAGTGCTGTCAGGAATTTGAGGAAGAGCTCTGCTGAGTGAGGGAGCGAATAAGTGGTTATGACGTTTTAAGTGACTCCAGATGGCCCCGCAGGTACTGCGGTGGCAGCTCCACGCAGGGCACAGCCGCTGAGCAGTCTGCGAACTCACTTAACCCTCAGAAGTTTGGAATCCAAAACACTTGCCATTTGCTGTTTAGTTTCACGTACTTTTTATATGCACTAAGATGACAAGAAAGCTCAAAGAGAAATCACCCAGTACACATTTTAGATTGAACATGAAAACTATAAATCTGCCCTTGAAAGTCAAACTTGTCTCACATTCTAGAGTCTTGTGGAAGACCAAGTACCATGAGCACAGCTCCCAGCAGTATAGTTAACACTCATTTCTGTTCTGAATATCTCCGATGAAGAAAAAGTGAGGAGGAAAGCCCCTTGACTTTGTTTACAGAGCAATAACTCTGAAGCCAGTAAAAAATTGGACATTAAAACCATAAACAGAAAAGAATAGACAAAGGTATCTTTCTAATGGGACCAGGAATAGCACAGACACTTCTAATATAAAAATGTAACTTCAAAGTAACATGAAATACATCCTACAGTACTACAGAAATGTAATTTGAGCCATTTTCATAATTGTTTATGAAATTAAACCAGGTAGCAACCAAATGTGACAACATTCAAGGGAAGAAGAATATATTCCAGAAAATATTCTTTTGCTTTTGATTTTGATCTCTAGCAAATCCTCAAAATTAACAAATAACAGATGGCAAGTAAGCACTGAGAAAAGGAACGAGTGCAAGATACATTGATTAATTAAAATAAAACAGGGGAAGCCTGTGTACTGTGATTTGTGATAGATGTCTAACAGAATCTCTCGTGACCTCCCCTTGGTCCAAAGGAGGTCTGCAGCCTCCACTGAGAGGTAATAGCTTCCATAGTTGACAGAACAGCTAAACTGGGCTCTTGGCCCCATACGAGCCTGCAGAGAGATCCCAGAAGCCTGTAAAGTGTCTATCCTTAGTCCTGTCCATTTTGATCACATTGTCAAGCTTCTAAATGGAAACAAAGACCACCTTATCAGGTTTATGACTGACCACATGCTAAGCAACTGCTGACATATTGAAAAGTGCCACACAGGGGTCCACTCACCTACTCACCAGCTGCTGGACCTTCTCTGAGCTTCAATTTCCTTCTCAGAGTGTTGGCCAAATGAGAATACCTCATAGAGGCTTTGTGAGAATTAAACTACGCAACAGAAGTAAAATACCAAGAGAGCATCAATAAATGTTGACTTCTTCAGAAACTGCTAGGATTCAATATCATCTCAATAGCTGAGACTGATAGATTAAAAATCCAAGGTAAAATGTAATAGGACAGATATACATCTTATTTTAAAGTATGCCAAGGGAGGCTGGGCACAGTGACTCACGCCTGTAATCCCAGCACTTTGAGAGGCCGAGGCGGGTTGATCATTCGAGGTCAGGAATTTGAAACCAGCCTGGCCAACATGGCGAAACCCCGTCTCTACTAAAAATACAAAAAGTAGCCAGGTGTGGTGGCACGTGCCTGTAATCCCAGCTACTCGGGAGGCTGAGGCAGGAGAATCGCTTGATCCCAGGAGGCGGAGGTTGCAGTGAGCAAAGATCGCATCATTGCACTCCAGCCTGGGTGACAGAGGGAGACTCTGTCTCAAAAAAATAAATAAATTAATTAAAAATAAATAAAGTATGCAAAGGTAGCCTAGGGGAGAATTAACCTAATATCAACTTTGATTTCAGAAAAACAACTCAGGGAATTTTTTAATGGGCTACAAATTTAGCATAGAGAGGGTTTTGTTTGTTTATTTGTTTGTTTGTTTTAAAAAAGACAGACAATCTGAAAATAGAGTGCTAATGATGTGGTATATGGAATAGGGCTAATGGCTGAATGTTGTAACCAGGCACAGTTTGCTCCATAAAATGATACCTTAAGCCATGTTGAGTTGATAAGAAGCACACAATTAATATGGTCTGTGCTTATCATATAGAAGCCCTATATTTGACATCACTGTAATAGTCATCAGTATGAGCTACTGTATACTTATTAAATGATAAACCTAATTATCTCTTAATAATGAAGTGTTCTGTAATTCAAATTTTATAATTTAAATGACTCCTTTCTCTCTGTTAGTCAAAAGTATTGTGATGATGTATAACCTAGTGCCACAAATTCGTCTCAAAGAAGGACTACTGTCATATATTTGACAAATATATATATGACAAATGATACTAAATATGCAAGAATTCATCCCTCGAATTTTGGCACATTTGGTTTCTACCTGGTTTAAGTTCATAAACAATTACTGAAAATGACTAAAATTACATTTCTATAGTACTGTGAAGTGACAACATTTTTATATTAGAAGTGTCTCTACTATTCCTGGTTCCATTAGAAAGACATCTTTCTCTATTTTTTCTGTTTATGATTTTAATGTCCTTTTTTTTTCCTGGCTTCCGAATTAATAAAATATAAGTGGAACCAAATTTTTAAATATTCATATTGACTGAGATAGCATACTTTTCAAATGTTGTTCACAGAAACAAGGCTTCACTGAGTCATGTTTACAACGAACAAGAGGAGAGAAACATTTAAACAAAAATAGCAGACTGCACTGGGTCTGTGCAGAAAGACATTATGAAAACTTTCACAAATAGAGATACTCAAAATCTGCTTTCTTAAAATAAGGCTTTGCTCCTCATCTAGGACCAAATTTAGCACATACCAAAGTCATTAAAAACAAAGCCATTTTTTAAGCTCTGAGTGTAAAAGTGCATCTGCTGTTTTTTTCTGACAAAAAAAAGGGAAATGTTTTCACCATTTTTAACGTGGTCAAAAAGAACCAAATGGATTTTTAGGGTGTTTTCCAAAAGTGAAAGAAAAGGGGAAGTGAGCTGATACTAAATATGCAAGAATCTGGATAACTGAATGAATTTAGACGAAATATTATACATAAAACTTCAGTTTAGCAAAAATCAAAGTACAGTATGTCTCATGGGTTCAGAATTGCTGCTGAAACATAGGTACACATAGATCAGTTGTTAGCCAATTTATATTGTTATAAATGCAATATTCATGTGAATCTCTCTAAGGCATATTAAGAGTATAAGTCTTCGCATGCCTATAATCCCAGTACTTTGGGAGACCAAGGCGGGTGGATCACCTGAGGTCAGGAGTTCGAGACCAGTCTGGGCCAACATGGTGAAACCCCGTCTCTACTAAAAATACAAAAATTAGCCAGGTGTGGTGGCACGTACCTGTAATCCCAGCTACTTAGTAGGCTGAGGCAGGAGAATCGCTTAAACCCAGGACATGGAGGTTGCCGTGAGCTGAGACTGTGCCATTGCACTCCAGCCTGGGTGACAAGAGCAAAACTCTGTCTCCAAAAAAAAAAAAAAGTATAAGCCTTGCAGGCTGGGTGCGGCGGCCCACACCTATAATCCCAGCACTTTAGGAGGCCGAGGCAGGAGTATCACTTGAGCCCAGGAGTTCAAGACCAGCCTTAGCAAAAGAGTGAGACCTAGTCTCAAAAAAAAAAAAAAAAAAAAAAAAAAAAAAGGAAGAAGGAAGGGAAGGAAGGAAGAAAGAAAGAAAGGGAGGGAGGGAGGGAGGAAGGAAGGAAGGAAGGAAAATTAATCAGAAAGCATTGGATCTTCCAAAACAAAAAAGTGTGTAAGCCTTGTAAGCCAAGTACAGTATATTACAATTTTCTATTGTTAGACTTTGTTATCAGTAATTTTGTATCTTGGTCCTTCTCTTGTCACACTTTACACTAAGCAGAGCTTCCCAGTTAAGAAAACATTCAAAACATTTTCTTTAGTTGCCTTGAATGTGAGACACCTTGAATGAATTGAACCTGCTTAGTGCTACCAACACTCATGTTTCTACTGGCTGGTAGTGCTAACCGCAGGGTTGAGGAAGGTAGAAAGATACCCAGATTCCCTCCAAAAATAACCAGCATGTTTGTCGAAGCAGTCACTGTCTTCACCACACTTCCTCTTTTTTTGGTTCAAGTCATTTCCTCTATGGGAAATTATCTGTAAATGAGTCTATCTTGTAGCCTACCAGGTTGCCTTTTCCTCGAAATTCTGTTTACTTGGGATTCTTCCCTAATCTCTCCACCAAATATATTTGCTTTAGTCCTTCCTCTTCTCTGGTTAGCTCTGTGGTTAGAAATGTAAATACTGAATTTAACGTGACTTCTTTGTGCTGTTTGGAAGGATTCTTGCAGCAAAATATCCCCCAACCATAAAAAGGCAGGGTGAGGTAATGCAAGGAATTAATCTAGCTGTGGATATGTGTATTGCTATGAATGTAAATAAATATCTGACAGGTGTGATTTAAGTTGTAAAAGGGTCTATTAAAACACAACTATTTTTTATTTAAAAAATCAGAAGGGGCCAGGTGGGGTGGCTCAATGCCTGCAATCTCAACATATTGGGAGATCAAGGTGGAAGGATCACTTGAGGCCAGGAGTTCAAGACCAGCCTGGACAACATAGTGAGACCCCCAACTCTATGAAAAAATAAAAAATTAAAATGAGCTGGGCATGGTGGCATGCACCTGTAGTCCCAGCTACTTGGGAGGCTGAGGTGGGAGGATCACTTGAGCCCAAGAGTTCAAGGCTGCCGTGAGCTATGATCATGGTACTACACTCCAGCCTAGACAACAGAGTGAGACCCTGTCTCCAAAAAAACAAAACGAAACAAAATCAATAAAGGAGAACAGCTTCAAATTACCTGTTTGTGTTCCATTATATTCATAAGCCATGCATTTTACTGGGACCTGGTTTCAAATTTGCAGTGCTTGCCTACGCTCAATGGCAGATATCTCCATTTCCAAAAGCCCTTTAGCTCTCTCTCTAAAAATAGATGAGGCCCAGCTTGGTGGCTCACGCCTGTAATCCCAGCACTTTGGGAGGCTGAGGTGGGTGGATCACCTGAGGTCAGGAGTTCGAGACCAGCCTGGCCAACATGGTGAAACCCCATCTCTACTAAAAATACAAAAATTAGCCGGGCATGGTGGCACGTGCCTGTAATCCCAGCTACTCGGGAAGCTGAGGCAGGAGAATCCCTTAAACCCAGGAGGCAGAGGTTGCAGTGAGCCGAGATCATGCCATTGCACTCCAGCCTAGGTGACAGAGCAGGACTCCATCTCAATAAATAAATAAATAAATAAAAAAGAAAGAAAGATAGGATTTTTTTCCTCAAAAAAAAAAAAATGAAAATCACGCTATTTATAGATCAAACCAAGTACATAGGTTAAAAATGTGAGGAAAGGGATGGAAGAGAAATCGGAGTCAATGTGGATGCTACAGCTTCCAAGCCCAGGCAGTTGGGGAAATTAATGAGTGAAAGTGAGAGGACAGGTTTTATCATCTGCAAAGTGCTACAACAATGTCCGTGATTGTTATAGGTCCAGGAACACAGAGAGGAAAAACTAGGAAAGGTGGATGTGGTTAGCAACAAGAGCAATGAGTTCAGCTGGGAACTTCCCATCTTGAAGAGTGAGGTATTTAGCAGAGATGTACCAGACACAATGAAAGATTTCCACTTGGAAGTTGAGTAAGGTAGCTCACCTGGAGACAGATTTAGGAGTCACCACATAGGGGTGATGTTTGAGTCTTTGAGCAAATAAGGGAATGTGGACAGGAAACATCGCTGATGATGACAACCCCTTTGAGTTTCACAATATAAATCTTTCCATTGCCTTTTTCTCCAGTACATAGTCAATTGTTGAGGTCTTGTCTGTGTCTGCCTTTTCTCTGTCCTTTGTTTGTTTGTTCTAGCTTATGCACTCCCAGAAGGTAAGAATGTGTCTGTTTAACTCACTTTGAACAGTAGAGAACTCAGTATCACTGGCACACAGGCTCTGCAAGTGCAGTTCTTACCCAACATGAATTGGTTTGGCCTAAGCTTGGAGATGGAGGGTCTGGCTCCATGACACAAAGCGTGGAGCCAAGGGTGAGTGCAGAGGTAGGGCTTCAAAGAAAACCCTGCTCAGGCCAGGCGCAGTGGCTCATGCCTGTAATCCCAACACTTTGGGTGGCTGAGGCAGGTGGATCACGAGGTCAGGAGTTTTGTTTGTTTGTTTTTGAGACAGTCTCGCTCTGTCACCCAGGCTGGAGTGCAGTGGCACGATCTCCGTTCACTGCAAGCTCCGCCTCCCGGCTTCACACCATTCTCCTGCCTCAGCCTCCCGAGTAGCTGGGACTACAGGCGCTCGCCACCACCCCCAGCTAATTTTTTGTATTTTTAGTAGAGACCGGGTTTCACTGTGTTAGCCAGGATGGTCTCAATCTCCTGACCTCGTGATCCACCCGCCTCGGCCTCCCAAAGTGCTGGGATTATAGGCATGAGCCACTGTGCCCAGACAAGGTCAGGAGTTTGAGACCAGCCTGACCAACATGGTAAAACCTTGCCTCTACTAAAAATACAAAAATTATCCAGGAGTGGTGGCACGCACCTATAATCCCAGCTACTCAGGAGGTTGAGGCAGGAGAATCGCTTGAACCCGGGAGGCGGAGATTGCAGTGAGCCGAGATCGCGCCACTGCACTCCAGCCTGGGTGAAAGAGCGAGACTCTGTCTCAAAAAAAAAAAGAAAAGAAAAGAAAAGAAAAGAAAAAACCCTGCTCAGAAGGCAGCATGTGTGAAGGTATGTGGTTGCCTGGTGGAAACCACAAGATACCAAATGGAATGGGTTACACAAGGAGGGCACCAGGTCTAATGAATAAGGGGGAAAGGTATAACATATGATGGCTTCCCTAACCTCTAGCCCTCTAGTTCCACATTCCTGTCCCAGTAAAGTTCTAACACTGTCTCTTCATAGTTCAACCTGTATTGTAGGCTTTGGAATATGCTTCAGGGCATGTGTGTTCCCATGCATCTTAGTCATTTTGTGCAGTTGTAACAGAATACCACAGACTGGGTAATTTATAATGAACATACATTTACTGGTTCATGGTTCAGAAGCCCAGTGTCAAGAGGCCAGCATCTTGTGAGGACCTTCTTGCTGCATCATAACATGGCAGAAGGTGTCACATGGTGGAAGGACAAAAAGAGAGGGCAAGGGAGAGGCAAGCCCACTCCCACAATAACAAACCCACTCCCACAATAACAAACCCACTCCCATAATAACAAACCTACTCCCTTGATAACAACATTAGTCCATTCTTGAGGTGTTGCCCTTGTGATCTAAACACCTCTTAGAGGTCCCACCTCCCAATACCATTACAATGCCAATTAAATTTCAACATGAGCTTTGGATGGGGACAAACATTCAAACCACAGCACTGTGTGTACTTTAGTATCTTTCCTTAAAGTCAGTTGTGGTTTTGGCTGTCTGTGAATAACCAGATTGTAAGCTTCTCAAAGGCAGGGATGAAACAGAAGCCCACTGTTCATGGCCTGTCCTGGAACACTGGAGGAACTCCAGCTTTTCTGCTACCTGGGTCTGAATTAAGGACGTCCCAAATTTAAGAACTTGGTTTACTACATCACAAGGGCGTTGCCCTTGCTTTACTTTGTTCCTGACACCATTCCCTTCATTCTGCCAGGCAACCACCTCACTCTCCATCTACAGTTATTTGCTTTCCTTATCCCTCACATCCAATATCTTCTGGTGTCCTTAGGCAATGTCTGCATCTTCTTTGACTCGGCACTCTCAGAAAACCATTCTTTGGAGCACATGCTTAACCTGGCCCTAGGATCTCTGCACTTTCCCTGCAAACAGGCCCTGCCCAGTGTGTCCCAGAAAGAGATCTGGTCATTTAGTGTTTGTCTATCCCCTCCCTCTGGCCCGTGAATTCCACATTTCTGACAATCTTACCTTCATATCTTCCATTCTGAAGATGAGTGAAAAGTTGTGGGTTGAAACAGTTCCAATTGTGATTAGAATGTATGTGGTCATTAGCAAACAAAATATAGTAAAATACAACTCAAATGAATAAGTAAAAGCAGTTCACTTTCTGTGGCTCTTCAGCTTTTTGGTTATAGTTGCCTCTTTTTGCATAAAATTAGAACTAGTTTGCTGTGTTTACAGAAAAGGCTTTGCTTTGCTTTGCCAAGCAAATTGGCAAGAAAATGTTCTTGCAATAAAAGGACACAACATTCTAATATCCTTTCCTAGTTCTGCCCTATAAAACGCAGTCTCTGTTGCATTCTCAAGCATCAGGGAATTATAACTTCCCTCCATCACCACCAACACTGCTACAGACCAAAAAAGAAAAGCCAACATCTTTATTAACTCTTTGAATAAATTGTTATTGTGCACACATCAAGTGCTGGGAGCTGGGCTAGGCATTGTGAGAGTTACAGTCACATGGAAGCCATGCTCCCTGGCCCACAGCTACTCACAGGTCTAGCCGGGGAGATAAGACATTACTATCAGCCACTATCAGGCAGATGCCATAAATGCCATGTACATGAGTGGTGGGATCTCAAATGCCGTAGGATTTCAGAGGAGGGGGAGAAGATGTCTGGCTTAACAGAGGAAGTTCGAGTCTAGTTGGCCTTTTGTTTTCTCAATAAATATTTATTGGGTGTCTCTGAGGACTGGACTGAGTTCCGTGCCAATTGCTAAGGAACACAAGAGTGGGCAAAACAGACATCGTTTGTGGTTCTGATGAGAACCTATAGGGGAAAAGATATTAACCAGATGATCATGCAATTATATAATTATACCGCCTGGTAAATTATCTGAAGGAAGTAGTAGGGCCTATGGGGGCCTATGGGGTCAGGGAAGGCTTCCCCGTGGAAGGGATGTGGGAGCTAAGATCTGTAGATGAGTAGGAGTTAACCAGGCCACAAAAGAAAAGAAAAGAAAAAAGAGAGGAAAGAGAGAGGGGAGTGAGCATTACAGACCAAGGGAACAGCATGTCCAAAGTTCCTGAGGTAGGAGTAAGCATGGCAATTTAAACAATGAGAAATGCTCTGTGTGTGTGTGTGTGTGTGTGTGTGTGTGTGTGTGTGTGTGTGTGTGTGTGGAGCAAAAATGACCGGGAGAAGAGAAGACTGGAGCCAGACCATGGGATCTAGTGGGCCCTGGTGAGGACTTGAGTCTTGATCCCAAGAGGAATGAGAATCTACTGAAGGGGTTTAATAAGAGGAGAAATGATCAGATTTGCATATTAAAAACATATCCTGGCCAGGCACAATGGCTCATGCCTGTAATACCAGCACTTTGGGAAGCCAAGGCAGGAGGAGTGCTTGAGCCCAGGAGTTTGAGACCAGCCTGGGTCACATCATGACGTCCCATCTCTGCAATAAATAAATTAAATAAATAAATAAATAATCTGAGCATGGTGGCACATGCCTGAGTCCCAGCTACTTCGGAGGCTGAGGCAGGAGGATCACTTGAACCCAAGAGTTTGAGGCTGCAGTGAGCCATGATCACACCACTGCACTCCAGCCTAGGCAACAGAGACCCTGTCTCTAAACTTAAAAAACAAGCCAGGTGCAGTGGCTGACGCCTGTAATCTCAGCACTTTGGGAGGCTGATGTGGGCAGATTACGAGCTCAGGAGTTTGAGATCAGCCTGGCCAACATGGTAAAACCCCATCTCTACTAAAAATACAAAAATTAGCCAGGCATGGTGGTGCACACCTGTAATCCTAGCTACTCGGGAGGCTGAGGCAGGAGAATTACTTGAACCTGGGAGGTGGAGGTTGCAGTGAGCAGAGATCATGCTATTGCACTCCACCCTGGGCAACAGAGCAAAACTCTGTCTCAAAAAAAGAAAACCAGCCAAACAAACCAAACAAAAAAAAAACAACTAAATAACCAAATAGGTCAGGTGTGTCAGCTCATGCCTGTAATCCCAGCATTTAGAGAGGCCAAAGCTGGCAGATCACTTGAGGTCAGGAGTTCAAGACCAGCCTGGGCAACATGGTGAAACCCTGTCTCTACAAAAAATACAAAATTTAGCCAAGTGTGGTGGTGTGCGCCTGTAGTATCAGCTACTCGGGGGGCTGAAACGGGAAGATCACTTGAGCCCTGGAGACTGAGGCTGAGGGTGCAGTGAGCCGCAATCACACCACTGCACTCCAGCCTGGGCGACAGAGCAAGACCCTGTCTCAAAACAAAAAATAAAACAGAAACATTATTCTGGCCACAGTGTGGGGAATGATTGATTGTAGGGCTCTGGAGTTAGTTGCAAAAGATCAACTGTAGGCAGTTATACTGATCCAGGCAACAGATAATGGTGGGATTGGAGGAGAAAAGTGGATGTACGTGTCAGATACTTGAGAATAAAAAGCTGGTATCAGTTCTTAGGAACAGACTGTGAGAGCGTGGAAGGTGTTTTCCTCAATCCCAGTGTTTCCTTCCTATGAAAGGAGTTTGTCTCAGCCCTTCTTCTTCCTCTTAAGAGTGAGCTGCCTCAGAGAGGAATTCTCTGCAGGTCCTCCTGGCGTTGACAGAGCTGGGAGTGCTGCCCAGGAGTGGGTGGGTGAGTGGATCTCTGTCTTCTATTGTAGTTTGGATGCAGGTCCATTTGGCCCTCACACTGGATTAAGTTCTCCACACTTCTCTATCGGTAAAGGTAATATCTTGGCCACCATATTTACTCTTTGGTTTATTTCTCTAACTCTGGGCAGAGAGGAGAGAGACGCTATTTATTAGAGAGTACTTTTTTTTTTTTTCAGTCTTGCTCTGTCGCCCAGGCTGGAGTGCAGTGGCACGATCTTGGCTCACTGCAACCTCTGCGTCCTGGGTTCAAGCAGTTCTCCTACCTCAGCCTCCTGAGTCACTGGGACTATAGGTGCACACCACCAGGCGTGGCAAATTTTTGTATTTTTAGTAGAGATGGTGGTTTCACCATGTTGACCAGGCTGGTCTCAAACTCTTGACCTCAAGTGAT
This sequence comes from Homo sapiens, assembly GCF_000001405.40. Taxonomy (NCBI): domain Eukaryota; kingdom Metazoa; phylum Chordata; class Mammalia; order Primates; family Hominidae; genus Homo; species Homo sapiens. Next base: position 30,331,549 of record NC_000008.11, read on the forward strand.
CCACTCACCTAGGCTTCCCAAAGTGCTGGGATTACAGGCATGAGCCATCGTGGTTGGCCCTGGAGACTACTCTTGAGACTCCAAATAGACTGGATATGGGTGATGGGGCTTGATGGATGGATAAGATTTTTTTTTTTAAGTTTTAAAAGGAGTTTATTGAAGAATATTCTTAAGAAGCCAACAACTTTTGAATTGTCATTTTTTAAAAGTTATGTTTTTTTCATGCTGTGTAATAAAGGTAACGTGTAAGAGGCTATGAGTTACAAGCTTCTTCCTACTGGAATTCTCTGGGAGAGCACAGTATAGTCATTTCTGCAATGCTAAAATAACTTGTTTTAAGTTTCTTCTCTGCTTCTCTTCAAAAAGTGATGAATAATAACAGAAGACAGCATTAAAAAGCCATTTTTTCCCATCATTCTGTAGTATTGGAGCCAGTATTTTTACCATCACAGTCTACTATTTTTGCTTCATCCACTTTAATAAATTTTGTCACTTCTCTGAATTCAACATCATTCAATACGAAAGTCCACAGATTATCACAGAATCTGTACATATTTAGAAAGCTCCTGAAATTGACTCTGTTCCTAACCCTCTGAGCCAATGCTGAATTTATAGCCTTATCAAACTGAAGTAGAACTTGTAGGTGGTCTGTTGAGACTGTATGAGCTCATCTAGGCTCACCTGAAGACTGTTTCCCAAAGCGGTATTTCTGTATAACTGATATGCCATGGCTTAGGAAAAATTGCTCAAACTGCCTTTCTTTTTCTTTTTAGCTTTTTTGTTTGTCTGTTTGTTTTTGAGACAGAGTCTTGCTCTGTTGCCAATGCTTAAGGGCAGTGGCACGATCTCGGCTCACTGCAGCCTCTGCCTCCCAGGTTCAAGCAATTCTCCCGCCTCAGCCTCCAGAGTAACTGGGATTAAAGGCATGTGCTACCATGCCCAGTTATTTTTTTATTTTTATTTTTTGTATTTTTAGTAGAGACAGAGTTTCACCATGTTGGCCAGGCTGGTCTCCAACTCCTGGCCTCAAGTGATTTGCCCACCTTGGCCTCCCAAAATATTGGGACTACAGTGTGAGCCACCACATCTGGCCTTCTTTTTCTTTTTCCTTGAGACGGGGTCTTGCTCTGTTGCCCAGGCTGCAGTGCAGTGGCACAATTATAGCTTACTGCAGCCTCGACCTCCTGGGTTCAAGCAATCCTCCCATCTCAGCCTCCTCAATAGCTGGGACCACAGGCACACACTACCATGCCTGGACTCATTCTATCTTATTTTATTTTTTTCCTGAGATGAGGTTTCCCTATGTTGCCCAGGCTGGTCTTAAATTCTTGGGCTCAAGCAATCCTCCTGCCTTGGCCTCTCAAAGTGCTGGGATTATAGGCATGAGCCACTATGCCTGGCCAAAAAATTGCCTTTGTTATTCAAACTTGCATTGATGTACTGTGGGGAAAGGGCTTTCTGCTGCAGAGCAGACAGCAGCCACCAGGAGCCCAGCAGTATGTTCCTACTTCCCCAACCACAGAAACCCAGATGAATACGATTTTGATAGAAATGGAAGGAAAGACATTAGAGGTGTGGGGACAACATAAGTAAAGAAGCAAGATGGCCAGGCACAGTGGCTCACGCCTGTAATCCCAACATTTTGGGAGGCCGAGGCGGGCAGATGACCTGAGGTCGGGAGTTCGAGACCAGCCTGACCAACATGGTGAAACCCTGTCTCTACTAAAAATACAAAATTAGCCGGGCATGGTGGCGCATGTCTGTAATCCCAGCTACTTGGGAGACTGAGGCAGGAGAATCACTTGAACCTGGGAGGTGGAGGTTGCAGTGAGCTGAGATCGCACCACTGCACTCTGGCCTATGCAACGGAAGAGTGAAACTCTGTCAAAAAAAAAAAAAAAAAAAAAAAGAAGCAAGATGACAGAAAAGCGTACAAGGTATGACTGTGGAAAACTGAATGAACCAATCCAACTAGAGCTGAAGATCTGTGTGAGAAAGTTAAAGTAGGGCTGGAAAGATGGTTGGATTCAGGTTATGGAAGGTGCAGAGGGCCATGCTACAGTCTATGGATTTTATCTTATAAGCAAAGGAAAGTTACTGTAAAGTTTTCAAGCCAGCAGCATGAGCTAAACAACTTGTGGTGTGTAGAGCAGATTAAGCACAGAAGCCAGTCAGGAGATTATTACAAGTTCCTGAACTAGTGTGACAATGATAATGAAGGAATAAATGCAGACATGTGAAGGAAGAACTGACAGGTCTTTCTTGGAAGGTCAGATGGAATGAGTGAGGGACAAGAAGAATCCAAGATGGCTCCAGGGTTTGTGGTCTCGATGCCTGGAGAATGGGAGTGGCATATGAATGTCAGGAGACATTAGACTTCATTAAAATTAAAAACTTTAAAATTAAATTAAAAATTTTTGTGCATCAAAGGACATTATCAAGAGAATGAAAAGATGATCCACGGAACAGGAAAATATTTGCAAAGCATATATCTGATAAGGGTTTAATATCCAGAGTATACATAAAAATCTCTTATAACTCAACAACAGGAAGACACACAACCCAATTTGAAAATAAGGAAAGCGGCCAGGCGCGGTGGCTCACGCCTGTAATCCCAGCACTTTGGGAGGCTGAGACGGGTGGGTCACCTGAGGTCAGGAGTTAACAGTCTGGCCAACATGTTAAAACCCTGTCTTTACAAAAAAATCAAAAATTAGCTGGGCATGGTGGCCTGCACCTGCAACCCTAGCTACTCAGAAGACTAAGACAGGAGAATCACTTGAATCCAGGAGGCAGAGGTTGCAGTCAGCTGAGATCGTGCCTCTGCACTCCAGTCTGCGTGACAGAGCAAGACTCCATCTCAAAATATAAAATAAAATAAAATTAAAAATAAATAAAAATGAGGAAAGCACTTGGCTAGACATTTCTCCAAAGCAGATCTACAGATTGCCAAAAAGCACATGAAAACATGTTCAACATCAACAGACATTAGGAAAATGCAAACTGAAACCACAATGAGATACTACTTCACATCTAGTAGTGTGGCTACAATTTTTTTTTTTTTTTTGAGACGGAGTCTCGCTGTGTCGCCCGGACTGCAGTACAGTGGCGTGATCTCGGCTCACTGCACCCTCCCCCTCCCAGGTTCAAGCAATTCTCCTGCCTCAGCCTCCTGAGTAGCTGGGATTACAGGCACGCGCCACCATGTATGGCTAATTTTTGTATTTTTGGTAGAGATGGGGTTTCACCACGTTGGTCAGGCTGGTCTCGAACTCCTGACCTCATGATCCTCCTGCTTCAGCCTCCCAAAGTGCTAGGATTACAGGCGTGAGCCACAAGGCCCAGCCATAATTTTTTTTTTTTAATTGAAAATAACCAAGCATTGGAGATCATTTGGAGAATTTGGAGCCCTCATGGTATTGCTGATGGGAATGTAAAATAATATATCCACTGTGAAACACAGCCTGGCAGTTCCTCCAAAAGTAGAACATAGAATTACCATATATACAGTAAGTCCACTCTGTTAATCAGCTCTGGCAGCTATAACAAAATGCCACAAACTAGGTGGCATAATCGACAAACATTTATTTTTTTGTTTGTTTATTCTTTCTTGAGACAGGGTCTCTGTCATTCAGGTTGGAGTGCAGTGACACCATCTCAGCTCACTGCAACATCCACCTCTCAGGTTCAAGCAATTCTCCTGCCTCAGCTATAGGCGCCTGCCTATAGTAACTGGGACTATATTAGCCACCACACCTGGCTAATTTTTTTTGTATATTTAGTAGATATGGGGTTTCACCAGGTTGGCCAGGCTGGTCTTCAACTCCTGACCTCAAGTGATCCACCCACCTCAGGCTCCCAAAGCGCTGGGATTACAGACATAAGCCACCACGCTCGGCCACAGACATTTATTTCTCACAGTTCCGGAGCCTGAAAGTCTAATCCCATTCATAAAGCCTCCACTGTCATGAGCACATCTAATTACCTAATTATCCTGATTACCTGCCAAAGACCCCACCTCCTTGCAAAATCCATACGCTGAAATCCCACCCCATCACATTATGGGGTGGGATACAAGCATATGGGTTTTGAGAGGACACAAGCATTCAATTCTGTAGCACATTCTTTGGTATATACTCCAAGTAATTGAAAGCAGGGACTCAAACAGATTCTTGTACACCAATGTTTACAGCAGCGTTTTTCACAATAGGCAAAGGCAGAAGCAACCCAGGTGTCTATCAACAGTTGAATGGATTTTTAAAATGTATTATATACATACAATAGAATATTAGTCAGCCTCAAAAAGGAATGAAATCCTGATACATGCTACAACATGGATGAACCGTGAAGACATTAATGAACTAAGTCAGACATTAGCCAGGTGTGGTGGCACACACCTGTAGTCCCAGCTACTTGGGAGGCTGAGGCAGGAGGATCCCTTGAGCCCAGAAGTTTGTGGCTGCAGTGAGCTACGATTGTGGCACTGCACTCAAGCCTGGGCAACAAAACAAGACAGAAGAAGCAAAGAGAGAAAGAGAGAGAGAGAGAGAGAGAGAGACAAAGAAATAGGAAGGAAGGAAAGAAAGAAAAGAAAGAAAAAGAACCAGACACCAGACATAAGAAGACAAATCTTGCATGATTCACTTACATGAGATATCTAGAATAAATAAATTCATAGAAATGGAAAGTCAAACAGAGGCTCCTAAGGGGTGAGGTAAGTGCAAATAAGGAGTTATTGATCAATGGGTGCAGAATTTTATTTAGGGTGATGAAAAAGTTTTAGAGATAGAGAGTTGTGATGGTTGCACAACATGACGCTACATTTTAAAAAGGTTAAAATTGCAAATACTGGGGCCAGGTGCAGTGGCTCATGCCTGTAACCCCAGCACTTTGGGAGGACGAGGCGAGTGGATCACCTGAGGTCAGCAATTCTCCAAGACCAGCCTGGCCAACACGGTGAAACCCTGTCACTACTAAAAATACAAAAATTAGCCGGGCATGGTGGTGCATGCCTGTAACCTCAGCTACTCAGGAGGCCGAGGCACGAGAATCGCTTGAACCCAGGAGGCAGAGGTTACAGTGAGCCAAGATCGCACCACTGCACTCCAGCCTGGGCGACAGAGCGAGATTCCTTCCAAAAAATAATTTTTAAAGAATTGCAAATAGGCAGGGCGCGGTGGCTCAAGCCTGTATTCCCAGCACTTTGGGAGGCCGAGGCAGGCGGATCACGAGGTCAGGAGATCGAGACCATCCTGGCTAACACGGTGAAACCCTGTCTCTACTAAAAATACAAACAAAATTAGCTGGGCGTGGTGGCAGGCGCCTGTAGTCTCAGCTACTCGGGAGGCTGAGGCAGGAGCATGGCATGAACCGGGGAGGCAGAGCTTGCAGTGAGCCGAGATCGCACCACTGTACTCCAGCCTGGGCAACAGAGCCAGACTCTGTCTCAAAAAAAAAAAAAAAAAAAGAATTGCAAATATTTTACCACAAGAAAATCAAGAAGATTCCCTTCACTATTAAGTAAACATAATAATAATCATAGCTATCATTTATCAAGTCCTTTCTACATGCCAGGAGTTTTACCAGGATTATTTTATTTATCCTCATAAGAACCCTATAAGGGACATGTATTATTAGCCTTACGTTATATATAAGGAAACTAAGCCTTACAGAAGTTAAATAATTTTCCCAGGGCCACAAAGCTGGTAAATAATCAGTTCAAAACTAAAATGATTTCAAGTTACTTAGTGGGAAGTTAAAGGAATTATTATTTATTTATTTTTGGTTGAAGTTAAAGTTTTGTATCTGAAAATGATATTTTTTTAAGAAAATAGTAACAGGACTAACAATTATGTGGTTTTTAAACAACACTGAAATACCAGTTTTTGCTTGCGGAATTGTAAAATTTTAAAAATACATGACAAGCAATGTTTTTCAGAATTAATGAATCAGAAACCTTTGAACAACAATTTGGCAATTTAACTTGATACAATCCTTTAAGAAAGATATTTGGCAATATATACCAGATTTTTTTTTTTTTTTTTTGAGACAGAGTTTCGCTCTTGTTGCCCAGGCTGGAGTGCAATGGCGCGATCTCAGCTCACCGCAACCTCCCCCTCCCGGGTTCAAGTGATTCTCCCGCCTCAGCCTCCTGAGTAGCTGAGATTACAGGAATGTGCCACCATGCCTGGCTAATTTTTTTTATTTTTAGTAGAGATGAGGTTTCTCCATGTTGGTCAGGCTGGTCTCAAACCCCTGACCTCAGGTGATCTGCCCGCCTCGGCCTCCCAAAGTGCTGGGATTATAGGCATGAGCCACCGTGCCTACCCATCCATTTCTTAAACAACCTAAAGTGAGTGTGCATTACTTTATAGTTGTAAAATTAAAAAAAAAACTTTTTTAAAAGAAAGATATGGTTTAAAAAGACCAAATTTGGCTGGGTGTGGTGACTCACATCTATAATCCTACCACTTTGTGGGTCTGAGTGGGAGGATTGCTTGAGGCCAAGAGTTCAAGACCAACCTGGTCAACATAGCAAGATCCCCGTTTCTATTTAAAAAATAAATAAATAATAAAAATACCAAATCCATATTCCTCTTTTGAATTACTGAGTAAAATAAAATATTTTCTTTTTCCACTTTCAAAGATGGTATATTCTTTTTATTATGTCTTGAGGGCATTGGTGTAATTAAAAAACTGATAAATGACCAAGAATTCATGAGTCATCAAATATAGCTCCCTGATGTATCAGGAGAAAATCTCAAGCCTTGAGATTAATGGTAAAATACCGTTTAAAAAGTCACATAAATGTACCCAAACTGAATATTCGGTGCCTCATTTATTGTTTTGTAAAGACACGCTCAGTATATCAATGCTGTGAAGCTGAAACAAGTTTCAGTAACTGACAGCAAAAGAGGCTTCACTAAGTTAGTCAGAGACCCAGCCAGATAAAATTTTGAAATGATTAAAATATCATAAAGGTCTGAGTGCAGTAGCTGATGTCTGTAATCCGAGCACTTTGGAAAGTCAGGGTGGGAGGATAGCTTGAGGCCAGAAACTGGAGATCAGCCTGGGCAACAGTTCAAGACTCTGTCTCTAAAAAAATTTTTTTAGTTAGGTGGGCGTGGTGGCACGAGCCTATAGTTCCAGCTACTTGGGAGACTGAGGTAGGAAGATCACTCTAGCCCAGGTGTTTGAGGCTGCAGTGAGCTATGTTGGTGCCATGTACTCCAGCCTCGGCGACAGAGTGAGGTCCTATCTCAAATAAAATAATAAAATAAAGTAAAAATCAGAAAAAGCTGAAGACAAAATTGGTGCAGGAAGCCCATGACTGATTTAAGCAACTGGATCACTGTGTCTTCAGATTGATGCCTGTGCCTCAGGTGACCCTGGGACAAAGCTGGCTGAGAGATGGGGAGGAGCCGATGACACAATCAAGCTGAGACTCAGGTATAATTAGGTGAAACTTTATACCAAATGGACATCACAAATCTGTGATTTGATCTGCAAGGGATTTTATTTTTACCCGGACTCTCTGTCCTATGTCAAAACTTGCCGATTATTTTCATGAATCCCATGACAATTTTACATGGGTCCAAATGATTCCTCTTACTTTTTAATAACCTTATTTAGCCATTAGATTTTGATGGATTGATTTTAATTTTTAGTAATGAGTATATTCTGTATTTTAGACCAGGGAACATGAAGCCATTATTGCAGTTAATGAGTTTCATCATTATTTACAATACAATAAACAATGTGTTGATTTAAACTGGGTGTACATTAACATAAATGCGCAGAACATTTTTTTAAATTCCTCTCCATGCTATTTATGGCACACAGCAAAGTTTAATGGTAGATGCGAAGAAAGAAAAAAAAAAGTGAGAAATGAGACCCTTGGGTAGCCAGAAGGATCAAGATAGGACCAACCTGTTTTCATTAGGGGGCAGCTTTGTGGGAAGGGCTCGGGTGAGCACCCACAGATTGCACCGAGGTGCTATACTCTGAGGCTGTGATAAACAGACTTCCCAGCCCCCACAGATCTTTCCTGTAGATTTATCGCAGTGCCTGGGGTTCTGCCATTAAGAATTTTCCCTATAGTCTTGAAGGCTAATCATGTTTACAGTTCTGCTTTGAAGATTGCAAAGCACCTCTAGGAACACTTCTTAGCTAATCCCTTGGGGCAGGGGCTCTAACCGGTTGATCAAGCTTGACTGGTGCATCTTTTCGGGAAGAGGCAGTAGCAGTGTTAAGAGCTCAGGCGTTAGATATTAAATCCCTGCCTCTGCTGAGAGTGACCTGGGGCAAGTTATCTTCCCTAAGCCTCAGTTTCTTTATCTATAAAGTAAGGATAGTAATATTTACCTTGAAGAGCAGTCGTAAAGGAAACAAAAAAATACATGGAAAACGCTTAACCACAACAGATGGTCCCCATATAAGGACAACCAGGTGGGTTGAAAGGCAGCTGTTAGCCCCTCACCGAGCATGTGCGCCTCCCTCAGCTCAGATGCATCCCAGCAGCTGGGCTGGGGAGAGTATTTCCAACTGCTGGGCACCCTACTTCTCTGCCAACTGTGAGCTGCAGGGAAGGGATGCCTAGGTGGACCAGGTCAGCACCTCCTCTAACATCCGACTTCACCCCCATGAAATCAACACCCTCACAATCTTGGTATCCTGGGAGACTGGAGAGGGGTCCTAAATGGGAGGGTTCCCAGAAGACTTTACCAGCTAGAGAATTCTGCCTAGGGAAGAGGTGTGTTTGTTTGTTCTCTGTTGCCCCAGCTGGAGTGCAGTGGCACTATCTCAGTTCTCTGCAACCTCCGCCTCCAGGGTTCAAGCGATTCTCATGCCTCAGCCTCCCCCGGCTAATTTTTTGTGTTTTTAATACAGACGGGATTTCGCCATGTTGGCCAGGCTGGTCTCGAATTCCTGAGCTCAAGTAATCCTCCCTCCTTGTCCTCTCAAAGTGCTGGGATTACAGGTGTGAGCCACCACACCTGGCCTGTTTGTTTTTTAGAGACAATCTCTGTTGCCCAGACTGGAGTGCAGTGATGCAATTGTAGCTCACTGCAGACTTGAACTCCTGGGCTCAAGCAATTCTCCTGCCTCACCCTCCCAAGTAGCTGGGACTACAGATGTGCACCACTATACCCTTAATTTCTTTGTAGAAATGAGGTCTCACTATGTTGCCCAGGCTGGTGTCAAGCAATTTTCCTGCCTAGGCCTCCCAAAGCGCTGGGGTTACAGCTGGGTGGGCCACTGCACCCAGCCTTAAGGGATAGGTTTTAATGTTCATTTTCTAGCTCCAGGAAGGGTAGGTGCCCATGAGTCATCAGGGGTCTTGGCCACTTTCATCTTTGCACACTGGGTCTGATGTTGCCAGGGACAGATGACAGTGCAGCAAATTGGAGAGGAGGGAAAGCACGTGGCTACAAGACTCTACCGAGGAAGGTCTGTTTCTTCTAGAGAGCATGAAGACTGATGCCGTGACCCAGGACTATGACGTTTACTGGTACATGTGTCTACCTTGGCCACTTTTGCCTCTTTTCTTTTCTCTAATACATTATCACTACCTCATCTTCAGGAGAGTTTTTAACCTAGAGGTCCAAAACCCGGCAATACATCATCTGCGCAGATTCTTTGTTTTCTAAAATAAGAGATTCTCAGACACCAACTCCTTAGAGATTCTGATTTAGGAAGTATGAGAGGCATAGGGGCCAAGCATATAAATTCTGGAGACAGATTGCCTTGGTTCCAATCCCAGCTCCCTGGCTTACTATGTGTGCATGTGAGCAAGTCACTTATGATCTCTGCACATCAGTTTCTTCATCTATAAGATTAGGATAATAACAGTAGCCTACCTGACAGAGGGGCTAACAGGGTGAAATGAATTATTGTTATTAAGCAAGGCACAGGGCCTAGAATTTGGTATGTATTTTTTAAAAGGCTGTTGATCATGAGACACAGACCAGCTGAGGAATCACATTGATACAAAGCTATTTCTAATTAGCATCCAACCATTGGTCTTTAGTGTAATTTCAGAAGTCGAAACAGGAGATTCAGGGACATCAAAGAATAATTTTTGGCAAGTTCCTGACGCTGACAAGAAAGATGAAAATTAGGAGGCATTACTTTTTGATCACTCCTTATATGGATACATTTATGAAACACTGGACAATTTTCAAGGTAAACCATTGAACATCAGGAAGCACAAAGTCAAGAGAGAAGAAAAACCTAAAATTACAGGATTTCACATGACAAATTGAAAGTAAATTAATCATTTTTCCACTGACCTTAATCACAGGGAAAAATAATTAATCATTGTCAGAAATGTTTAAAACTGCTTGAGTTCTTCCCAAAGGTTCCAGGGAATGAGATATATTCATCATAAGATGAAGAATTCCATCAAATTTGATCCAGGTGCATTTAGAGCAGCACACCTGTATACGACTACTAGACCAGCTTCTCTAATGATCAGAAATTGAATGTAGACAACACACAAAGAGGGAATTTTAGTACTTTTAGCTGCTTAGTATGTCATCCATACATCCAAACTTCAGAGGTGCTTTGTCAGGCATTTTTCACAGCTTCTCCCTTCCCGTTTTCCTTTTTATTTTTTCTTTTTATCTTTTTTTTTGAGATGGGGTCTTACTCTGTTACCCAGGCTGGAGTACAGTGGTACAATCATAGCTCACTGCAGCCTCCAACTCCTGGGCTCAAGCAATCCTCCTGTCTCAACCTCCTGAGTAGCTAGAGCTACAGGCATGCACTACCATGTGTGGCTAAGCTTTTTATTTTTATTTTTTGTAGAGATGGTGTCTTGCTATGTTACCCAGGCTGGTCTCCAACTCCTGGCCTCAAGCGATCCTCCCTCCTCACCCTCCCAGTGTCCTGAGATTACAGGTATGAGCCACTGCACTGGCCACCTTTCCTGTTTTGTTTTGTTTTATTTTTTTGAGATGGAGTCTCACTCTGTCACCCAGGCTGGAGTGCAGTAGCACATTCTCGGCTCACTGCAACCTCCGCCTCCCAGGTTCAAGTGATTCTCATGCCTCAGCCTCCTAAGTAGCTGGGATTATAAGCATCTGCCACCAAACCTGACTAATTTTTTTTTTCTGTATTTTTAGTAGAGACAGGGTTTCACCATGTTGGCCAGGCTGGTCTCAAACTCCTGGCCTCAAGTGATCCACCTGCCTCGACCTCCCAAAGTGCTGGATTACAAGTATGAGTCACCGCGCCTTGCCAGATTTTTCTTAATCACCTTCTCCAAATTCCTTTCTCTTCCTTTTGAATACTGTCATTTACTCTTCTGTGCTATTGCAAAACCATCTGTGCTACTATTAAGCATGGCATCTAGGTATTCACACTTTTTTTTTTTGGAGATGGAGTCTCACTCTGTCACCCAGGCTGAAGTGCAGTGGTGCGATCTTGGCTGACTGCAAGCTCCGCCTAGCACCTTCAAGCAACTCTCCTGCCTCAGCCTCCCAAGTAGCTGGGACTACAGGCACATGCCACCACGCCCAGCTAATTTGTGTATTTCTTGTAGAGATGGGGTGTCACCATGTTGGCCAGGCTGGTCTCGAACTCCTGACCTCAGGTGATCCACCCGCCTCAGCCTCCCAAGGTGCTGGGATTACAGGCATGAGCCACCAGACCTGGCCAGGGTTACACATTTTTAATTACAATTTTTATCCAGATAATTGTAGATGTACATGCAGTAGTAAGAAATCATAGAAAGATCCTTACATTTTGCCCAGTTTCCCCCAAGGGGAACGTTTTAAAAAACTATAGAACATTATCACAACCAGGTTATTGACAATGCGACAATCCACTAATCTTATTCAGATTTCCTCAGTTTACTGATATTCATTTATGGACATGTATGTGACTGCTTATTAATATCTATTCAATTTTATCACCCGTGTAGGTCCAAGTGCCCACCAACAGGGTCAAGATACTGAATATTTCTAGCACCACAAGGATGCCCCTTGGGTTACCCTTTTATAACCACATCCACCTCTTCCTGTTCCATGCACCTGTGGCCCTAAATCCTTTACCCTGGCATCCATTTGTCCTCCATTTCTAAAATTTTGTCATTTAGAAAATGTTTTATAAATTGAATCACATATTATGCAACCTTTTGGGACTGGCTTTTTTGACTCAGTATAATTCCCTGGAAATTCATCAAAGCTGTCACACATATCAAGAGTTCATTCCTTTTTATTGCTAAGTAGCAGTACTCCATTGTAGAGCTCTTTCACAGTTTGACTATTCACCTGTTGAAGGTCATATGAGTGGATTTCTTTCTTTATTTTTTTTATTTTTTTTTTTTGAGATGGAGTCTCACTCTGTCACCCAGGCTGGAGTGCAGTGGCGCGATCTCAGCTCACTGCAAGCTCCGCCTCCCAGGTTCACGCCATTCTCCTGCCTCAGCCTCCCGAGTAGCTGGGACTACAGGCGCCCGCTACCACACCCGGCTAATTTTTGTATTTTTAGTAGAGACAGGGTTTCACCATGTTAGTCAGGATGGTCTCGATCTCCTGACCTCGTGATCTGCCTGGCTCAGCCTCCTGAAGTGCAGGGATTACAGGCGTGAGCCACCGCGCCCAGCCCATATGCTTATTTTTCATCTGTATATCTTATTTAGTGAGGTGTCTGTTAAGGTCACTGGCCCATTTTTAATCAGGTTGTCTTTTTCTTATTGTTGAGTTTAAAGCATTCTTTGTATATTTTAGATAACAGTCTTTTATTAGACTTGTCTTTTGCAAATATTTTCTCCTAGCCTGTGGCTTTTCTCCTTATTCTCTTGACAGTGTCTTTCACAGAACAGAAAGTTTTAACTTCAATGAAGTCCAACTTATCAATTCTGTCTTTCATGGATCATGCTGTTGATGTTGTATCTAAAAAATAATCACAAAACTCGAGGTCATCTAGATTTCCTTCTATGTTATCTTCTAGGATTTTTATAGTTTTGTGTTTTACATTATGTTATCCATGTTGAGTTAATTTTTGTGACGAGTATAAGATTGTGTCTAGATTATTACTATTATTATTATTTGCATGTGGATGTCCAGTTGTTCCAGCACCATTTGTTGAAAAGGCTCTTTTGCTGAATTATATTGCCTTTGTTCCTTTGTCAAAGTCAGTTGACTATATTTATGTGGATCTATTTCTGGGCTCTCTATTCCGTTCCATTTATCTATCTTTGTGTATTCTTTTGTCAAACCACACTGTCTTGACTACTGTACCTTTATAGCAAACCTGGAACTCCTCCAATTTTGTTCTCTATTAATATTGTGAGCTGCTTTGGGTCTTTTGCTTCTCCATATAAACTTTAGAATCAGTTTGTCAATATCCACCAAGTAAGTTGCTAAAATTTTGAGTCAGATTATGTTGAATCTACAGATCAAGTTGTGAAGATCTGACATGTTGTAAATATTGAGTCTTCCTATCCATGAACATGGAATATCTCTCCATTTATTTACTTCTTTGATTGTTTTCATCAGAATTTGGTAGTTTTCCTCACTTAGATTGTATATGTATTCTGTTAGATTTATACCTAAATATTTTGTTTTTGAGAGTGTGCTATGATTTGAATATGGTTTGTCTCCCAAAAAACTCATGTTGCACTTGGTCTCTAATGTAGCGTTTTGGAAGATAGTGCCTTTAAAGCATGATTGGGTTGTTAAGATTGATCAATCTCTTTCTGAAAAGATTGGGTTAGTTCTCTTGGGATGGATTAGTTCCCAGGAGAGTGGATTGTTAGAAAGTGAGGTTGCCTCTTCTGTTTGGACTCTTTGCATGCACCCACTTCCCCTTCCACTTTTGAAACATGCCTCCTAATATGTTTCATGCTTCCACATGCATGCTTCCCCCATGCTATGAAGCAGTAGGAGGCCCTCACCAGATGCAGCCACCTGTCCTGGACTTCTTAGCCTCCAGAACCTCTTTTCTTTATATATTTCCCAGTCTTCGGTATTTTGTTATGGCAACAGAAAATGGACTAAGATAAGGTGCTGATGTAAATAGTATTGTATTCTTAATTTCAAATTTCCCTTGTTAATTGCCAGCATATAGGAAGTAATTGACTTTTATTTATTTATTTATTTTTTGAGACAGTCTCACTCGGTTGCCTAGGCTGGTGTTCAGTGGCACAGTCTTGGCCTGCTGCAACCTCTGCCTCCTGGGTTCAAGCAATTCTCCTGCCTCAGCCTCCCAAGTAGCTGGGATTACAGGTGCACATCACCAAACCTGGCTAACTTTTGTATTTTTAGTAGAGACAGGATTTCATCATGTTGTCCAGGCTGGTCTCAAACTCCTGGCCTCAAGCAATCCTCCTAGCTCAGCCTCCCAAAGTGCTGGGATTACAGGCGTGCACCATCATGCTGCAGCTGAACACCCAGCTGAAGCAATTGACTTTTATATGTTAACATTGTATCCTGTAATCTTGCTATAACAGCTTATTAGCTCCTGGAAAGGTTTTCTGGAAAGTGGTGGCATGATCACAGCTCACTGTAACCTCTGCCTCCCAGTTTCAAGCGATTCTCCTGCCTCAGCCTCCCATGTAGCTGGGACTACAGGCTTGCATCACCATGCCCAGATAATTTTTTGCATTTTTAGTAGACTCAGGGTTTCACCGTGTTGGCCAGGCAGAACGCCTGGCCTCAAGTGATCCGCCCGCCTCAGCTTCCCAAAGTGCTGGGATTATAGGCATGAGCCACCATGCCTAGCCCTGGTCAATACTTTTGAAATTTCTACATAAACTACCAGATCATCTGTGAACAGATTTTTTTATTTCTTTCCAATATGTATACCCTTTCCGTCCTTTTTCTTACCTTGCTGCATTAGCTAGGACTTCCAGTACAATATTGAAAATCAGTGGTGAGGCCAAGGTAAGTGGCTCATCCCTGTAATCCCAGCACTGTGGGAGGCCAAGGCAGGCAGATCACTTCAACCCAGGAGTTCGAGACCAGCCTGGGCAACATGACAAAACCCTGTTTCTGCAAAAAATACAAAAGTTAGCTGGGCATAGTGGCATGCACCTGTAGTCCCAGCTGCTCAGGAGGCTGAGGTGGGAGGATTACTTGAGCCCAGTAGATGAGGTTGCAGTGAACCAAGATCACACCATTGCACTCCATCCTGGGCAACAGCGTGAGACCCTGTCAAAAAAAAAAAAAGAAAGAAAGGTGTCATCCATTTTAAATTAATTTTCATTTAAGGTGTAATGTTTAGGTCATGGTTTGTGTTTTTGCCTATGCAGTACCATTTGTGGAAAAGGTTATCCTTCTTGTCAAAAATCAATTAAGCATATTTCAGTGGATCTTTTTCTGGAATCTTTACTCTGTTCCACTGATCTGTGTATCTGTCACTCTGTCAATACCATACTGTCTTAATTGTGGTAGCCATGTAGTAAACCTTAATATTGGATAGAGTGATTCCTCTCACTTTATTATTTATCAAGACTATTTTAGCTATTCCAGAGCTCATTCCTTTCCACTTAAGTTTCTGAATAAGTTTGTCCATGTATACAGAAATGCTTTCTGGGGTTATAATAGAAATTGTATTAAATCTGTAGATTAATTCAGAAGAATATCTTTATTATGTTGAATCTTTCGATCTATAACCATAGTAGGTGTCTCCATTAATTTAGGTTTCCTTTGATTTCTTTCATCAGGATTTTGTAATTTTCCGCACACATATTAAATAAAATATACTTAGAAATATATCTAGCCCAGGTGCAGTGGCTCATGCATGTAATCCCAGCACTTTGGGAGGCCGAGGTGGGTGGATCACTTGAGCCTAGGGGGTTCAAGACCAGGCTGGGCAACATGGTAAAACCCCACCTCTACATAAACCATAGAAAAATTAGCCAGGCATGGTGACCCACACCTGTAGTCCCAGCTCTAAGGTGAGAAGACTGCCTGAGCTCACGAGGTCAAGCCTGCAGTGAGCTATGATCATGCAACTGCACTCCAGTCTGGGCAATAGAGCGAGACCCTGTCTCAAAAAAAAAAAAAAAAAAGAAAGAAAGAAATCTATCTAAATATTTCATTTTGTCTGTGTGTCATATGGAAATGCAAAAGTTTTTTTGTGTTTATCTTGTATTCTAAATCCTCACTAAACTCATTTATTAGTTCCAAGAGATTCTTTGTAGATTTCTTGGGATTTTCTACACAGGCAATCATATTATCTGCAAACAGAGATAGTTTTGTTTCCTCCTTTCTAACCTGTATACTTTTATTTTTTTCTTGTCTCTTGCAATAACTTCCACGACCATGTTGAAGTGATGAGAGCAGACTTCCTTGCCTTTTTGTCGTGATCTTAGTGGAAAAACATTGATTCTTTCATCATTAAGTATGATGCTAGCTCTAGATTTTTGTTTTTGTAGATGCTATTTATCAAGTTTAGATATTTCCCTTCTATTCCTAACTTACTGAGATTTTTTTTATGAATCAGTGTTGGATTTTACCAAACTTTTTTGTTTTTGAGATGAAATCTCACTCTGTTACCCAGGCTGGAGTGCAGTAGCACACTCTCAGCTCACTGCAACCTCCACCTCCTGGGCTCAGTTGATCTTCCCACCTCAGCCTCCCAAATAGTTGGGACTACAGGCACACGCCACCATGCCTGGCAAATTTTTTTGTACTTTTTGTAGAGATGAGGTTTCACCATGTTGCCCAAGCTGATCTCAAACTCCTGGGCTCATACGATCTGCCTGCCTTGGCCTCTGAAAGTGCTGGGATTACAGGAGTGAGCCACTGTGCCCGGCCAAACATTTTTTCTGTGTCAAATTGATAGAGTTGTATGATTTTTCTTCTTCAGCTTGTTAAATGGTGAATTACACTGACTGATTTTCAAATATTGAACCAGCCTTATATACCTGGAAGAAGTTCCACGTGGCTATGGTACATAATTCTTTTTATACATTGTTGGATGCAGTTTGCTAATATCTAGTTTAGATTTTCACATTTAAATTCATGAGAAATATTGGTGTATTCTTTTTTTGTACTGTCTTTGGTTTTAGTGTCAGGGTAACACTGGTTCCATAAAATGAGTTGGGAAGTGTTTGCTCCTCTTCTGTTTCCTGGAAGAGATTGTGTAAAATGTGTGCTGATTACTCTTTAAGTGTTTGGTGGAATTCTCCAATGAAACTATCTAAGCCCAATTTTATTTATTTATTTTTCTGGTGGGGATCGAGAGGGAGTAAATTTTTTTTTTTTCTTTTTGAGATGGAATCTCGCTCTGTTACCCAGGCTGGAGTGCAGTGGTACAATCACGGCTCACTGCAACCTCTGCCTCCCGGGCTCAAGCGATTCTCATACCTCCGCCTCCCAAGTAGCTGGTACTGCAGGTGTGCATCACTACGCCTGCCTAATTTTTTGTATTTTTGGTAGAGATGGGGTTTCGCCATGTTGCCCAGGCTGGTCTTGAACTCGTAAGCTCAGGTGATCCACCTGCCTCAGCCTCCCAAAGAGAGAGAGTAAATTTTTTAGAACAGTTTAGATTTACAGAAAAATTGAAAATATGGCATAGTTTTCATATACTGCATATCCAGTTTCCCCTATTATTAACATCTTCGATTAGCATGATACATTTGTTAAAATTAATGAATAATATTGATACATTATTAACTAAAATCTATACTTTCTTCAGATTTCCTTAATTTTTACCTAATGTCCTTTTCTTATTCCAGAATTCCATCCAGAATACCACATTACATTTAATTGCCTTGTCTCCTTAGGCTCCTCTTGGCTGTGACAATTTCTGAAACTCTCCTTGTTTTTTATTTTTGTTTGTTTGTTTTATTTAGGTTTCTTTTTTTAAGACAGAGTCTCACTCTGTTGCCCAGGCTGCAATGCAGTGGCGTGATCTCAGCTTACTGGAATCTCTGGCTGCCTCCCAAGTTCAAATGATTCTCCTGCCTCAGCCTCCTGAGTAGCTGGGATTACAAGCGCCCACCACCACGCCCAGCTAATTTTTATATTTTTAGAAGAGACAAGGTTTCACCATGTTGGCCAGGCTCGTCTCAAACTCCTGACTTCTAGTGATCTGCCGACCTCAGCCTCCCAAAGTGCTGGGATTACAGGCATGAGCCACCATGCCCAGCCCTTTTACTTAGTTTTTATTTTATAATCTTAACTCTGCAATTCAGCTAGATGTAAAAGGAAATAAGGAAAATATAGAACCCAAAGAGCTGCCGTGAGAGCACAAAGATTATAGAAGGCTGCAAACAAATGCAGTAGTGCGGTGCTCTCCTGAGCTACAGAAGGAAAGGCCTGGTAGTTAAGATAAAACACAAGTCAAATTTATTAGAATGATCCACAGTCAGCAATGGTGATCTTCTTGCTGGTCTTGCCATTCCTGTACCCGAAGCACTCCATGGCTTCCATGATATTCATGCCTTCTTTCACCTTGCCAAAGACCACATGCTTGCCATCCAACCAGTCAATCTTGCAGTGCAGATGAAAAACTGGGAACTGCTTGTGTTGGGTCCAGCATTTGCCATGGACAAGATGCCAGAACCCGTATGCTTCAGAATGAAGTTCTCACCTTCAAATTTCTCCTTGTAGATAGACTTGCCACCAGTGCTATTGTGGCTTGTGAAGTTCATACATACCCTGACACAGAACCCCTGGAATAATTCTGTAAAAGCAGAAACCCTGATAACCAAATTCTTTCTCTTCAGTGCTCAGAGCATGGATATTTTCTGCTGTCTTTGGAACTTCGCAAACAACTCAAAGGAGATGCAGCTCAAAGTCTCGCCGTCAATGGCGATGTCAAAGACCATGGTGGGGTTGACTGTGACTTGTGGCATAGGGCTCTGGGTGGCCCCAGCATCTGCAAAGCATTCTTGTTTTTGACGAGCTTAACAATTTTAAGAAGCACTGATAAGGTATTTTTCAGAATTTCTCTCCATTAGAATTTTTATGATGTTTTTCTTGAGACTGACGTTATAAGTTTCAGGGAGAAAGACCAGAGACAGAAAGCGCCATTTTCATCACGTCATATCAAAGATATATACTGTCAGCCAGGCGCAGTGACTCACACCTGTAATCCCAGCACTTTGGGAGGCCGAGGCAGGTAGATCACCTGAGGTCAGGAGTTGAAGACCAGCCTGGCTAACATGGTGAGACCCCATCTGTACTAAAAATACAAAAATCAGCCAGGCGTGGTCGTGGGTGCCTGTAATCCCAGCTACTTGGGAGGCTGAGGCAGGAGAATCACTAGAACCTGGGAGGCAGAGGTTGTAGTGAGCCAAGATCGCGCCACTGCACTCCAGCCTGGGCAACACAGCAAGACTCTGTGTCAAAACAAAAAAACAAACAAACAAACAAACAAAAACACACAGAGAGATAACATGATTCTGTGGTGCAAACTAACTTTTGAAAATTCTATACTCCTGGCTGGGCACGGTGGCTCACACCTGTAATCCCAGCACTTTGGGAGGCCAACATGGGCAGATTACCTGAGGTCAGGAGTTTGAGACCAGCCTGGCCAACATGGTGAAACCCTGTCTCTACTAAAAATACAAAAATTATCCGGGCGTGGTGGCACATGCCTGTAATCCCAGCTACTCAGGAGGCTGAGGCAGGAGAATTGCTTGAGCCTGGGAGGCAGAGGTTACAGTGAGCCGAAATCGTGCCACTGCACTCCAACCTGGCTGACAGAGTGAGACTCTGTCTCAAAAAAAAAGAAAAAAAAAATTCTATATTCCTCTTTCGGAGATCCACAACTCATAATTGTATATTCAAGGCTCTGAGAAGTCCTGTTATAAGGAAACACTCTTATTATTGCTTAATCTGGAGTTCCTCAGACCACAAAACTTTTTTTGGTTGCCACAAAATATCTATTAACATATTTTAGAACTAGTGTTCTGAAGAACATAGTTGGGAAATGTGGATTCACTCATTTTCTAGATAAAGGAACTTGCATTAAGTGAGTTAAGTGATTTGTGCCAAGTTACAGGACTACTTAGTAACACAACTGGGTCTAAAACCCAGGTTTCCTAAATTCCTGATGGTCCAGTATTTTTGCATCATACCATGTCGTCACCTATGAGGCAGGTCCTAAGGCTGTTGAAAAACAATAGGAAATGGCTTTTAAAAGTAATTTTATTGACTGGCTGTAGTGGCTCATCCCTGTAATCCCAGCACTTTGGGAGGCCAAGGTGGGAGGATTGCTTGAGCTCAGGAGTTTGAGATCAGCCTGGGTAACATGGTGAAGCCTCGTCTCTACAAAAAATACAAATATTAGCCAGGCGTGGTAGCATATGCCTGTAGTCCCGGCTACTCAAGAAGCTGAGGTGTCGAGAAACTTCCTGCCGCCGCGTTCGCACCTCGCTGCTCCAGCATCTAGGGCATATTCCAACCTTCCAGCCTGCGACCTGCAGAGAAAAAAAAATTACTTATTTTCTTGCCCCGTACATACCTTGAAGTGAGCAAAAAAATTAAATTTTAACCATGAGGGAAATCGTGCACATCCAGGCTGGTCAGCGTGGCAACCAGATCGGTGCCAAGTTCTGGGAGGTGATCAGTGATGAACATGGCATCGACCCCACTGGCACCTACCACGGGGACAGCGACCTGCAGCTGGACCGCATCTCCGTGTACTACAGTGAAGCCACTGATGGCAAATATGTTCCTCGTGCCATACTGGTGGATCTAGAACCTGGGACCATGGACTCTGTTCGCTCAGGTCCTTTTGGCCAGATCTTTAGACCAGACAACTTTGTATTTGGTCAGTCTGGGGCAGGTAACAACTGGGCCAAAGGCCACTACACAGAGGGCGCCGAGCTGGTTGATTCTGTCCTGGATGTGGTACGGAAGGAGGCAGAGAGCTGTGACTGCCTGCAGGGCTTCCAGCTCACCCACTCACTGGGTGGGGGCACAGGCTCTGGAATGGGCACTCTCCTTATCAGCAAGATCCGAGAAGAATACCCTGATCGCATCATGAATACCTTCAGTGTGGTGCCTTCACCCAAAGTGTCTGACACCGTGATCGAGTCCTACAATGCTACCCTCTCCGTCCATCAGTTGGTAGAGAACACTGATGAGACCTATTGCATTGACAACGAGGCCCTCTATGATATCTGCTTCCGCACTCTGAGGGTGACCACACCAACCTATGGGGATCTGAACCACCTCCTCTAAGACACCATGAGTGGTGTCACCACCTGCCTCCGCTTCCCTGGCCAGCTCAATGCTGACCTCTGCAAGTTGGCAGTTAACATGGTCCCCTTCCCACGTCTCCATTTCTTTATGCCTGGCTTTGCCCCTCTCACCAGCCATGGAAGCCAGCAGTATCGAGCTCTCACAGTGCCGGAACTCACCCAGCAGGTCTTCGATGCCAAGAGCATGATGGCTGCCTGTGACCCCCGCCACGGCCGATACCTCACCGTGGCTGCTGACTTCCGTGGTCGGATGTCCATGAAGGAGGTCGATGAGCAGATGTTTAACGTGCAGAACAAGAACAGCAGCTACTTTGTGGAATGGATCCCCAACAATATCAAGACAGCTGTCTGTGACATCCCACCTCGTGGCCTCAAGATGGCAGTCACCTTCATCGGCAGTAGCACGGCCATCCAGGAGCTCTTCAAGCACATCTCGGAGCAGTTCACTGCCATGTTCCGCCGGAAGGCCTTCCTCCACTGGTACACAGGCGAGGGCATGGACGAGATGGAGTTCACCGAGGCTGACAGCAACATGAACGACCTCGTCTCTGAGTATCAGCAGTACCAGGATGCCACCGCAGAAGAGGAGGAGGATTTCGGTGAGGAGGCCAAAGAGGAGGCCTAAGGCAGAGCCCCCATCACCTCAGGCTTCTCAGTTCCCTTAGCCGTCTTACTCAACTGCCCGTTTCCTCTCCCTCAGAATTTGTGTTTGCTGCCTCTATCTTGTTTTTTGTTTTTTCTTCTGGGGAGGGTCTAGAACAGTGCCTGGCACATAGTAGGCACTCAATAAATACTTGTTTGTTGGAAAAAAAAAAAAAAAAAGGCTGAGGTGTCAGGATCCCTTGAGCCTGGGAGGTCAAGGCTGCAGTAAGCCATGATCATGCCACTGCACTCCAACCTGGGTGACAGAGTGAGATCCTGTCTCAAAAACAACAAAAAACCCCACAATTTTCTTATAAAATATATATATATATATGTTTATGACATGTTGTGTGTTTGGCATAAAACATTATTAAGATAAGCACCTATGTATCATCACCCAGCTTAAGAAGGAGAATATTATCAGAAACTTGGAAGCACCTTGTAGGCCCCTCCCCAATTACACCACCCTGTGTTTATCATTGTGTTTATCATGCCTTTGCTTTTCTTTATAGTTTAACTACATATACAGATCCCTAAAATGCATTATTCTATTTTACACATTTTGAACCTTTAATTAATGGTATTACTATAGTATTCTTCTGCAACCTGCAAAACTTTTGCTCATTAATTTTGTGAGATTCATGCGTGTTACTAAGTATAGCTGTAACTCATTCATTGCTACACAGACTATCATTAGGGGAATACATCACAATTTTTTTTTCTTTTTTTCTGAGACACAGTCTCGCTCTGTCACCAGGCTGGAGTGCAGTGGTGCGATCTGGCTCACTGCAACCTCCACCTCCTGGGTTCAAGCGATTCTCCTGCTTCAGCCTCCCGAGTAGCTGGGACTACAGGCGCGCGCCACCACACCCAACTAATTTTCGTATTTTTAGTAGAGACAGGGTTTCACCACGTTGGCCAGGTTGGTCTCTATCTCTTGACATCGTGATCTGCCCCCTTCAGCCTCTCAAAGTGCTGGGATCACAGGCATGAGCCACTGCACCTGGCCTCATCACAATTTATTTATTCATTCTTCTGTCAATTGATCTTTGAGTTGTTTCTTTCTGTTTTAGTCCATTGCTGTAACAAAATACCTGAGACTGAGTAATTTATAAAGAACAGAATTTTTTTTCTCACAGTCTGGAGGCTGTGAACTCTAGATCAAGGTGCGAGGAGGATCCTTGTCTGGTGAGAGCTGCCCTCTGCTTCCAAGATGGTACCTTGATGCTACATTTTCTGAAAGGAGGAACACTGGGTCCTCACATGGTTGAAGGAAGGAGAGAAGGGTGAAAATGGCTGAACTCCCACCATCAATTCCTTTCATAATGGCATCAATCTACTCATGATGGCAGAGCCCACATGACCCACATATCTCTCAAAAGACCTCACCTCCCAGCACTGTTGCATTGGGTATTAAGTTTCCAACACATGAATTTGTGAGGACATATTCAGACTATAGCACCTTCTCTTTTTCTTTTGGTTTATTATAAACCATGTCTGAAGTGTTTTACATGCACAGACATCTATAAGCACACCTGCTAGTGTTTGTGTAGGTTATAACCTCAGAGAAATTGCTGAGTTATAGCACCCATCTTCAGTTTTATTAGAGAATATGAAATTGTCATTCAATTTACAATTGACATTGTCACCAGCAGTTTATAAGTCTTTCCATTGTTCTATACTTAGCAACATTATCTTGCCAGACATTCTTTAAAAACTTTATATTATGGAAATTTTCACACATGTACAAGAATTATATTATAAACTATCCCCTGGCTTCAACATTTACCAACTCATGGCCAATCTACCATGGGCTATTTTGGAATATTCAAAAGCTAATCTCAGATATCTGAGATTACTTCATCTGCAAACATTTCATAATGCATCCCTAAAAAATAAGGACTCTGCCTTTTAAAATTTGAGATAAAACATACAGTACAGTACACAAAACTTTTTTTTTTTTTTTGATACAGGGTCTCTCTCTGTCATCCAGGCTGGAGTACAGTGGCACTGTCTCAGCTCACTGCAACCTCCACCTCCCAGGTTCAAGTGATTCTCCTGCCTCAGCTTCCCAAGTGCTGGGATTACAGGCATGTACCACCACGCCTGGCTAATTTTTGAATTTTTAGTAGAGACAGGGTTTCACCATGTTGGCCAGGCTGGTCTTGAACTCCTGACCTCAAGTGATCCGCCCTCCTCGGCCTCCCAAATTGCTGAGATTACAGGCATGAGCCACCATGCCCGAACCTGTACACAAATCTTAAGAGTACAACTTAGTGAATGGTGATTTTTTTTTTTTTACAGGTACATGTACACAGCTGTGAAACCACTAGCGCTATCAAGATCTAGACTATTTCCAGCTCCTCCAGAAGGTTCCTTTGTAGCACTCTTTAAAAACATAAGAACAATACCACTATCACGCCTAAAATATTGTAATAATTCTTTAATATCATGAAATATCCATTACATGATCTAATTTCAACTGTCACATTTTTAAAAATCTGTTGCTTGTTTTATTGTCACTTAAATCAGGTTCCAAATAAAAACCATCTTGTCCCCTTTCTTGCAATTTATTTGGTGAACACACCAGGTGGTGTGTTCTGCAATTTCCCAGTCTGGGTTTTTTTGTGTTTTTTTTGTGTTTTTTGTTTTTTTGAGACGCAGTCTCACTCTGTCGCCCAGGCTGGAGTACAGTGGCGCGATCTCGGCTCACTGCAAGCTCTGCCTCCTGGGTTCACGTCATTCTCCTGCCTCAGCCTCCCAAGTAGCTGGGACTACAGGCGCCCACCGCCACACCTGGCTAATTTTTTGTATTTTTAGTAGATAATGGGGTTTCACCGTGTTAGCCAGGATGGTCTCGATCTCCTGACCTCGTGATCTGCCCACCTCGGACTCCCAAAGTGCTCGGATTACAGGCATGAGCCACTGCGCCCGGCCCCAGTCTGGGTTTTGTTGAATGCAGTCACATGGTGCTGTGTAACATGTTCCAGCAATATGTGTGTTAGATCCAGAGGGTTGATCAAATTTCCAATAAGAACATTTCTTAAGTGGTGGTATATTCTTCCATTAGGAGGCACAAAACATTTTGTTGTGTCTGTTTTGTGTATTAAGGCAGCAATTATTGATAATCACTGCTTAGTTCATTATTTCATCGGAGATTGCAAAATTGTGAGATTCTATCATTCCTTTTCAATATATTAGCAGACTGTTTCTCTGAAGAGAAATATTTCATTATCAATTACTTGATTACCGTGAGGTGTAGCTTATACAGGAAACTGCCAGACTTTCAATTTTCAATCAGTATAAAATATAAAATGATGCTGTGGTTTTAATTTTCTATTTCTCTGATTTACTGATGAAATCATATGTTCCATGTTTTCTTTTTCTTCTGTGAATTGCCCATTCATTTTTTTTTTTTTTTTTTTTTTTTGAGACAGTCTCACTCTGTCCCCAGGCTGGAGTGCAATGGTGCAATCTTGGCTCACTGCAACCTCTGCCTCCGAGGTTCACGCGATTCTCCTGCCTCAGCCTCCTGAGTAGCTGGGACTGCAGGCGTGTGCCACCATGCCCAGCTAATTTTTGTATTTTTAGTAGAGATGAGGTTTCAGCATGTTGGCCAGGATGGTCTCGATCTCCTGACCTTGTGATCCACCCATCTCAGCCTCCCAAAGTGTTGGGATTACAGGCGTGAGCTACTGAGCCCGGCCGTGAAGTGCCTATTCTTATCTTTTGTCCATTTCTCTCCTTGGATTGTATGTCTTCTTCTTACTAATTTTTTTTTTTTTTTTGAGACAGAGTTTCGCTCTTGTCGCCCAGGCTGGGTGCAATGGCGCGATCTCGGCTAACCGCAACCTCCGCCTCCTAGGTTCAAGCAATTCTCCTGCCTCAGCCTCCCGAGTAGCTGGGATTACAGGCATGCAACCACCATGCCCGGCTAATTTTGTATTTTTAGTAGAGACAGGGTTTCTCCATGTTGAGGCTGGTCTTGAACTCCTGACCTCAGGTGATCCACCCACCTCAGCCTCCCAAAGTGCTGGGATTACGGGTGTGAGCCACCACACCCAGTCTCTTCTTACTAATTTTTAAGAATTATTCACATATTTTGGATATGTATTATTTGTTGGTTGTAAATATCTTCTTCCAGTTTGTGGCATTCAACTTTTGGCCTCTAAGGTTTTCCCTTACTTTGTTACCAGTTTGGATATACATTTTAAAAGATGAGCCAAACACAGTGGCTCATGCCTGTAATCCCAGAATTTTGGGAAGCTGAGGTGGGAGGATCGCTTGAGGCCAGGAGTTCAAGACCAGCCTGAGCAACATAGTGAGACTCCATCTCTACAAATTTATTTATTTATTTATTTATTTATTTATTTATTTATTTATTTATTTATTTGAGATGGAATCTTGCTCTGTCGGCCAGGCTGGAGTGAAATGGCATGATCTCGGCTCATTGCAACCTTTGCCTCCTGGGTTCAAGCGATTCTCCTGCCTCAGCCTCCTGAGTAGCTGGGATTACAGGTACGTGCCACCACGCTCAGCTAATATTTTTTTGTATTTTTAGTAGGGATGGGGTTTCACCATGTTGGTCAGGCTGGTCTTGAACTCAATTAGCCAGGCGTGGTGGCTCACAATTGTAGTCCCAGCTACTTGGGAGGCTCAGGCGGGAGGATTGTTTGAGCCCAGGAGTTTGAGGCTGCAGTGAGCCATGATCATTCCACTGTACTCCAGCCTGGGTGACAGAGCAAGACCCTGTGTCTAAAAATAAAAAATAAAAATAAAATAAAAAGATGTTTGGCTGGGTGCGGTGGCTCACGCATGTAATCCCAGCACTTCGGGAGGCCAA
This sequence comes from Homo sapiens, assembly GCF_000001405.40. Lineage (NCBI taxonomy): Eukaryota > Metazoa > Chordata > Mammalia > Primates > Hominidae > Homo > Homo sapiens. The sequence goes on from NC_000008.11 coordinate 30,358,203, forward strand.
GGCAGGTGGATTATGAGGTCAAGAGATAGACACCATTCTGGCCAACATGGTGAAACCCCATCTCTACTAAAAATACAAAAATTAGCTGGGCATGGTAACATGAGCCTGTAGTCCCAGCTACTCGGGAGGCTGAGGCAGGAGAATCACTTGAACTCGGGAGGTGGAGGTTGCAGCGAGCCGAGATTGCGCCACTGCACTCCAGCCTGGCAACAGAGCAGGATTCCATCTCAAATAAATAAATAAATAAAATACAAAGATATTTATCTTGCCATGTAAAGGACACAGATAGGCACACCACTAGCAACGTGTGGTGTAAACCTAAGGTGAAATTTACTGGGAAACTTACAGGCAGAACATCAGCAGAGTACATGGGTCCCACATCATCTTGCTGTCTTGTGGATCCGTGTGCTTGTACAAGGTACCTCTAACTGATTGAGAAATTAGGCTATAACAATAGGAGCTTCCTGGTCAATGAAACCAGTTTGTTCTAAAGGAAGAGCTTCTGGAGCTCATCCACCAGCAAACCTGTTCTTCTGCTGAGCAAACACAGACGTGCTGAGGCAGCCTCTTGCTAAGTGTGGGAGACAAAATGAGCCTCCAGTGCCATCTGGATTTGTGTCTCATTGTATCTGAGGTGTTTCGTAATGGGATCTTTTTTTCGGGCTATCTAGCCTGCCATTTTACCAGAAATGGAAGTTCTCTAAAGAATGTTTTAAGGTCAACAGAGTGCTCAACATTAGACTGTGCATAGAATAACATAAGCCAAGCTACACATTGCTGCTACATCAATCTTCTTGACATTTTCACCTAGTTCATGTTAGTCTCTGGCTGAAAAGCTTTCAGTCATACCTCAGTTCCTACCTATTCATGTCCTCAGCTAAACACTCAAGGCATTCTGCAATCTTGTCCCAATCTGGTTCTCCAATTTCACCTTTATACAAATTTCCACCCTACTAAATTGAACTTTTTCATGTCTTTTAAAAGCACCAAGAAATGCTACTGCCTTCCCTCTTCCTTCCAATTACCCAAGCCAGAAGTCTCCTCTATGACCCGAGGCCCCTCTAAAACCCGAGACAAATTCTCCCTTCTCTCTGAAGTGTCCTCTGACCATTCCTGTCCCTTGTGAACAATTTGATTGTGGAGCAGCAACAATGACTTTTTTTTTTTTTTTTTTTTTTTTTGAAACAGGGTCTTGCTCTGTGGCCCAGGCTGGAGTGCAATGGTGTGGTGCAATCTCAGCTCACTACAACCTCTGCATCCCCAGCTCAGGTGATCCTCCTGCCTCAGCTTCCCAAGTAGCTGTGACTACAGGCATGCACCACCACACCCGGCTAATTTTTGTATTTTTAGTAGAGATGGGGTTTCACCATGTTGGCCAGGCTGGTCTTGAACTCCTGGACTCAAGTGATCCGCCTGCCTCGGCCTCCCAAAGTGCTGGGATTACAGGCCTGAGGCACCACGCCCAACCAATGATGACTTTTGACAGTTAGTCCTTACCAAATTCAGATGTGCTCCCCACATTTCTCAGCATGCTTTGCAGTTGGGTTGGGGCTGTGAGACTAGTTCTAGCCAGAAGACCACAAAGAAGTGACATGTGGCACTTCTGGGCCCAAGGCACTTAAGAGTTAATATTTTTCCTCCGCTTTATTTCACTACTGTGGCAACTGCATGTTCTAGATGGCATTGCTACAATATTGAGTAGAACCATCCTGCCCATGTTGAACATTATGTGAATGAGAAACCATGGAACTTGAGAATTGATTAATGTCTGCAGCATTGACTAACCTATCCTTCTTAGTGCAGATCTTTCATTTGAACAATATAAAATATTAATATATTATGTCTTGACTCTCACATTATTTTTTCTTTCTCTTACTGATTATTTTTGCCTGCCAAACATCACCACCCCATCCTCTGAAAAAATACCCCTTATTCCAGAGGCATGATCTTGTGGGATTGGTTATGTTCTTATACCCCACGGTTGACCAGTCCAGGGATCTGACCAAAGCCAGGCCAGTGAACTCCTCCCCATGATTTTTGACTTGGAACCAAGAGAGTCAACTCAGACTTTTCTAGTAATTTGGAGCTCTAGGATATAATGCCAGCAGCAGCCAGCACCTATGGCCTGACCTGTGGAGAAAGCAGGTCTGCAAGTGGATTGAGTTGACACAAGGCTGCAGAGACACTTAAGACCCTACTTCGGATTGTTTCTGAGGCCTACACATGTCTTAAATCTTCATCTTAATATACCAAACCTTTCTTGGACTTCTAGAGGCAATAAAGCCCAGCTTGAGTCAGGTGCCCTGGACTGTCTGTTACCCACAGTCTGTCACCTGCAACCTAGCAAGTCCAGCTGACATCTGCCTACTCTTTCTCCTGTAGAAGCATCCTCAAACCAGCAAGCCAGGAATGTGGAGAACCGTTTGTCTCTAAGGTTGTCCCCCAAGTGGTAATGCTCCTTAAGTCAATGAGATACCCTGGTCGGCAGTCATATATGTTCCTATCAGACATCTTCTGTCTCTCTGTAAAAAAGAGATACATGGGATTTGGCTCCATAGAACCAAAAAGAATGGTTTGGAAAACGAAAGGAGTAGGGACCCTGAAGGCACAAAACCAGCCATGCAGAGGAAACACAACAGCAGGCTGGTTATGTGGTATTAATGGGTTCGATGAGACTGTCTTGAGAACTAATCAGTAGGACATCAAGGTTCATACAATTCTCAAGTCCTACTTCAACAGGAGAGGGCTTTCTTTTAAATGCTTTATAATCAATGAAAACATTGCAGCAGATGCTATTGATACCCATGAAGATCCCTTCAGCCCACCCTGGAGATCTCCTGAAACACCCGAGTCTCCTTCCCTGAGGGATTTCTCTGGCTGCAGAGGAGTACCAGGGAGTGGAAACCCCCAAGAGCAACTTTAATTCATGAGGGATGGGAATTGGTGGATAAACATATCAGTGTTCTCTCCCTTTGGTAGGACAGGACAATTCTGAGGTGTGTTTTAGAGTCTCAGAAAGACCCCCATTGGAATGAGCAGTTTCCTCTCTTCCCTGCACTTCTCCACTTCCTCACCATACTAACCATTGATTAATAAACTACTTTCACCCAAATTCTCATCTCAGGAACTGTTTCAGGGAAACTCAAACGAACACATGGTAATGGTGATGATGGCATAATTTACATGCAGTAACAGTCACCTTTTTTAGAGTACAGTTCTATGAGTTTTGATTAGCAGTTGTGTAAATACCACCACCTATCTATCTATCACCCCCCCCCCAAAATTCCTTGGTATCCTCCTTGGTATTCAGCCCCTCCACCTTCACTACTATCCCCTCATAACCACTGATCTTTATTCCAGGGTATCATGTAAACAGAATCGTTCACTATGTAGCCTCTTAGTTTTTTTTGAGTCTGGCACCTTCCACTTACCAAAATGCATTAGAGTCTCATCCATGTTGATATAGCCAGTCAGTCTATGAGCACTTCCTTATCTGGTACAACAAGACGTTGCAAACTCATCTTGTGCTTTCCATGCCCCAGACCTGGAACCAGCCATTTCTACAAAGAGCCCTTTTAGTGGAGAATGGTACTTAGATACCAAGATCTGGGCATTAGGCATGCTCATTGTTATGGAGCCTCATAGTGGAAGAGCTAGGGAATATATAAATCACACACACCCCACACCCCAAGCATATCAGTATTTTATTGCATGGATATGCCATGTACTACATGTATTCATTCACCAGATGGAAGACATGATGGTTGTTTCCAGTCTTTGGAGGTTATACATAAGGTTATTACAAACATTCCATACAGGTTTTTGTGTGAATAATGATAAGTTTTTATTTCACTTGGGTAAATACCCAGAAGTGGGATTGCTTGGTCAAATGACACATTTATAAGACATTGTCAAGCTGCTTTCCAAAAAGCAATGTAAGAGTGTTCCAGTTGTCCCACATTCTTATCAGTCCTTGGTATTTGTTTTTTAAATTTTAGCCATTCTGACAAGTGTGTAGTGTTATCTATTGTGGTTTTAATTAGCATCTCCCCAATGATGAATTATGTTGATCATTTTTTCATGTGTTTAATTGCTACTCATATATCTTCTTTGCTGAAGTATCTGTCAAATCTTAAGCCCATCTTGAAATCAAGTTGTTCTCTTATTACTGAGTTTTGAGCATTCTCAAAACATTCTTCAATTTCAAAATGAAAACTATTTTTTTTCTGACTAGAAATGTAGTGTATTCTAATTTTTAAAAATCGGGGAGCAGATGAAAAGCTAAATAAAGTGAAAACAAATTAGAGAACTTTACCACCAAGAGGTAGAGACCCATCAAAGGTGGTTCATTTTACTGACGATGCTAAGAACCTTTCCAATATTACTCACACTGCTTCCAGCCCTCTGCTATAGGTGGGGTTTCCTCCTACACATAGGACCTCCAAGCTGGTGTGGCCCATGTGATCTGAGGGACAGACACAGACCCACTGCCAAGTTCCATTAGCATGGCCAAGCCTCTGCTTCAAGATGAGGATGTGAGCTATGCGCAGTGGCTCACGCATGTAATCCCAGCACTTTGGGAAGCAGAGGCGGGCAGATCGCTTGAGTTCAGGAGTTTGAGACCAGCCTGGCCAACATGGTGAAACTCCATCTCTATTAAAAATACAAAAATTAGCCGGGCATAGTGGTGGGCGCCTGTAATCAGGAGGCTGAGGCAGGAGAATCGCTTGAACCCAGAAGGCGGAGGTTGCAGTGAGCAGAGATCATGCCATTGCACTCCAACCTGGGCAACAAGAGTGAAACTCTGTCTCAGAAAAAAAGAGTAGCTTTGCCATCAGACACTATTAACCTCATTTTGGGACAAACTAATATTTTGTACTACCTAAGGGGAATGCAGGCAGAAAAGCTCTCACCATGACTGTGATATCCTCACCAAAAATGCATAGCCTTGACTGGGTGCTATGGCTCACACCTATAATCCCAGCACTTTGGGAGGCCAAGGAGGGAGGCCAAGGAGGGAGGATTGCTTGAGGCCAGGAGCTTGAGACCAGGAGCTTGAGGCCAGGATTGCTTGAGACCAGGAGCTTGAGACCAGGATTTCTTGAGGCCAGGAGCTTGAGACCAGGATTGCTTGAGGCCAGGAGCTTGAGACCAGCCTGGGAAACACGGTGAGACCCCATCTCTACATAAATATTTTTTTAAATGCTTAAAAAATATTTTAAACATTTTTTTAAAAATTAGTTGGGCATGGTGGTGCTCCATGCTGAAGCAGGAGGATGCTTGAGCCCAAGAGTTTGAGGCTGCAGTGAGCTATGATCATGCCACTGCACTCCATCTTGGGTGACAGAGTGAGATCCTGTCTGTGAAGAAAAGAAAGAACAGAAAAGAAAAAAAAATGCATAGCTTAATCTAATCATGAGGAAGGAAACATCAGACAAACTCAACTGAGAGATAGTCTACAAAATCACTGAGCAATTATTCTGGATGGAAGGAAACCACAGAGACGCAACAACTAAGTACAATGTGTGGCCCTGGATTAGATCCTTTTGCTATTAAGGACAGCACCAAGATAGCAAAACTTGATGTTGTCGCTGGACAAACAGGAAATGGGAGTTCCCTGAACTATTCTTGCGATTTTTCTGTAAATTTGAAATTATTTCAAACTAAAAAGTAAAAAGAAACAAAATACAGGCAGAGGAAAACCAGAAGAGTGCTTGATTTATAGTCAGATGCAGAAATAGGACAGAATGCTTAATCTCTTCCTTGTGGCAGAAGGATGAAAGAAACGTCTTTAAACTAAAGTAGAAAAAGAAGGCAACCATGGCTGTGAAATATCAGTATTTCTTTTACAGGCCTTTAATGAAAAATATTTCAGGAAGTAAAATTTTTATTAATTAGCAAAAATATAACAGAAATAGATCAATCAGGAAAGGAGGCAGGTCTACTAAGGTCAGTGTGATTATTGCCACCATCTCATAAACAACTATAGGTGGAAAGCAAGAGTTTAAAGTGGATGAAATCACTTGCAGTTCAAACTCTAATAAAAGTATAGCACTGTGGGCCCAGAGCCAGAGGGTATTATTAGAATGGGTTTTAGTACCTATATTTATCCATATGGCACTTTTTTTTCTTAAGAATCATCCTCAACCTTTTCAAATAAAAGATATGCTTTTTAATAGGAACTCTGTGTCTCATCATAAAGATAGAAGAAACTATGTCATGCCCTTAGCTGAGTTAATCTGGAGAGAAACAGACTCTATTTTATAATTGCACAGTATACTATAGAGACATTGCTTATGGTAAGTTTATTTCATGTGGTGAGTCATGTGCAAACATATCAGTCAAGGAGCTTACAAATTGACAATGTATGGCCGGGTGTGGCGGCTCACGCTCGTAATCCTAGCACTTTGGGAGGCCAAGGCGGGTGAATCACCTGAGGTCAGAAGTTCAAGGCCAGCCTGGCCAGCATGGTGAAACCCCGTCTCTACTAAAAAATAAAAAAATAAAAAATTAGGCGGGCATGGTGGCGCATGCCTGTAATCCCAGGTACTTGGGAGGCTGAGGCAGGAGAATCGCTTGAACCCGGGAGGTGGAGATTGCACTGAGCCGAGATCGCGCCATTGCACTCCAGCCTGGGCAACAAAAGTGAAACTCCATCTCAAAAAGATAAAACTTGACAATGTATGTACTAAGTCAAGATTGAACAATAGTATTCCCTTATCAGTGGCTTTGCTACCCATGGTTTCAGTTACTTGTAGTCAACCACAGTTGTAAAATAGGTAAGTATAATACAATAAAATATTTTGAGAGAGACCACAGTCACATAACTTTTATTACCGTATATTGTTATAATTGTCCTATTTTATTATTAGTTATTGTTAACCTCTTGTGCCTAATTTATAAATTAAACTTTATCATAGGTATATATGTATAGGAAAAAACAAACTATATATAGGATTTAGTACTATATCTGAGGTTTCAGGCTACTAGATACTTGGGGTCTTGGAATGTATCCCCCATGGATAGGAGTGACTACTGTACTTCTGTTGAAAATAACAGGCGTACTCTCTCATATGGTCTTGATAGCAGCTCAGAGAGGAGGTAAGAGCCATAGTCACTAGTTCAATTTTACAAATAAGGAAACCACATCTAAGCAAGGTGAAATGCCCTTCCCAAAGATGATACAAGTGGCAGAGCTTAGACTCCACATGAATATCTTATCTCTAAATTCCCTGCAATTTCCCTGACTCCAGGCTCACTCAAAAGAACCATGAACTAACATTAATCTGTAACTCCATGATCTCAAACCATTGTTCATATCTTATCATGTATGGCACAAAAACTCATTCATTCAATAATCGCTAGCATAAAGTACTCATATGTAACTTGTTTCTAAAACATTTAACTTTCATTGAAGTATCAACAGGTGCTTAGGCCAGGCATGGTGGCTCACGCCTGTAATCCCAGCACTTTGAAAGGCTGAAATGGGTGGATCACTTGAGGTCAGAAGTTCAAGACCAGCCTGGTCAACTTGGTGAAACCCCTTCTCTACTGAAAATACAAAAAATTAGCTGGGCGTGGTGGCAGGTGCCTGTAATCCCAGCTACTCGGGACACTGAGGTAGGAGAATCACTTGAGCCCAGGAGGCAGAGGTTGCAGTGAGCCAAGATCAAGCCACTACACTCCAGCCTGGGTGACAAAGTGAGACTCCACCTTAAAAAATTAAAAAAACAAGTCCAGGCGCATCGGCTAACGCCTGTAATCCCAGCACTTTGGAAGGCCGAGGTGGGTGGATCACCTGAGGTCAGGAGTTCAAGACCAGCCTGGCCAACATGGCAAAACCCCATCACTACTAAAAAATACAAAAATTACCTGGGCGTGGTGGCGGGCGCCTGTAATCCCAGCTACTCAGGAGGCTGAGGCAGGAGAATTGCTTGAACCCGGGAGGCAGAGGTTGCAGTGAGCCAAGATCGGGCCATTGCACTCCAGCCTGGGCAACAGAACAAGACTCCGTCTCAAAATTTAATCAATTAATCAATTTTTTTAAAAAGGTGCTTAAAATGTTTGTTATTGACCAGATGTGGTGGCTCACTTCTATCATCCCAGCACTTTGGGAGTCCGAGGTGGGTGGATTGCTTGAGCCCAGGAGTTCGAGACCAGCCTTGGGAACATGGAGAAACCTTGTCTGTACTAAAAATACAAAAATGAGTGGGCATGGTGGTGTGCACCTATAGTCCCAACTGCTTGAGAGGCTGACATGGGAGGATCAGTGCCTGGGAGGTCAAGGCTGCAGTGAGCCGAAATCACATCACAGCACTCCAGCCTAGGAACAGAGACCCTGTCTCAAAAAAAAAAAGTTTGTTATTAATTATGTTACATGAGCTGAAGCACAAACCTTCTTCCATAATCTCCAAATACGTACTCCACAACTTTTGTTGACTAGCTGCTGTTGAGTTTAGACTGACATTCAGGATGCAAGGAAAACTGGTAAAATCAGACCAAGTTATAGCGCAGAATGTGTGACAGCAAGTCTGATTATCTCTGGTCAGCTAGAAGTCCAAATCAGCACTCATAAAATAAGTTCCAGACGGCTTCAGAACAAATAATGCATTTTCAAAAAACATTTTCTAGGATGCTTAACTGATGTGGCCATCAAACTTGAAAGAAATTTAGCAGATTTGCATCATGGTTTGAAAAAAAAGGATCATCTAGCCAAGTCAGCCTGCCACGGTTTTCACATGTTTTTAATATGGCACAAGTAGACATAATGGGTGTGTCAGATGTGACTATGTCACTTTTTAGTCTTTAAAAGTGAACGATGTGGATTGGAGACTTATTTATTTAAAAGCTATTCATTCTACAAACATTTACCAATAAAGTGTTAGGCAAGGCACACAATCTAAGTGACTGTATCATTATTTATGTTAATAGTGGAAATTAAGTAAGTCTTGGTTAACATACCAGTGGCAATACCAAGCATATCTGAGCATCCTTGTAACCCAAAATATTAGTTGTTTTAGGACATTTTTAAAAATCAAGTCAGGCACTTTCTAAAGTATTTAGGGCAGGCTGGGTGCTGGGGTTCATGCCTGTAATTCTAGCACTTTGGGAGGCTGAGGCAAGTGAATCACTTGAGGTCAGGAGTTTGAGACCAGCCTGGCCAGTATGGTGAAACCTGTCTCTACTGAAAATACAAAAATTAGATGGGAGGCCAAGGTGGGCGGATCACCTGAGGTGAGGAGTTCAAGACCAGCCTGGCCAACATGGTGAAACCCCATCTCCATTAAAAATACAAAAATTAGCTGGATGTGGTGGCGCGTGCCTGTGGTCGCAGATGCTCAGGGGGCTGAGGCAGGAGAATTGGTTGAAGCCAGGAGGCAGAAGTTGTAGTGAACCGAGATCACGCCACTGCACTCCAGCCTGGGCGACAGAGTGAGACTCCATCACAAAAAAAAAAAAAAAAAAAAAAAAAAGGAACCAGGCATGGTGGCTCATGCCTGTAATTCCAGCTACTCAGGAGGCCGAAGTGGAAAGATTGCTTGCATCCAGGAGTTCAAGACCAACCTGGGCAACATAGCAAGACCTCTTCTCTAAAAAAAATTTTTTTTTTTCAAAAGGTGGGAGAACTAGGTGAAAAAGTGGTGGTTGAGAGTAGAGGAAGGAGGTGGTGGAGAGTAATGTGAAAGGAGGAAGAAGACCTGGAAGAATACAGAATTAAATATAAGCCTGATCACATCATTTGTTTGCTCAAAACTTTCCAAATGCAGAGAACAACATTGCTGGTTTCCTACCCCAAGGTTATCACTCTTCCCTACAGATAGAAGTGCCTCCCACCACAGATAATGAACTATCAGATGCTCACCTTCCCAGCAGTCAGCGCAGCTTGGCCCCTGTGATCAGGTTCTGGCCAATGAGAGATGGAGAATTCTTGTAGAAGCTTCTGGAAAAAACTTTCCTCTTTAACAGAGACAAGGCCTATTTTTTCCAAGCCACTGAGCATGATTGTGTGAGGGAACGATGCTTAGAATTGCCGCAGCTATTGTGAGACTATAAGGGAAGATATCACAGGACCAGAAAAAGAGGTATCATACAATTGAGAATGGCAGAGTGAAAAGATGAAAAGGTGAACCAATCCAGGTACCACACTTCTCATTGTGTAAAATTTTTCAGAGTTCTGCTTGTTTAAGTCACTATTTTATTTTATTTTATTTTTTTGGAAATAGAGTCTCATTCTGTTGCCTAGGCTGGAGTACAGTAGTGTAATCTTGGTTCACTGCAACCTCTGTCTCCTGGGTTCAAGCGATTCTTGTGCCTCAGCCTCCTAAATAGCTGGGATTACAGGTGCGTGCCACCACGCCTGGCAAACTTTTTGTATTTTTGGTAGAGACGGGGTTTCACCATGTTGGCCAGGCTGGTCTTGAACTCCTGACCTCAAGTGATCCGCCAGCCTTGGCCTCCCAAAGTGCTAGAATTACAGGCGTGAGCCACCATGCCTGTCCCCTTAAACTCTTAATAATCTGTTCCTTTTTTACTTATCCAAGCTCATCTCCCAGCACTTTTCTATTTTGCAGTCTTCAGTGTTTTCAATTCACCAGTCAAGAATTCTCTCTAATCCCTTTAGCCTCATTTCTGACTGGAACCCTCTTGGCTCCTACCACTCCTACTTTAACTGGCCACTATGCTCATCCTTTAGAACCCAGGGAAATGTCACTTCCTGGTGGAAGACTCTACTGACCTCCCAGAGTGTGTATTTGCCACATTTTTGAACTCTCTAGAATGGTGAACTTCCATAGGTAAAGCACCGATCCCACTTTGTTGTAACTCCTTACCAATTTGCCTAGCCCATGAAGGTAGGGTCTGTGACTCTCTTTCTCATCATTTTATTCTAAGAACCTATCATGGTACCTGGCACTCATATCTGTGGAACACATAAACAAGTTGTAGGATATTGGGAGCAAAATAATTTCAAAGACCAATTAGAAAAAGGCAAACAACATATTTCAAAGCATATACATGATAAATATGTACAATGTTTGTTTGTCAATTTAAAAATTAAAAACCGGCCAGGCATGGTGACTCACGCCTATAATCCCAGCACTTTGAGAGGCCAAGGTGGGCGGATCATGAGGTCAGGAGATCAAGACCATCCTGGCTAACATGGTGAAATCCCGTCTCTACTAAAAAATTAGCCAGGCATGGTCGCATGCAACTGTAGTCCCAGCTACTTGGGAGGCTGAGGCAGGAGAATCTCTTGAACCTGGGTGGTGGAGGTCGCAGTGAGCTGAGATCGTGCCACTGCACTCCAGCCTGGGTGACAGAGCGAGACTCCGTCTCAAAAAAAAAAAAAAATTAAAAACCAAAAAGGCGAACATCCCACTAGAAAAATGCACAAAGACACAATAGGCAATTTCCAAATTCTCATAAACTGAGGGAAAGATGGTCAGTCCTGCTAATAATCAAGAAATGCAACTAAAAGAATGATGTTTTATCATTTTTCACCACCAATTGACAACATGAAGATTTTTTCCAGTGTTGAGAATGTTGTAATGAAATGGACATTCTCATATAATGTAGAAGCAAGTACAAATTCTATCAGCTTTCTAACCAGAAACATCAATGCATAAAATATGCTTAACATTTAACCTAATAACTTCTTTAGAATGTATTCTAAAGAAATAATCAGGCAATGTACAAAGATGTTTGCACAAAAATGGTCATCAAACATTGTTAAATATTAAAAAACTGTAAACAACCTAAATGTCCATCCATATAGGACTTGTACACCCATACTAAAATTATACAAAGCTTTTTAAAAGGATGGGGTTGGAAAAATCCAGATGCCTTCATATGGGTACACATCCATAATATACATTATTTATTTATTATTTGTTTCTTTCTTTTTGAGATGGAATCTTGCTCTGTCGCCCAGGCTGGAGTGCAGTAGTGTGATCCTGGTTCAGTGCAACCTCCACCTCCCAGGTTCAAGCAATTCTCCTGCCTCAGCCTCCCAAGTAGCTGGGGACTACAGGCGCCCACCACCACGCCCAGCTAACTTTTGTATTTTTAGCAGAGATGGGGTTTCACCATGTTGGCCCGGCTAGTCTCAAACTCCTGACCTCAAGTGATCGGCCCACCTCGGCCTCCCAAAGTGCTGGGATTACAGGCATGAGCCACTGCACCCAGCCGAGTTTGTTTTTTTTTTTATTCCACTTATAAATGGGATCATACAGTATTTGTCTTTCTGTGCCTGGCTTATTTCACTTCGCATAATGTCCTCCAGATTCATCAATGTTTTCACAAATGACAGGATTTCCTTCTTTTTTAAGGTTGAATAGTATTCCATGGTGTATCTATACCACATTTTCTTCATCTATTCATCTATTGATAGATGGATCAAGAAAATGTGGTATAGATACACCATATCTTGGCTATTGTGAATAATGCTCAAATGAACGTGGAAGTAAGATATGTCATTGACATACTGACTTCATGTCCTTCGGATATATGCTCAGTAGCAAGCCTGCTAGATCAGTACTATTGTTAATTTTTTGAGGAAGCTCCACACTGTTTGCCATAACATCCAGTCATTAGTTTTAAACCTTTACAGTCTGTGAATGTCCAATTAATATTTACAATGGTTACTCAAGAAAGGCACACATTTTAAAGTGGTTCACTTAGGGTGAAAATTACAGTAATGCTTATGATTACTGGAAGCCTAAATTTACACACACACACACACACACACACACACCTAATTTTCCAACTTTTCAGCCATTGATGTTTACCTCATTAGTCATGTTTCTTGTCTTTAAAATTTTTATATATTTATAGTTAAGCTGCTTTAATAAAACTTTACTCATATGAAGAGAAATAAACTTCTAATAAAAATGACAATAGGGGGGCCAGACCTGGTGGCTCATGCCTGTAATCCCAGCACTTTGGGAGGCCAAGGCAGGCGGATCACCTGAGGTCAGGGGTTCGAGACCAGCCTGGCCAACATGGTAAAGCCCCATCCCTACTAAAAATACAAAAATTTGCCTGGTGTGGTGGCACATGCCTGTAATCCCAGCTATTAGGGTAGCTGAGGCAGGTGAATCGCTTGAACCTGGGAGGCAGAGGTTGCAGTGAGCCAAGATCATGCCACTGCACTCCAGCCTGGGCAACAGAGTGAGACTTTGTCTCAAAAAAAAAAAAAAAAAAGAAGAAGAAGATATATCTGTTTTTCTTTTTCCATTTAGATATTCCCAAAAAGAGAAGAGACAAATTTAAAATGTTAATTTCGACTGGGTGCGCTAGCTCATGCCTGTGATTCCAGGACTTTATGAGGCCAAGGTGGGTGGATCACTTGAGGTCAGGAGTTTGAGACCAGCCTGACCGACATAGAGAAACCTGTCTCTACAAAAAATACAAAACTACAAAAAATACAAAAGTTAGCCCGGCGCATTGGCACACGCCTGTAATCCCAGCTACTCTGGAGGCTTAGGCATGAGAATTACTTGAGCCCAGGAGGCGGAGGTTGCAGAGAGCTGAGATCGTGCCACTGCACTCCAGCCTGGGTGACAGAGTGAGACTCTGTCTCAAACGAACAAACAAACAAATGAAAACAAGTAAATTTCACAATAAAATGTGAAAAAAAAAGAGGAATCTAGGAATGTATTGCTTTCCTTTCGATAATCCTCTTGGTTACAGCCCCATTTTCACTCTCACTTCTGAGGTGCCAGCTACTGCCAAGGCTTGCGTCTTTTGGGAATTCTGTAGCTTCTCAATTTTTTGCCACCACCAAGCTTAGGATTTAGTTTTCTTTCCTTTGTTTTTTTTTTTTTGAGACGGAGTCTTGCCCTGTCACCCAGGCTGGAGTGCAGTGGTGCGATCTTGGCTCAGTGCAAGCTCCGCCTCCTGTGTTCACACCATTCTCCTGCCTCAGCCTCCCAAGTAGCTGGGACTACAGGCGCCCGCCACTACGCCCAGCTAATTTTTTGTATTTTTAGTAGAGATGGGGTTTCACCATGTTAGTCCGGATGGTCTTGATCTCCTGACCTCGTGATCTGCCCATCTCAGCCTCCCAAAGTGCTGGGATTACAGGCGTGAGCCACCGCGCCCGGCTGGATTTAGTTTTCTTAATATTAATCTGCTTCACAGTTTCCCAAATTTTACTACTATTGTTTTCTTTCATTCTCTCTCTTTTTTTTTTCTTTCTTTTTTTAAGAGATGCAGTCTCGCTGTGTCACTCAGGCTGGAGTACAGTGGTGCGATGATCATAGCTCACAGCAGCCTCAAACTCCTAGGCTCAAGTAATCCTCTTGCTGCAGCTTCTGAAACAGCTGGGACTACAGGCATGTGTCACCATACCCAGCTAATTTTTTTTCTTTTTGTAGAGATGAGTATCTTGCTGTATTGCCCAGACTGGTCTCAAACTCCTGGCCTCAAGTGATCTTTGTGCTTTGGCCTCCCAAAGTGCTAGGATTAGAGGTATAAGCCACAGGCCTAGCTTTCTTTCATTCTCTTTATCCTTGTTAGTTTATGCTTTAAAATAATGTTGATGACAACACATCTTTTCTGAATTGTTATTAGAGGTTTAGGGAGAGGGACGGAAATGCTTATGTTTAACCTGGCATCTTTAAACAATAAAATGTGACAGTCCATGTAGAGGTTATAGCACGGCCTCCTGTTCAGTGCCATTGTCCCTCCAAATTCATGTTTTTCTCACATGCAAAATACATTCTTTCCATCTCAACTGCCCCCAAAGTCTTAATTCATTTTAGCATCAACTCTGAAGTCTCATCTGATATCATCTAGAGTATATATGGTAGAGACTCGAGGTACAATTCATCTTGAGGCAAAATTCCTCTCCAGCTGTGAATCTGTGAAACCAGATAAGTTATGTGTTTCCAAAATACAATGGTGGGACAGGCATAGGATATACATTCCCATTCCAAAAGGAAGAAACTGGAAGAAAGAAAGGGGCGATGGGTCCCAAGTAAGTCCAAAACCTAACAGAGCAAATACCATGAGATTTTAAGGCTCAAAAATAATACTTGGCCTGGTGTGGTGCCTCATGCCTGTAATCCTGATACTTTGGGAAGCTGAGGCAGGAAGATCCCTTGAGGCCAGGAGTCTGAGCCCAGCCAGGGCAACATAGTGAGACCCCCATCTCTAAAAATAATTTTAAAATTAGCCATGTGTGGACGTGCATACCTGGAGTCACTGCTACTTGGGGGGCTGAGGCAGAGGAGTCACTTGGGGCCAAGAGTTCGATGCTACAGTGGACTATGATCATGCCACTGCACTCCAGCCTGGGCAACAGAGTAAGACCTTGTCTCCTAAAAAAAAAAGAGTAATTGTCTTTGGTTCGATGCTGTGCCCAGCTGACCCACTGGGGTACAGCTCAGCAAGCAGTATGCCCCTTTGGGCTTTGTGGAATACCACTCAAGTGGCTCTCTGCAAGGGCCTACCCACCCACCTCTACTGAATGTCACAGCCACCCACGGTGGACACAAGCCTTGTTCTCAGCCTGTGCAATCTGGGCCTGTAGTGGGAGAAGCAGCTCTGATGATCTCTGAATCACCTTTGGAGTCCCTCTTCCCTTTTTTTGAAGGATAATGCGTGTCTGTAGCCTTCCTTCATTCTGTCCTGTTTTCTGTTTCCTTTAATCCCAGTTGGCAGGATTTCTGCTGGTACAATCCCGTGACTTCTGTTGAGATGGTTGATTAGGTCTGTGGTTTGCACCCACACCAATCTCTTCATCAAATGGTCAGTTAGCCACACCCTTGGTGTTCTTTTCTGAATATCCTTTCTCATTTTTTACAATATGGACAGGCGGATAATGTTCCAATCTTGAAGTTGTGGTTCCTTTTTGCTTAACAATTCCTTCTTCAATTTATTTATCACTTCTCAAATTTTACTTTAAAGTGGTCAGGAGGCATCAAGACACTCCAAAACTGCTTAGAAATCTCTACAGCTAAAATTAGCTGGGTGTGGTGGCGGGCGCCTGTAATCCCAGCTACTCAGGAGGCTGAGGCAGGAGAATCACTTGAACCCAGGAGGCAGAGGTTGCATTGAGCCGAGATCGTGTCACTGCACTCCAGCCTAGGCGACAAGAGTGAAACTCTATCGCAAAAAAAAAAAAAAAAAAAAAAGAAATCTCTACAGCTAAATATTCCACTTCATTTCTTGTAAGGCCTACCTTCCACAAAACTCTAGAGCATGAATACAATTTAGTTAAGTTCTTTGCCACTTTCTAATAAGGATGCCCTTTCCTCCAGTTTCTTTTTTTTTTTTTTCAGAGAGTCTCACTCTATCACCCAGGCTGGAGTGCAGTGGCACGATCTCGGCTCATTGGAACCTCCGCTTCCTGGGTTCAGGCAATTCTCCCATCTCCGCCTCCCAAGTAGCTGGGATTACAGGTGCCTGCCATCATGCCCTGCTGATTTTTTGTATTTTTAGTAGAGATGGGGCTTCACCATGTTGACCAGGCTGGTCTCAAACTCCTGACCTTAAGTGATCCACCCACCTCGGCCTCCCAAAGTGCTGGGATTACAGGCGTGAGCCACCACACCCAGCCGCCTTTCCTCCAGTTTCTAATAGCATATTCCTCATTTCTACCTGAGACCGTAACTGGCCTTTACTGTCTATATTTCTACCAGCATCTTGTACATGACTATGTATTCTCTAAGAAGAGGCAAGTTTTCTTTACAGCTCCCCTTTTCTTTCTGATCCTTCTCCAGAATCACCTTTAATGGTCCCTTCACAGCAATCTAGGCTTTTTCTAGCATGTTCTTCAAAACTCTTCCAGCCTCAGGCTGGGCTTGGTGGCTCATGCCTGTAATCCCAGTACTTTGGGAGAACAAGGCAGAAGGATCATTAGAGACCAGCCTGGGCAACAAAGTGAGACCTCACCTTTAAAAAAAGAAATAAATCTAGGCATGGCAGCCTACACCTGTATTCCCAGCTACTCAGGAGGCTGAGGTAGGAGGATTGCTTGAACCCAAGAGTTCAAGGCTGCAGTGAGGTATGATTGCACCACTGCACTCCAGCCTGGGTGACACAGCAAGACCCTGTATCTATTATTATTATTATTATTATTATTTTTTAGATGAGTCTCACTCTGTCGCCCGGGCTGGAGTGCAGTGGCAAGATCTCAGCTCACTGCAACCTCTGCCTCCTGGGTTCAAGCGATTCTCCTGCCTCAGCCTCCCAAGTAACTGGGATTACAGGTGCCTACCACTATGCCCAGCTAATTTTTTGGTATTTTTAGTAGAGACAGGGTTTCACCATGTTGGCCAGGCTGGTCTCGAACTCCTGACCTCGTGATTCACCCGCCTCGGCCCCCCAAAATGCTGGGATTACAGGCGTGAGCCCCCGCACCTGGCAGACCCTATCTCTAAAAACAAAACTCTTTCAGCCTCTACCCACTACCCAGTTCCAAAGCTGCTTCCACACTTTTAGTTATTTGTTACAGCAGCAAACCGCTTCTTGGTATTAATTACTTAGTCAGCTGAGCTTGTCATAACAAAATACCACAGACTGGGTGGCTAAAACAACAGACATTTATTTCTCACAGTTATAGAGGCTGGGAAGTCCAAGATCAAGGTGCCACAAGATCAAGGTGCCAGTCAATTCATTTCCTCATGAGGACCCTCTTCCTGGCTTGCAGTCAGCCACCTTCTCACTGTGTCCTCACATGGCAGGGAGAGAAGGAGCTTTGGTTCTCGACACACACACACACACACACACACACACACACACACACACACACACACACAAACCGGGTTTTGCTGTCTCCCAGGCTGGAGTACAGTGGTACAATTATAGTTCACTGTAACCTTGAACTCCTAGGCTAAAACAATCCTTATTCCTCAGCTTTGGGAGTAGTAGTTGGGACTACAGACTCACACCAATATGCCTGGCTAATTTTTCTGTAGAGACAGGGTCCCACTACGTTGCCCAGGCTGATCTTGAACTCCTGGTCTCAAGGAAATCTCCTGCCTTGGCCTCCCAAAGTGTTGGGATGACAGGAGTGAGCCACGTGCCTGGCTAATTTATTTATTTATTCATAGAAATGGGGGTCTCACTGTGTTGTCCAGGCTGGTCTCAAACTCTTGGCTTCAAGCAATCCTCCTGCCTTGGCCTCCCGAAGTGTTGGGATTCCAGGCATCAGCCACCACACCCAGCCTCTTTCTCCTCTTATAAGGGCACCAACCCCATTATGGGGGCCCCACACTTGTGACCTCATCTAAACCTAATTACCTCCCAAATGCCTTACCTAATACTATCACAATGGAGGTTAGGATTTTATGTGAATTTCAGAAGGACACTAGCATTCAGTCCATAATAGGTTTCACGTGAAGGGTCCACTTAGGGAAGATCTATTTCCAGGTCTACTCATGCAGTAGTTGGCAGGATTCAGCTCCTTGCTGGTTGTTGGACTGAAAACCAGTTCCTTGGTGGCTCTTGGCTGGAGGCCTTCGTTCCTTGCCACATGAGCGTCTCCATAAGGCAGGTCAAAGGCAGCAAGTGAGAGAGCAAGAGAGGGCATGTAAGACATGAGCCATCGTCTCTTTTTAAATCTAGTCTTGGAGGTGCTATCCATCACTTTTGCCACACTGTATTCCTTAAGAGCAAGTTGCAAAGTCCAGCCCACATGAAGGAAGGGATTACAGAGGGTTTGAATACCGGGAGGGAAGGATCACTGGGGTCCATTGTAGAAGCTGCCTACCCAGTGTCTTCTAGCTACATCCTTATCTTCTTTTTTTTCCCCCGAGACGGAGTCTCTCTCTGTCCCCCAGTCTGGAGTGCAGTGGCACCATCTCGGCTCACCGCAAGTTCCGCCTCCCAGGTTCATGTCATTCTCCTGCCTCAGCCTCCTGAGTAGCTGGGACTACAGGCGCCCACCACCACACCTGGCTAATTTTTTTGTATTTTTTTAAGTAAAGACGGGGTTTCACCATGTTAGCCAGGATGGTCTCGATCTTCTGACCTCGAGATCTGCCCGCCTCAGCCTCCCAAAGTGCTGGGATTACAGGCCTGAGCCACCACACCTGGGCATTTTTTTTTTTTTTTAGAGCCAGGTTCTTGCTCTGTTGCCCAAGCTGTAGTGCAGTGGCATGATCATAATTCACTGTACCCTCAAACTCCTGGGCTCAAGTGATCTTCCTGCCTCAGCCTCCAAAATAGCTGGAATTATAGGCATGTGCCACTATGTTCAGCTAATTTTTAAATTTTTTGCAGAGGCCGGGTTTGGTGGCTCACACCTGTAATCCCAGCACTTTGGGAGGCTAAGGTGAGCAGATCACTTAAGGCCAGGAGTTTGAGACCAGCCTGGCTAACATGGTGAAACCCCATCTTTACTAAAAATACAAAAATTAGCCAAGCATGGTGGTGTGTACCTGTAATCCCAGCTACCTGGGAGGCTGAGGCATGAGAATTGCTTGAACCCAGGAGACAGAGGTTTTAGTGAGCCATGATCATGCCACTACACCCCAACCAGGTGACAGAACGAGATTCTGTCTCAAAATTGTTGTTTTTTCTTTTTTCTTTTTTTTTTTTTTTTTTTTTGCAGAGGAGTCTTGCTATGTTGCCCAAGTTGATCCCAAACTCTTGGCCTCAAGTAATCCTCCCACCTTGGCTTCCCAAAGCACTGGGATTGCAGGTGTGAGCTGCTGCACCTGTTGTTGTCTTGAACTTTACTTATGACTATGTTTTCCTGATAGTACCTGGGATTTGACTTTTGCCCCTAGGCCATTTCTTATTTTGAGAGTTTTGTCCTCTGGAGAACTAGGAATGAAAAGTAGTTTTATTTCAAATCCTGCAAGTCCTGGCTTCTTTAATTGCTTCTTCTAAATTCTGATGAAAAATGGAACAGTTTCTTTTTTAGCTCACTGCACTTCTCTGGTACTATATCACAGGCATGCAAAAGGAACCATTCCACCCTTTCACCATTCTATCCAGAAATCTCCATAGCCAGATCCACATGTTCACTAGGTACCTTCTCTAGCTTTCACATAACTGCAGAGTAGTTTAGCTAATTGTTCTTCCAATACCTAAGTCAATCCCCCTTTTCTCCAGCCAGCAATAACAGTATCCTCACTGTTCTTTATTTTATTTTATTTTGAGACTGAGTCTCTCTCTGTCACCCAAGCTGGAGGGCAGTGGTGCGATCTTGGCTCACTGCAACTTCCGCCTCCTGGGTTCAAGCAATTCTCCTGCCTCAGCCTCCCCAGTAGCTAGGATTACAGGCACGCGTCACCACGCCTGGCTAATTTTGGTATTTTTAGTAGAGACAGGGTTTCACCGTGTTGACCAGGCTGGTCTCGAATTCCTGACCTCAGGTGATCGGCCCACCTCTGCCTCCCAAAGTGCTGGGATTATAGGTGTGAGCCACCACGGCCAGCCCCACTCACTGTTCTTTAATAGTATTTGTCAATAACAGACTCCTCAAGGTTCTTCCAGCTTCCATCCTCCACCTGATCCCAAAGCTCCTGCCATGTGTTTTAGGTTTCTATTACAGTAGGAATCACCCTGTTGATTTCTATTATCCCGCTTCTAGGTATGTAATTATGTTTCAGTTATATATTGCTGTATTACAAACCACACTGAAATGTGGTGACTTAAAACAACAGCATTCATTTTTTTTTTTGCTAACAATTTTGCAATTTGGGCAGGGTTTGCTGCAGAAAGCTCATCTCTCTTCCAGATGGTATCAGCTGCGGCAGCTCAACTAGGGCTGGAGCAACCACTCTCAAGATAGTTCACTCAGAGGGCTGGCAAATTGATACTGGTTGTCTGCAGAGCTCAGCTGGGGCTGTAAGCCAAACACCTGGATTCTCCTCCATGTGGGCCTCTGATCATGATCAGAGGGAAGCCAGTGAACCTCAGAATTCTTTAGGAGGTGAAAGTCAGGGGGCTGTTGCACAACCATGTGAATACACTTAACACTACACTTAAAAATGGTTCAAATGGAAGGCTTAGGTGAAATGGTTTATGTCTGTAATCTCAGCACTTAGGGAGGCTGAGGCAGGAGGATTGCTTGAAGGCAGGAGTTTGAGACCAGCCTGGGAAAAAAATTTAAAAATTAGCTGCGTGTGGTGGCAAGAGTCTGCAGTCCCAGCTGCTCGGGAAGTTGAGGCAGGAAGATTGCTTGGGCCCAGGAGTTCGAGGCTGCAGTGAGTTATGATCATGCTACTGTACTCCAGCCTGGGCAACAGAACGAAATCTGGAAAAACAAACAAGTAGGCTGGGTGCAGTGGCTCATACCTGTAATCTCAGCACTTTGGGAGGCTGAGGTGGGAGGATCACTTGAACCCAGGAGTCTGAGACCAGCCTGGGCAACACAGTGAAGGCCCATCACTAAAAAAAAAGAAAAAAAAAAAGAAAAAAGAAAACCCAGCCTGGTCAACATAGTGAAACCTCATCTCTACTAAAAATACAAAAATTAGCTGGACATGGTGGCACACGCCTGTAGTTCCAGCTACTCAGGAGGCTGAAGCAGGAGAATCTCTTGAACCTGGGAGGTGGAGGTTGTGGTGAGCCAAGATGGCACCATTGCACTCCAGCCTGGGCAACAGAGCAACACTCCATCTCAAAAAAAACCCCAAAAAACCAAAGTGGTTAAGAAGGTAAATTTTATGTTATGTGTCTTTTGCCACAATGATAAATTAATAAAAAAATCAGGGGAAGATGGAGAGGAGCTGGAGGTGAGCAGGCACGAGGTAAGGGAGAGAGAGGTGTCAAGGATGACAAAAACCAATAAAATACAGCCCCTCTGGCCTCAATAACTTCTTTGGCTCAGCCGAAGGGTTAATAGACAATCACAACACACATGGTAGATACTGCAGCTTTCTGCTGCAAAGCTAACATAGGTACAAAGCCCATGCCATGCAAATCGCCTCAAAATAGACCTTTAATGTCTGCAGTTCCCAAAGGCAAACATTTAAGACATAATTATAGGTTTGGATTTCTTAAGGCAAGCCTCGAAATGAACACTGCCAGAGAAACAGCAGTGAGTAGTAAAAAACTACAGGTGTATACAATATTACCCTTTCAAGGTAACCTCGAAGGTCAGGCAATACAGTAGGTAGAGTGTTAGGCTGGGGAGAAAGCGGACTTTTCTGGTCTTCAGCACAACTATTACAGGATTTAAAATCCCTTGGTTACAGCGAAATTCCGTCTCAAAAAAAAAATCCCTTTGTGGTCTTATAATTCTCAGGATGCCTGAGAACTATTGCTACTGAGGAGATATTACTTTGGAATCTTTCTTTAAAGTCATAAACAAGCTGTAATTATCATTTATACCCTGATTGAAGGTACATTTTCCTCCCCCACACAAATTCAAACTCTTTGCCTTCAATCACAAAGTTTTATAAATAGCAAAAGTCTGTTTACAGATTTTCCTTGAGTTTTATTGGTAATACATTATTGCTCTTTCAAATAACTCTAAACTACTCTTCATGAAAAGGATAAAAAGCAGGAAATCTCCCTTTTCTTGACATATTATCCCAACCCCATATGTTTTTCTGAAAACACCCTGAATGTCACTCTCACCACTGACTATATAGTATAGCCATCCCTGCATCAGTGTCGATTTTATTGTCTGATATGTCAAATTCAATGGTGTGATTTTTTTTTTTTTTTGAGATGGAGTCTCCCTGTCGCCCAGGCTGGAGTACAGTGGTGTGATCTGGTTCACAGCAATCTCTGCCTCCCGGGTTCAAGCGATTCTCCTGCCTCAGCCTCCCGAGTAGCTGGGACTACAGGCACCCACCACCACGCCTGGCTAATTTTTGTATTTTCAAAAATGGGGTTTCACCATGCCAGGCTGGTCTCAAACTCCTGACCTCAGGTGATCTGCCCGCCTTGGCCTCCCAAAGTGCTAGGATTACAGGCATGAGGCACTGTGCCCGGCCTCAATGGTGGGATTTTATCTTTTACTGTTTGAAACCTTATCAGTTGTTCCATTCTGCACAAGGTCTCTATCTAGGGTCCCCCCTGCAAAATCATGACTAAAGACCACTGCCAGGCCGGTGGCTCATGCCTGTAATCCCAGCATTTTGGGAGGCTGAGGTGGGTGGATCACCTGAGTTTGGGAGTTCAATACCAACCAGCCTGGCCAACATGAGGAAACCCTGTCTCTACTAAAAATACAAAAACATTAGCCAGGTGTGGTTGTGTGCACCTGTAGTCCCAGCTACTGGGGAAGCTGAGGCAGGAGAATTGCTTGAACAGTTCTCGCCTGGGTGAGACATTTGCTTAAACAATGTCACCTGGGCCACAGAGCGAGACTCTCAGAAAACAAAAAACAAAACAAAAAAAAACACTGCCAAGACCCTGCCTAATGCCATTGCTGTGACTATCTGTTCTAAGACATCTCCACTGATTTAGTCCTTCCTGCTGGATCTTGGAAAAATCCAGTAATAACATTCAGGCCTGAGAATCAGTAACCCATCAGACTTAAAATGCTCATTTATTAAAAAATAACTGAGCGCCTCCTATGTGTTGGGCACTGTCTAGATGCTGGGAATACAACAGTGAATAAGCCAGACAAGGATCCTCTCCTGGAACTTATTTTTTTTTGTGACAGAGTTTCACTCTTGTTGCCCAAGCTGGAGTGCAATGGTGCAATCTCGGCTAACTGCAACCTCTGCCTCCCGGGTTCAAGCAATTCTCCTGCCTCAGCCTCCCAAGTAGCTGCTATTATAGGCGTGCGCCACCACACCCAGCTAATTTTTTGTATTTTTAGTAGAAACGGTGTTTCACCATGTTAGCCAGGCTGGTCTTGAACTCCTGACATCAGGTGTTGGGCTCACCTCGGCCTCCCAAAGTGCTGGGATTACAGGCATGAGCCACCGTGCCCCGCCTGGAACTTATTTTTGTTTCTTATCCCAGAGATTTTTGACTTTTAACAATGGACAAAGTCCTGGCTTGGCTTAAAGACAAAGAAATCAGATTCTTTATTTGGAATTAAGCCATGCTTCCCTGGGTGGGGATAGGAGAGGTTCTCCGGGCATCCTGATATCACACAACATAGTTCACCTGCTCCTAAGTGAGGTCTGAGTGGAACTATTGACTACATTGTCATTTTTGTTGGGCCCATGCCGGGATCCAAGAAGACCATGCCCTTCTGTGGAGTATGCTCCATGACAGGCAAGAATGGCCAAAGACACAGTGCTAGCATCATGGGCCACCACGGGGTCCTAAGACCACCACTCAGCTATTATTGCTCGGGAAGACATTGCCCCCTCGTGGTTCCTCATGTAATTGAGGGAAGCTGGCAGTGCAAAGAGCTGCCAGTTAAGGCAATCAATACATCCAAACACGTGCAAAGTTTCCACATTCACTGTAGCCTTATCTCTTCTGAATGTCTTGGGTTGCAGTTTCAAGAGTTGGTTTATTTTCATCCAGGATACATGTTTGTTCCCCTTAGAGAGAAATCACATTATGACAGCAATTAAAAAAACATGTTTTCCTTATGGAAATCTTCCTGTTTCAAAATCTCCAAACCCCCAAGATAAATCCAATATGTAAATCCAAGTATCACTACTGTTTTTCTCCTCATAATGCCCTTAAAGCAAATATTTTCCTTGCTTTCTATAATCGGAAAGAGGATTCTGAGAGTATCTTGGCTCCATACCACTTTATTTTTTTGTCTTTTCTTTTTTTCCCCTCTGTGGAGAACAGAGTCTCACTATGTTGCCCAGGCAGGTCTTGAACTCCTGGGCTCAAGCAATCCTCTTTCCTCTATCTCCTTAAGTGCTGAGATTCCAAGTGTGAGCCACCATACCACTTTAAACTCCCTAAAGGGAGGGTCCTTATCTGCAACTCCCACAGCCACCCCCGCCCTATCCCCAGCAGCACTTAAACCAAGTATAAAGAATGTCTGGTGGGGGTGGGGAGAAACAGTTAAGCAAATACTGTAGTTGGAAACTGTTACCGGTGCAAGACAGGAGCAGCAGGCTGGGATGGAGAATTCCTGGGAGGAAGAAGTGGGGCAGAACCCACTGATATATGGAGTTCCACATTTATACCTTTGTAGCAGTCAAATCTAAGAGTTTAACACGGTGGCTCCACGTTGTAATCCCATCAGTTTGGGAGGCCAAAAGCAGGAGGATCACTTGAGGCCAGGAGCTCGAGCTCAGCCTGAGCAACAAAGTGAGACCCTCATTTTTCTAAAAAAAAAAAAAACCAAAAAACCATAAGCTTAAATGATCGAGTATTGGAAACGCTTTCTAAGGCCCTGGAAAAATAGAAGTTTTCTTAATAATAATGTTAGCTTCCATGTATTGTAAACCTAAACGAAGCAAGAATAAATGCTGGGTGCTGTATATAGCTCTATCAACCTATAATCACCTCGAAAACTCGAGGAGACACATTCAGCTGCTCCCATTTCACGGATGAGGAAACAAGTACGCAATCCTGAAGCTGGTGCAAAGCCCAGGCCCCCTTTCTTTTTCAAGCGTGCTTCCAGCCTCTGAAGTTCCTCCGTACGGACCCCCAGCTCTGCCTGCAATAAGGAATATTCACTTTGCCAACAAATATTTATTGAGTGCCTGCTATATACCCCTTAGCCCGTTTAAATAGCCGTGGGATTAAAAAGATAAATAGGGCAGGATTTTTTTTTTTCTTCCAGGAAGGAGCTTTCTGAAGGGTGAGGGAGAGGCCAGGTAAACAATCCCAGAACAGTCTGGTGAGAGTTGGGAGAGGAGTCGGGGGGCCGCGGGACGCTCAGGAAGCGAAGCGGGGAAGGCTCCGGGCGCGTCGCAGGACCCGCGCTGGAGATGGGTTTGAAGCCCTGTCCTGAAAAAGCCGGCCCGGAGTGGGCTGTCCCCGGTGTCCCTCGAGTTCTCATGCTGTCATTCAAGCAGCAGAGGAAGAACCGGGTCTGGCTCGGGAAGGGTGGGCTTAGGGCCAGGGGTGCAAATCCCTCGGTAAAAGCCGGCAAACTAAAAGTCGCACACATCCCAGGTCCCGGTCCAGGCCCCGGCGGGGCAGGGTCCCCGAAGTCCCGGGGCGCGCAGACGCCGGGGCCCCCGGGGGCCAAGGGAACGGCGGGACCCGACCTCCCTGCCCTCGGCCTCCCGGGCCCTCGCCCTCCGACCAGCCGCTGAGTCGGGGGCTGGGGTCGCCGCTTCCGCCCGCGGCCCGCTGCCCCTCCCCGGCGCGCGCCATCCGGCCGCCGGCCCCTCCTCCCGCGGGGGGCTCCGTCCCGCGCCCCGTCCCTCCGGGCTGCAGCCGGCAGCCCACGTCCAGGGAGGGCGGAGGGAGGAGGAGAGGCGCGGAGAGGAGGGAGGGGAGAGGGGAGGGAGGAAGGCGAGAGAAAGGGAGCTGCTTCCATCCCGGACTTCCCAGAGCCTGCCTGGAGCGCGTACTCAGCGGCTCTCGGGTCCCAGCGTCCCAGCCGCGGCCCGCGCTCCTCCGCCCCGCTCCTCCTCCTCCTCTTCCTCCTCCTCCTCCTCTCTAGGCACCCCCGTCCCCTCCTTCCAGCGGCTGCAGCCCCCAGCCCCAACTCTCCGCGCTTACTCCTGGGACGCGCGTCCTCGCCCCATCCTTTGCTTCCTTCCTTCCTTCCTTCTTCCTTCCTCCCCTGGCTCCCGCCCTCCCTCTCCAGGTCGCCCTCCCGGGGCCCGATTGTCTCGGTGCCCCGCTCCCGGCCCGCGCCCTGCCCCGTCTCTCCCTTGCACTTCCTGAGTCGCCCGCCGCCGCCGTCGCAGACTCGCCGCGGGAGCCCCAGCCCAACCCGAGCCCGACAGCCACTGCCCCGGCTCCAGCTCCAGCCCCACAGCCCGCGGCGCCCGCCCGAGGGAGCCCCGGCGCCCGGGGAAGGCTCCAGTGGGCTAGCGCGCCCTCGCCCAGCCCCGCGCCCCAGCCCTGCCCGGCCCGGCGAGGAAGGACCGGGAAGATGAACAACGGCGGCAAAGCCGAGAAGGAGAACACCCCGAGCGAGGCCAACCTTCAGGAGGAGGAGGTACTGGGCGGCTCGGTGTGGTGGCGGGGGCGACGCGGGACCCAGTGCGGGCGGCCGGCGGGGCGCGGGCCCGGGGCGCGGCGGTGGAAGAAGGTTCAGGCATGGCCCGTGCCCCGGACGCAGCCCCACAGTGTGGCCCGGGGAGGGTGGATCTCGGGAGCGTGTGTTTTTGTGTCCACGCGCGTCTGCGGGCCCCAAATTGCGTAACTCCAAGGACTTTTCGGAGACTTTTGTAAGTATAATGCTCAGCTTTGTTTGCCCGGGATTTATAAGTGGAACCGAGAGCTGACTCCTGGGTGACCTCAGATAATCGGGACTCGGAGGGTCAGGACTTAGGGCCGGGGCTGGAAATTGTGTATGGATTCAGGGTCGGGGGGGGAGCAGTTTAAGGAAGAAACTCGGGGGAAAGTTCTCGTTAAAAGATACCTCTATTCCCTGCCCCCTCCCTTTCCGTGTTAAAAGTTCTTGGTGAAATATCTTTCTAGCCGAGGTTTTTTGGATTAATAGATAACTCATCAGCCACATTCTTCTCTGCTGAGTCAAAGACCCCGAGCCTGGGCGGTGAACGCTTGTGATTTTAGGGGCCGTGCAGCTGAGGGGAGCAGAGTAAGAGGGTTAAAAACGCAGCAATTCACCAAATGCTCATCGAGGGTATTTTCATAGGACTTTGACTTCTGAGCATGCATTTTAGGTGGTGCGTCCGTAATCATGATGAAAGTTTTGTGACTGCGGAGCGTTCCTTCGGTGGAAACAAAATTGAGTAGATGTGGTCAGAAGGGGAGTCGGACTCAGGAACAAACGTTTCAGAATTCAGTAGGATATTTGTGGTATCCTACCAAATGACTCTTTTTGCAGGTACGTTATCTGGAGTCCAAGAAATTATTTCTGGCGTACTTCTTAACATCCCACACAGTTGAGTTCTTAAACATTCTAGAGGAACTTGAGAGTGTGTGTAGATGCAGGAAAGTGCACGTCTAAATATGACCCGAAAAGATTCACACAGGTATTGGATCCTGATATAGGTGAACACAGAAGGTAAACGGATTCTAAAGCGTTAGAATGTTGAGATCATTGTTGAGACACTATGTTGTGTGCAAACTTCAATTCTGATAGTGAAACCAAAATTGCAGAGGAATTCATTAATACATACAACTTCTCTGCACATTGTCCACTTGGAAAATGGTAACTATTTAGATGGAGAAGGTAGAGGAGCGAGACTATGCCAAACAATGCAAAATAAATAGGAGATTTTACTCGTCACCCAGTTGTATGGTAGTGAAAACCTAAATGAATTGCAGTCAGCCAAAAATTGCTTTTTCACCCGAGGACATTTTCTATTTTATTATAAAAGACTATTTGAAGAGTTGTTTACTTGCATGTTTTCTAATTACAATTGTAGGAATGCTACTGGCATTTCTTTTTTCAAAGCGATGGAGAGTTGAATGGTGTGTTCTGATTTTTTTTCTTGAACTTTACTGGCTGCTTTGCTATTTATTTTCCCTACCACTTAAAAAAATTTAAAAATAATGACAAGTGTGCTTTTTTAGGAATTACCATATTTAACTAATTCACTTACCATATCAAGATAATCATCGCTTCAGAAATCTTTCTGTTTCAGCTAGATGTGCAATCTGTTTGCTTCTCAGGGTTAGAATATTATATGAAACCATCTTTCTTTATTCACCCAGTTGAGAAAACTTTTTTTTTTCCTTTTGGTAGGTAGCAAAAGAGGTTCAATGTCCTAAAAATCATACCCACATTAAAATTAAGTATAGAAAAGTCACATTTTTCTGCTTGACCCCTCTTAACAGCTGCCAGGACCAAGGGATTGCCTGCCCTGTTCCTGGACGCTCCTCCGTCCTTGTGAGGTTGTGTATAATAATCGCTGTATAATCGCGGGCCATTGCAGTACAGTTGCTGCCTCTTACTTGTCCTGTTATCTGACAGCGTTCCTTTTCAGGTAGGAATGGCATGTGGCTCTAGAAAGTATCGGTCTTTTTAGCAAAACACTTGTTATGTAAAAAGTAAGGGGACACGTAGGAAGATTTCAGAACCCAAGTTGTCCAAGAGAGATGTCGTGTACAAAACAGTTAAGACCGTGAAGAGAGGGGGGTTTATAATGTCAGAAATTGAGGAAAAGAAACTAAGGTGGCCTGAATGATCCAGGTAATTTTGCCTTAATTTCCTATTTTTGGTTTATATTTTGTTCTTGAAAAACTCTTAACCTCTTTTTTGTTTTTTTCTTTCTAACCCTGAAAGCCACAGGTAAAATAAATAGAGTATTAGGTGAGTGCCATTAATGTGCCCGGCATTACACAAAACCACTGCACTGACCCTTTCCCTGCCCACCCATTGTATCAGCAACTTGCTCTTAAGCACATTTAAAAACCTTGGCGGTGGACTCCAGTAAACAGAACACACACATACAACATAGATATATACACGTAATGACGAGAGGAAAAATGTGTTTCGTTGTAATTTCTGGTAGCCATTGAACTGACATGGAAAAATGAGTCCAATCATCATTAAGGGAAAATAGTTTATTTCACAGATCATGAGGGTGGTTTGGGCTTTCTCCACATTGTAGAACCCAAGTTTGTTTTTTTCTGTGTTTCTAGTTTCGAAACGAATTCCTTCTATCAATCAGTGTATTTTAGCTTCTTTTGAGAGTTTCTAATGCTTACCCTGAAATAATTGTGCTGAAATGCCTCTTTGGTTCTAATTGTGTAGAATGAACAGTTCAGGATCTAGGAGTATTTTTGCAGCTTTTTAGGGTTGGAAGTTTTTGAGAACTTTGGCAGAACATGTATTAATACTTCTACTTTGGATAGCATTGAAAACTTTGAGGAAAAATAATTTAGGATTTGGCTAGCCAGTTGTGTAAGAGAGATGATACATTTAACTTTCCGATTTTTAATGTATTATTACATTAAATACATGTGTAATACACGTACAATGTATTATACATGTGTGTTCCCTAAGCAAGTTGTCCTGTAAAGACTAACCAGTTGTCAAAATCTCACTGAGATTTTTAAGGTTTGTTTATATATGTTTAGAGTATCATGTCATTTCTTATATTTTACAATTGATAAAATGATTCCTAGAATTTCTCTAATTGTGCAATCAAACTTTATAAAAATTGATATATAATAGATCCATAATTATTTGTCTTACCTAATCAGTTATAATTGATGAGTTTAAAGTATTTTCAAATATATCAAGACCTTTTCTGTCTTATAGCTTATAACTTATAGCTATAGCTATAAGCTAACTTATAACTTATAGCTATAGCTATAAGCTAACTTATAACTTATAGCTATAGCTATAAGCTAACTTATAACTTATAGCTATAGCTATAAGCTAACTTATAACTTATAGCTATAGCTATAAGCTAACTTATAACTTATAGCTATAGCTATAAGCTAACTTATAACTTATAGCTATAGCTATAAGCTAACTTATAACTTATAGCTATAGCTATAAAGCTAACTTATAGCTTGTAACTTATTTGTTGGTCACTGAATTTTCAAAATAGAAATTTAGATTAAATATGTGATTTGGTTTTTATTTCTACTTTTATCCATGTCATTGAGTACTTTTCAGGCTGATTGTAAAACATCTTTAAAAGGCCTTTTATTATATTGAAGCACTGGTGTTAATTTCTCCTTAAATTGCTTTGAATTGACTTGTACTTATAATAAAACTAAAAAAGCAAAAAACGTGGAAGTGTTGGAATATTGATCAAAAAGATGTGCAGAAATCATACAGTCAGTTCTTCTGAGGTTAATACAAACCTTTACTTTGCATTCCTTCTTTTAAAGTGCTAATTTTGCCAAAATATTGGGGTTGTAAAGAAAATTATTTCTTAAAATTGCTGCAGAGAGGGTAATGTCAGTTTGATGTGGCAACCTCAAATTTTCATTGAGCATTAAAGTCAATCTACATTGTGACTTCAGGAAAGTACAGAATGGTTTTATACAATTTAACCAAGATTGGGGATCTCTGTTATTCCAAGTTCAATCCAATGCAATAAACATATATTTCAGTTGTAGAATAGGATTTGGTGACAACTGATGCTCCATGACCCCTGTCAATATGGCATGCACTTTTGAGTTATTTTTCCAGTAGCGGTTTAAACATTTCCCTGATAAACCCTTGTGTGCATCTGCAGTCTTCTTCATTCCCAGTGGCATTAGTTTTCAGATGGGTAGTTTGGAAGGGGTGGAAGTTCTCTTCTGGAGATGGTTTCACATGATTTTCGTAGGTTCATGTTAATTTTTGCTTTAAGGATAAAAGTGTTCAGTGCTGGTGACAAGGCAATAAAGTGGGTACTTTTGTGCAGAGCAGTGGTGATGTAAATTAGTGTAGCTTTTCAGAAAGGAGTGACACTATCAAAATGTGTTCAGGCCCTTTGATTTAGTACCTTTATTTTTAGAAATTTACCCTAAGAAAACGGTATCATAAAGATTTATATATAGGAATGATTTTTGCAGTGACTTATGACAGTGACAATTCAGAGGCACTCTATCTAACATGGGAAACTGCTAACTAAATCATTGTATAATTCTGGAAGGGGAATATTGTGCAACCACTAAAGGCTCCGTTTTTAAAGAGAAAAATACATGGATTATAAAATATGTATTATATATAAATTCATATTTATTATGTATTATACATATGTGGTTATATACTATTCTCTGTGTTCTGGAGGTTAGAAACCTGAAGTCAAGGTGTTGGCAGGGCCACCGTGCTCTCTAAAGGCTGGAGAGGAGAACCTGTCCTTACCTCTTTGAGCTTCAGTGGCTCCAGACATTCTGAAGACTATATTTTTATTCTCATGTTGTAATATTAAATGAAAAGAACTGATTTTAAAGTTTTATGCTATGTGATGCCAGTTCTCAAATAAATGTATATTCATTCATAAAACCAAACATTAATTGTATCTAATTGGTGGATTACAGATCATTGCTATTTACTTTCTGATGCCTTTCGGTGTTTAAGTTTTCGAAAATGACCATGTGAACAAAAAGAATTAAATGTCTTTTTGCTTTGAGGGTTTCCTTGAATCGTGATATTCACAAAACCGAGGTTGGTCACATTTAGTTTTGCTCACAAGCCTAGCGGTGAGAATCAGGTCTGCCTTGTTCCTCAGACATAGTCTTTCTTAGTACTATTAGTATTTCTCTTACTCATTCCCTTATCTTGATTGTGTTAGTGATCTTCAGCTGCTCTCCTGTTCTGATGCTCTTCTGGAGTCCATCCTTACACCATACTGCTGGGCCCTCCAATGCCCCGAATCCTTCAGTGCTACTTGGTACTCCACAAAGTCAAGTGCGCACATGGCGTTCGGGATTGCCCTCACCTACCTGTATACTGTGATCCCTTTGCTAAGAGGAAGCCTAGGTCTTCCTCTTCTGTTCTCTTGATCTAGTCTGAGCTGCTTTTAAGCCAGGATTCAAGTTTTTCAGCCTACATTTTTGCAAGATCCCCCTCACCTGAATGTCCCATCCCATAGAGATGATTTTTCATTAGAATTTCAGTAAAAGTTACTTTCTGTTATGTCCATTTAACTCCTGGTTATTATTTTTTTCAGCTATTTATTTTGTATGGGTCTATGCCATTTTACAGTATTCCCAATGTTCAACACCTACCCCAGCACCAGGTAAATCTCCTCTGCACACATCCACACTTACATATATACACGTATATAATTCTTTGTAAATATATATGAAATAGCCTTATTGGTGAGGTTGGTGATTATGAGTTTGTACAGGTAATAAGAAGCAGCCACTCGTTTAATATTGAGGATCCCTTCTGTGCTCTGCACTGGGGAATTAGAAAAGGTGTGGATGGATCGGCTGGAAAATTACTTCCATCCCTTTGTCATTAGGAACCTCCATTTGCGAGCACAGGTGAGCCTGCCTGGTCCATCAAATAGCCACTGCTGGAAAATTACTTCCATCCCTTTGTCATTAGGAACCTCCATTTGCGAGCACAGGTGAGCCTGCCTGGTCCATCAGATAGCCACTGTCAGTGTGGGACTGCTTGTCCCAAGGTGCATTTGGGTTTTCACCATTAGAATTTGGTTTCTGCTGTGGAATTCCATTTGACCTTTTGGACGAGGGCTTCCAGAAGCCTTGGTTAGGTGGAAGAGCATGGACTCCCTGTGTTCCCAAACAAGCCTGCTCTGTGTGACAGCCACTTTGGAATGTTTGTGTTCAGTTTCATTTGGCACCTTAGTGTCTGCCTGGGGGTAGGGGAAAGGGAATGCAAATGTTCCTCTTGAACAGTGCTTGCTTTGGTCAAAGAAAAAAACTTAGGAAGGAATGAGGAGAATGAACCTTAAAAGCTGGTGCAGAAGTGGCTGCATAGCTCAGTGGGCTTGAGGCCATCTGGGACCAGGTATTTAAAATGGATGCTATGTTGGTATGAACAAGTCAGTTCCATGCCCCTGGTGGGGATGAGCTTATTTGTCATATGGGGATAACTCCTCACACTCACATCCCTAAAGTGTACCAGGAGAATATTGTAAACAATTTTATTGCACTATATTTTCTATGTTTGGCGGTGGAGGTGGGAGGTCCTTGATATTATCTGAAACATGAAGCTGAGTAAAGGGGATATGTCTGTGGTATCAGAAGAAAGCTGCTTGGCTTGTCAGTGTTGCTGATAGCAGGAAAAAGGAAATACTGAAATCTTTAGCCTGCAGAATTGTCAGAAATCTTTTTATCTATTCATTAAATAATTATCTCCTAACTTTTATTGAGTATTTACTATGTGCCAAGCTGATGAAGGGATTATGATGATTGTGCTGCTTTGATGGGGAAGTGGCTGAAGCCCTGAAAAGCTATGGAGCCAGGGTCTTCATGTGCAGATTCTAGAGATGCCAAGATCTGAGAGAGGCAGTTCCTGTCTTAAAGTTGCTCACAGTTTAATGGTGATGCCCCTGTATGAACAAACAGGTATAACCACGCCCGAGGTTAAAGTAGAGGTAGTTGAGTTGAGCACAGCCAAACCTGCAAGGAAGGGATGGAGCTGTGTCACAGAAAGCTTTAAAGAAGTTTAAAGAGTCAGTTCTTTAAAGATGACGTATGAGCTAAATCTCAGTTAAGATTTTGACTGATGAGAAAAGGGTTCAGACAGTGGGGAAAAGATGGGCTAGGCAAGGAAATCGCTCTGTGAATGAACACACAGAGGCTTCAAAAGACCCTTTTGGGGAAGAGCAAGCAAGGCATGGCAGGAGAGAAGAAGGGGAAGGAAGAATGAAACTGGGGAGGGGGCACTGGCCCACAGTGGGTGGAAGAGCTGCCTCTGCATTAGGGAATTGGACTTTGTCCTCTGATGGGGCACCAGGGTGGATGTGCCCCAGAAGGCAGCAATCTAGGACGTCCCAATGGGCAGGGGGATGTGGCGAATTTTGGAAAAGTTGTTGAGAACCATTCTTGCAGTGAGGTTTCTGCTGCAAGAGTCCTGGTCTCAAAGTGAGGCAGCAGCCTGGCAGTGGCAACTGAGGCAGAGATGCCAGGTGTTCAGGGCCTAGATAACTGTCAGATGTGCGGGAGAGAAGGCAAGGAGACAGCCTAGCAGCCTTTTGGGTTTCTCCTTCGGGTGGCTAGCTAAGTGACGGTTGTATTTGTAGGAATAGAAAATAGAGATGTGGAAAGGGTAAGAAAAGAAGGTACCTAGGAGATGAAGATGTTACTGAGTCTGGGGTGCAGAGGAGAGGTCTGATCTTGAAATACGATTTTCAGAACAATTCAAGAACATAGAGCTGATAATTGAAAGCGTGCATACTGGGAGTGAGTGCCCAGAAAATGGAATTCCTGCTTTCTAGGAAACGTTGTGAGGGTTAGCAAGGAAAGAGATACAAAATTTAGTGAAAATTTAGAGTCATGTTAAAAAGTGTTTGGGAAGGGGAGAGAATTGAAAATAATCAAGAAAAATGGAAACTTAAAAATTAATTTAGGAACATAAAAATGTATTACATATAATCTGCCTGTTTTTAAAGGGTTTGGTATACTTAGCCATTGGAAAGCCTGAGGGGGAGCTTAGAAAAATCTGATATATGGTCTTTCTCATATGCTTTTTTTTTTGCTTTGCTCAAAACTCAGGAACCTGTTTATAAACCTCCCAAACTTGCCATTAATTCCCAGGCTTTTACTTCTCCAACTCTCCATTTGCCAACCCTGCACCTAAAAGGAAAGATCAAGCTACCATAAAATCTGGAGAGGCGTGAGTTTTTTTACAGGAAAAAATTTCTAAGTTGCTTTTATCTTTTTTGACTTTTTTGGGGAAAAGGAAGAGTAGGATGAGCCTTTGGCCAGCAGCCCAAAGACATCTAATCTGTGGGTTATATTTTCATTTTCTTTTTTTTTTTTCTTTGAGACGGAGTCTTGCGCTGTCACTCAGCCTGGAGTGCAGTGGCGCCATCTCACTGCAACCTCCACTGCCTGGGTTCAAGCAATTCTGCTGCCTCAGCCTCCCAAGTAGCTGGGACTACAGGCACACGCCACCACACCTGGCTAATTTTTGTATTTTTAGTAGAGACAGGGGTTTCACCATATTGGTCAGGTTGGTCTCAAACTCTTGACCTCAGGTGATCCACCCGCCTCGGCCTGCCAAAGTGCTGGGATTACAGGCATGAGCCACCATGCCTGGCCATATTTTCATTTTATTCAATTTATACTTTAAAAGTTTGCTGCCTTTTTCAGCCCAGCTAAGTGTCAGCTCAAAGTAGTCCAGGAACTTAAAAAGAAAACAACTTGCATTTGTATTTCTCTTAGGTTTTAACTCTACTGCACCTATTATGGTGACGGTGCATATTGTGTAAATGCTAAAGAGAAAAAGGAAATGGCAGTGATAAATGCCAGTCACACCGAGAAGATGGATTCACATTCCAGGTTGTAATACAGTATTGTTACACAAATTTAAAATGCAAAGGGAATGCTTAGCCAGTTCCATTCTGTCAGCCTTTAGGGTTTTGCAAAGGTAGGAGACATCTGAGAATCTCCAAAATGAGGTCTGGCTCACCAACCTCTGCAAATAAGTTATAGGACAACTTTACTTTTAATTAACTTTTATTTCTCATGAGTTGATTTTTTTGTGACGTTCCTCTTGATTTTCCCAGATTCTCATGTCACCAGGGTAGATAGGCTGGCAGTGGCCAATGTTGTTCTAAGAGAAATCCTAAAGACTACCCAATTTTTTTTTTTCTTGAATCCGCAGGATCCTGTTTTGTGAAAATTCCTCTTACGCCCACCTATAGGATAGACAGTGGAGGCCCCCCCTGGGAGAAAGTGTACACAGAAAGTGCTATCTAATTACAGAAGTAGCAGAATTTCCTTTGTGCTCAGAGGGGAAGTGCTACAAAAGTGTAATTACTTTACCCAGCATGTGTGATTTACGGGACTTAAAATGTGTGAGTTTCCAAAGAGTCATCTGTTTTTAAATACAGTATCCCTCCCAGCCAGGCAGGATGTGTTTGGGGAGGTGGGAGTGAGGACATGTACTTCCGTCCTGTGCCTGCTGCAGGATGCCTGGTGACAGGGGACTGAAACCACTGGTACTTGCTGCCCCTCAGGGTCTTGCTTATCTGAGTAGAAGGAAGAAAATCAGCAAAGGGCTGGAATCTAGTCAGCTACTCCCAGACCAGATCATCCACTGCTCTCCTCTTACCTTCCCAAGCCAAATTCTTTTTCTAGGACCTCCAAGACTTTTCCCAGTAATAAGCAAAAGAATTGTTAGAGTGAACCCTGAGACCGTTTTTAAAATTTATTTATCTTTCTTTCTTTCTTTTTCTTTTTCTTTTTTTTTTTTTTACCTGTTTTTATTTGAGATGGAGTCTTGTGGTGTTGCCCAGGCTGGTCTTAAAACTCCTGGGTTCAAGCGATCCTCCCGCCTCGGCCTCCCAAAGTGCTGGAATTATAGACGAGACCATTTTTATTGCACAAATTTTCTTTTCAATCTTACTTTTCCTAATATGCTTAAGAAAATCAGTGGGAGAATTGAAGATCAGGTGCAGTGGCTGGGCCAGGTGGCTCACACTTAGCACTTCATGAGGCTAGCACTTTAGGAGGCTGAGGCAGGCAGATCAGTTGAGCCCAGGAGTTCGAGACCAGCCTGAGCAACACGGCAAAACCTCATCTCTACAAAAAAAATTAGCCAGGCGTGGTGGCGTGTGCCTGTAGTCCCAGCTACTTAGGAGGCTGAGGTGGGAGGATTGCCTGAGCTCGGGAGGTCGAGGCGGCTGTGAGCCATGATCGCACCACTGCACTCCAGCCTGGACAGAGTGAGACTCTGTCTCAAAAAAAAAAAAAAAAAAAAAAAAAAAGACCAGGTGCATATCCAGATGTAATCAAACCTGTAAAAACACTTAATGGTTTTTGCATATTAATGGATTGATTAAACATTTATGGAGTTGGTGTCTACTCTGCTTTTAACATTGCTCTTTGACAAACCATATGAAGTGTTGCCATCCCATGTTTTGGGATAAGAAAGCTAAGGCTCTGAGAGATTAAGTAATTGGTCTGAGGTTTTACAGCTGGTGGATAGGAGCTTAAAATTCTCCAGTGGCATATGAGGTTCATGTGATCCGGGCCCTGCTGGTTTCTCTGACCTCATCTGCCAAGAATCACAGCCTCATTCATTATGCTCCAGCTGCCTGGGCTTTCGTTAGGTGTCTCCAACTTGCCAAACTTGTTCCTGCCTCAGGGCCTTTGTGCAAGCCATTCTGTATGCCCGGAAAGCCCTACACTCAGACATTATCAGCCTCATCCTTGCCATTCATTTAGATCTCAATTCAGATGTCACCCCAGAGAGACCTTTGACCTCCAAGTTTAAAGTAGCCCTATATTCCCAACCCTTTTATTTTCCAAATAGTACTTCTTACCTCCTGACGTTGCCTTGTATGCTTATTGTACTTATTTGGTACCCTTGGAATGTAACTCCCTGGCAGCAGACTGCCTGCCTTGTTTAACACTGTACAAACCTCAGATGCCTAGGACAATGCCCAGAACTGTCCAATAAGTTTTTTTGTGAATTGACTAGAATGTAAATCTGCTTTACAGACGCCAAAGCCTGTCTGATACACTGTATCATCATAAACCTTTTTCAGCAGTTTTCAGGTTAAACTTTATATTTCTGCCTTGAAGATGATCATTTCTGGTCCTCATCCCCACTTTATTGCATACAAAACCGCAGTTGTCATCTCACACACTTTTAAGCTGGAAATGTTCAGATGGTAAGTGATAAGAGCCCTTGTCGGGGTATGCAGCAGTTTTTCACACATAAACGAATCCTTCCCTTTTGTCCACTTAGGATGGGAAACCTACTAATTCCACAGAACGAGGAGAGGGATGTGGGCCTGGAGTGTAGGGAATGCCTAAGTACCAGTAGGGCAAGGTGAATTTGATTCCTGTTTTGCAGATGTGACTGTTAGGTTGTTAGGGTTAATTTAATAACCCAGGTGGAATTGATTTGGAGATAGACTTACCACTTCTGATCCTTTGATTGGATCTAGCCTCCAGCTCAATATACCTTCCTCAATTTGCCTACAAGAAGAAAAAGATCTGAAGCTCAGCATAATGCTGGCTTTAGCCAGAAGAATCCAGCCTTTAAGCCATCTATATGTGTAGCCATGAAGGACCTTCTAATATGCCTTGTGAGCCCTTATGGGGCCACCTCACAGCCACAATTTATGCCCACGTGTCAGCCTCACAGACTCAGGAGCTGTTTCTATTCATTGTAAAGCAGACCAGATGACATTTCAGGATGAAAGAAATGTAAGTCATCATTACATACGGCATCAGGCTAACAAGTCACCTGTTAGTTGAGCAGACTAGTTAGTTGGTGAAAATGCATCGATGAAAATGCAGACCATTGGATTATCCTCATTTATAGCATTTATGTCACACTTCACCTTCAACAAACTTGGTTAACTTAACCATCGTCCATTACCTGATAGTCTTAGAACCAATAGTATATAAATCCTTATAGAAGTTATTTCTTGACCAATCAATTCATGAGTATTCTTTGTTTTCTCTCTTATTATCTCATTATCTCTTTGTTTCTAAGGGACCTAGGACAAGCCACTGAAGCTGCTTGTCTTTGACAAGTCATTTTAACCTGTTTCCTTAACTAAAAGGTAGGGATTGTATAGACAGCACCTGTGGTGCATTAAAAGAACCATAAATCTCATTTTTCCACTTTCATTCCACTTTCCATTTCCCCATTGTGATGCAGAAAGCTGCCGTGGCGTGCCAAGACACATCCAGGGTGGGCTGTTTGGGGGGAATGGTTTTAATTTTAAGCCTTTTAAGTGAAAACCCTTAGACCTTGCCTCTGTTTTGTTAAATTACGATTCTAACAAAATAAGAAAAAATTAGTGAAGCACTAGACTTTGGAAACTCTTTCCTGTATATTTGAAATGATTTTCTTAAGACTGCTTTTCTTACCTGAAATTGTTTTGTTTTTTCCTAAGCAAATGAGTGCCTCTCCTTGAGAACTGGGTGGGAGTCTCTGGGTGTGAGAGAACAGCAGGAAATGACCCTTTCTAAACAAAAGGACTCTTTAAGGCCTATCCTGAGTCTTTGTGTTTTGAGGAGGGGTTATGCAGAAAACCAGAGCTAGGAAATGAATCTCTGCATTAGCCATTCTAATGGGGGAAGGGAGAATGGAGAACATTCTCTCCTTGCACGCCCTCCCAAGTATCTAATGCCAGGGAACACTTACTGTGAGATCCAAAGAAGTGCAGAAAAGACCCTGGGAGCCTAGGTGGTGGTTCTTCAGGAGTGCGTGGCTTCAAGTCCCCTAAAGGAAAGAAAAAACCAGGTTGGGCAGAACGACACCCAATGTGATGTTCACCTTTAACCTGGGCTTCCAGAATTTGCTTGAAAAAGCTCATGATCAACAGAATGCAGAAATAAATACAAAATGAGGAAAGTATGAGAGGGATTTTGCAAGATCTATTTGTCATATATATCTTTTTGTTTTTGTTTTTTTTCTCAAGACGGAGTCTTGCTCTGTCACCCAGGCTGGAGTGCAGTAGTGTGATCTCAGCTCACTATAACTTCTGCCTCCTGGGTTCAAGTGATTCTCCTGACTCAGCCTCCTGATTAGCTGGAATTACAGGTGCCTGCCACCATGCCCGGCTGATTGTTTTTATTTTTAGTAGAGACGAGGTTTCACTGTGTTGGCCAGGCTGGTCTTGAACTCTGCTGATCTCAAGTGATCCGCCTGCCTCGGCCTCCCAAAGTGCTGAGATTACAGTGCCTGGCCTGTATATATGTTTATGATCGATTTATCATATATATCTTTATGATCTGTTTATCCATAGGTAGAGGTTAGAGTGTTATGATTTGCTAATAAATACCCAGTAAATAAATCAAAGATTTGAATTACTGTGTTAATGAGAAAATGAACTTTGAGGAATGCAAGTCCTTTTAAATGATCAGGTCCAGAGGGACTTTAAAATGAGACCACAGTCAGGTCCTACTCCCCTCTTGAGCTATATATTCACCTCTCTGTATTCACTGCTTGCTGTTGCTAGAAGTAGCTATAAATTAACTAATAATGCTGCACTGGACACTGTAACTCACTCTATAGTTTAACAATGTATATAGCCAATCACTAATCAGTATAATTTGTGTAAACCAATGAGAATTCCTGGCAAACAACTTTATATCAGCCCACTCCCTTGTCCCTGCTCCTTTTTTTTTTTTTTTTTGCCTTTAAAAAGCCACTTGTAACTGCTTTTTAATTGGAATGCATAAGCCCCTGGGTTGCAGTCTTCAAGCTTGGCCAAAATAAGCTCTACTTATATTAATTTTGCCTCACCTTTTATGTTGCTATCAACTTCTTTTCTCAATCTAAGCTGAAGAGGGAATTAATAATCATTGCTGTGCGAGGTAGTGGGTCTGTAATGAAGAAATGTTGAGCCTTGCCCTGCAGTGGAATGTTCCCTCCTCTCCTCACTTCAAAGTGACCATTCATTGTATCAGTATTTGTGCAAGGAGATCCCAAATTTAAAATGCTAGAAAAGGGGATAGGTCTTATCAAAATTATTTTGCCTTTATAAATTCTTGCTGTCTTGGAGCAATGAACTTCTCTGCTCTTCCAGGGACACTCCTGTTTTTTTTTTTTTCAAGGAATATAAATCTCACTAATAATTAGAAACACACGTCTTGTTGAAAATGGTTTTGTGGTTTACTTCGTTTTTAGAA
This sequence comes from Homo sapiens, assembly GCF_000001405.40. Taxonomy (NCBI): domain Eukaryota; kingdom Metazoa; phylum Chordata; class Mammalia; order Primates; family Hominidae; genus Homo; species Homo sapiens. The sequence continues at coordinate 30,399,378 of NC_000008.11, forward strand.
CATTTGAAAACGACAAACATCTTTTCTAAGAAAAAGCATTGTTTGTTACACCACCACTGTTTGTAGGCTTTTCATTGTAACTATATTTTTAGAAAGGCTGGCTCATGTGTTTGATGGGGACTCTGTGTTGAGGGTAAGGGGCTGGTTTATTTACTCCACAGCACCAGATGCTTTACAGAATTAAAGATAAGATTAAAGCTGCCACTCAGATCCCATTATGAAAGGGTTTTGTTTATATATTAAAGGCTTGGAAGACTCTTTATCTTAGATATGAAGCCAGCAATGCAGTATTCAAAAGAGATGTGATCATTGTAAGTTCCAGAGTTGATAGGGAAAAATTATTCTCACTGAAAATCCCAGTGTCTGAAGTGTTGGTAGGTTTTCTTTTTTTTTTCTTTTTTTTTTTTTTTGAGACAGTATCGCTGTGTTGCCCAGGCTGGAGTGCAGTGGTGTGATCTCGGCTCACTGCAGCCTCCGCCTCCCAGGTTGAAGTGATTGTCCTGCCTCAGCCTCCCAAGTAGCTGGGACTGCAGGCGCCTGCCACCGCACCCAGCTAATTTTTGTATTTTTAGTAGAGACGGGGTTTCACTATGTTGGTCAGGCTGGTCTTGAACTCCTGACCTCAGGTGATCCGCCTGCCTCAGCCTCCCAAAGTGCTAGGATTACACATGTGAGTCACTGCACCCAGCCGGTTTTCTTCATTTCTTTTTTCTTTTGAGATGAAGTCTTGCTCTATTGCCCAGGCTGGAATGCAGTGGTGCGATCTCAGCTCACTGCAACCTCCGCCTCCGGGGTTCGAGCTGTTCTCCTGCTTCAGCCTCCCGAGTAGCTGGAATTACAGGTACACGCCACCACACCTGGCTACTTTTTTTTTTTGTATTTTTAGTAGAGACGCGGTTTCGCCATGTTGGCCAGGCTGGTCTTGAACTCCTGACCTCAAGTGATTCTCCGTCCACTCCCCAGCCTCCCAAAGTAGCTGGGATTACAGGCCTGAGCCACCACGCCTGGCCCTCATTTTCTTAATACATCATTTAAACTCCTAATTTGAGAAAGGTTAACGTATAACGTTGTAACAATTGGTAAGATACCAATTTACAAATATGGAAATATATATTAGATTCATTTGGAGGAGGTTGTATATGGTATACGATTGGCATATGTTTTTCATTCTGAAAGTATCAGTTATTTTCCTGTTATTATCTGTGGTAACATTGCTTGTTTTTTTTGTTGTTGTTGAGACAGAGTCTCGCTCTGTCTCTGTCGCCCAGGCTGGAATGCAGTGGTATGATCCCAGCTCACTGCAACCTCTGTCTCCCGGGTTCAAGCGATTCTCCTGCCTCAGCCTCCCAAGTACCTGGGACTTACAGGCGCCTGCCACCACACTCAGCTAATTTTTGTATTTTTAGTAGAGATGGGGTTTCACTATGTTGACCAGGCTGGTCTCAAACTCCTGACCTCAGGTGATCTGCCTGCCTTGGCCTCCCAAAGCGCTGGGATTACAGGCATGAGCCACCACACCCGGCCACATTGCTTGTATTTTTAAAATAAAAGATTAAAAAAGAAAAGTGTGATCCATTCTCTAAGCTGCTTGCCACCATGCAATATTGAGTCAGAAGAATGGTTCTCAGATCCCGTGCATTAAGAACTATTTGTGTATCAGCCTTCTAAAGCATGGCGAATAAGACAACATACGCAGTGGAGACACGTTTCCTGGGATCATTTGTGGTCGAGATGGATTCAGGAATGTAGCGTGTCTGATTTTATTGGGTGCAGGAACTGCTTTTTCTATAGCTCTTGGTATTCATGTAACTGATGGTTAACCCCAAATCAAAGTGAAAATGTCCTGAGCAGGCATGTTTGTCCATTCTCTCCATGTTCTTAGATCATCAAAGGGAAGTTCTTGCCCTTTGCAAGACTAGCATCTGTTGCCATTTGGTCATAGTGCACCCAGCCTGCTGACTCTGTATCTTCAAAACAAAAACAAAAGCCAGTAGGGAGGGAGCAAAGACTCAAAAGTGCTGTGGGGCTTTGGAATACTGTGAGTTTCTGATTTTGGTAAATGTACATCCAAGATGTTTTAACCATTAAATGTCCCCTCTTCTACATTCCATTAAACCCCACTGGCCTTTAATCAACATGAGAATTTCTCTTGTAATATCTTGGGTTGTGATTAGACGGATAGAGGAATCCTATTGGTGTGAGCTTACCTTGAAGTCAATGAAAAAGTGTTATTTTTCCTTTTTTTTTTTTTTTTTTTTTTGAGACAGAGTTTCGCTCCTGTTGCCCAGGCTGGAGTTCAGTGGCACGATCTCAGCTCACTGCAACCTCCGCCTCCTGGATTCAAGCGATTCTCCTGCCTCAGCCTCCCGAGTAGCTGGGACTACAGACATGCACCACCACGCCCGGCTCATTTTGTATTTTTAGTAGAGGTGAGGTTTCTCCGTGTTGGTCAGGCAGGTCTCGAACTCCCGACCTCAGGTGATCTGCCTGCCTTGGCCTCCCAAAGAAAAGTGTTATTTTTCCATCTACTGGTACTTAAAGTCAGCCCAGGCAAAGCCTGGGTGCTGCTCAGTGCAGGAGACTCAGGCGTGGAAATGCAGCAGATTGACCTGGGTCCCTCCTCCCTTAAACCAGTACTCTGAAATCTCACCACGTAACTAACAAGCCCTGTACTTTCCAAATTGACATCACAATCATAGTCTTGCCGTGGCCAGGTGGGGTGGCTCATGCCTGTAATCCCAGCACTTTGGGAGGCTGAGGCGGGTGGATCACCTGAGGTCAGGAGTTTGAGACCAGCCTGGCCAACATGGATAAACCCCCATCTCTACTAAAAATACAAAATTAGCTGGGCATGGTGGCACGTGCCTGTAATCCCAGCTACCCGGGAGGCTGAGGCAGAAGAATCACTTGAACCCGGGAGGCGGAGGTTGCAGTTAGCCAAGATCGCGCCATCGTACTCCAGCCTGGGCAACAAGAACGAAATTCTGTCTCAAAACAAAAACAAAAACAAAAACAAAAACGCTTGCCGTAAATACCTTTCCTCCCTCCCCACGCCTAATGGATTAATTTTTAGTCTTATAAATTAGGAAATTTCTCATATAGGGCTGACATAAAGAGTAAGCGTTATTGTTCATGTAAAGCCCTGAAATAGTTTGCCTTTATCGAAAGCTCTAGGGTATTTTCGCAATTATTTTGTTGTGTTAAAAATATGGAGAACTACCTTCTACCCCAGGTGGTCCTCAGCAGAGCTTCTGTGTGGAGCAGAAAGTTTTCTCCTGGGATATTTTTGCCTATTTTAAGCCCTGTCTTATGCTTATTTCTGTTGGTCATTTCTCCCAGCATTTCTCAAAGGAAAGATAGTAACGTATTGCTTCTATTTTAGGGATTAAAGAATGATAAATGTATGGGGTTTTTAATTTTATATTTTAAATTGAAGCTACCAAGATTCATAAGCCATTTGTTCATCTAATTGGATCACATTGTGTTCAAGTTTCTTTTCACTGTTTTTGTTTTTTAAAATACAATCTTAAATAGTTACCCTTTCTCTCCTCACCATCATTAGAAAACACAAGTAAGCAAAAAAAAAAAAAAAAGATTAAAAAAGGAAACAATTCTATAATTCCCTCACAACCAGTGTTAATACCTCACTGCGTATCTTTTACATGTTCTTTTCTCTGTGTGTGCACACATGGCATCTATCATCTGTTTGAACAAAAATGAGATCATAATAGGTTTTCCATTTATTTCACTTAACAGTATTTTATGAACATCTTTGCATGCCATTGGATTCATTTCTCTCTCTCTGTTTTTTGAGTCGTCGTCTTGCTGTGTCCTCCAGGCTGGAGTTCAGTGGCACAATGCGATCATAGCTCACTGCAGCTTTGAACTCTTGGCCTCAAGCCATCCTCACACCTCAGCCTCCCAAGTAGCTGGGACTACAAGTGTGCACCACTATGCCTGGCTAAGTTTTTCTATTTTTTCTGTAGAGACAGGGTCTCATTATATTGCCCAGGCTGGTCTCGAACTCTTGGCCTCAGGTGATCCTCCCGCCTCAACCTCCCAAAGTGTTAGGATTACAGGCGTGAGTCACTGCATCTGGCCAATTGGATACATTCCTGCAGCCAAATTTTAAATTCTTCCTATTGTGCTATAGTATGGATGTGCCTTAATGTATTTGACCCACCCCTTATTATTGGGCTTATTATTGAACTTATTTCCAGCTTAAGTGATAGAAACAGTGCTGTACATCCTCCTAGCTAAATCTGTGTATACACCCTTAGTGATTTCCTTAGCTTCAACTCTTAGAAGTGGAATTTCTGGGTCAAAGGGCATGCATTCTTTTAAAGATATTTGATGTTTATTGCCAAATCTTCTCTAGAACACTATTTCCACTAAGAAAATCAGCAGGCCCATTCCTTGCATCCCCTGCCCCTGCCATTTAAAAATGTCCAAAGATTGTTCCCTCACTGTGGAGTTTTTCATATTTGTGTCCCATCCGTGACTCAGAATTAATATTCCAGCCTCATCTGTATAACACCTGGATGTTATATAGTGACTTTTTTTTAACCTCATTTGAAGACATATCCCAGTTGTGTTTCTTATACTTCACTGGATACAAAAATGCTTAGCAGATAATTTCTGGGGGTGTCATTCTTGAGTTTATCGGACACCGTGAAGTGTGTTGCTTTTTGTGTGTTAGGTGCTTGCTATATTTTTCTGGCTATTAATGTCTGACGATGAGGCCAGTATTTTAGGTGTTGTGAGTGCAAGTACAGAATTTGAGTCAGCTCTAACATTTGTCAGGTAAAGCAATAACACTGCCAATTAAAACTTTATTGTAAGATGCATCCTGATTTCATAGATGTTACAGTGTGGAAACATGTCTCAGAATCAGTGGATATGTTATTCTCTCATCTACTTTTCTGGTCACATGGTTGGTTTGCTCTTGAGATGAGAACAGAGACACACTGGTCAGTTTGACATAAGTTTTGGTGGACAGTGAGCCAAGTATATCCTTGGAAAGAATTTTATAATTACAGTTGAATCAACAATGCTTCAATGCCTTTTTTTTTTTCTTTTTTTTTGGAAATAGGGTCTCTGTCTGTCACCCAGGATGTGGAGTGCAGTAGCATGATCATAGCTTACTATAACCTCAACCTCTTGGGCTCAAGCGATCCTCCCACCTCAACCTCCTGAGTAGCTGGGACCACAGAGCTGTGTTGCCACACCCTGCTAATTTTTTTTTTTTTTGAGACAAAGTTTCACCCTTGTCACCCAGGATGGAGTGCAATGGCACCATCTTGGCTCACTGCAACCTCCACCTCCCGGGTTCAAGTGATTCTCCTGCCTCAAGCCTCCGGAGGAGCTGGGATTACAGGCGCCTGCCACCATGCCCGGCTAATTGGTCTATTTTTAGTAGAGATGGGGTTTCATCATGTTGGCCAGGCTAATCTCGAACTCCTGACCTCAGGTGATCCGTCTGCCTCAGCCTCCTAAAGTTCTGGGATTACAGGCGTGAGCCACCACTCCTGGTTCACCCTGCTAATTTTTAAATTTTTGTGTAGAGATGGGGTCGCACTGCATTTCCCAGACTTTTCTCTAACTCCTGGCCTCAAGCAATCCTCCTGCCTTGGCGTCCCAAAGTGTTGAGACTTACAGGCATGAGCTACCATGGTTTGCCCCACAATGCCTTTTATTAGGTACAGACCATGGTGTATATCGCCTTGTGAAAATGATTCTTTTCCTCCCTCTTCAAATTGAGGATGCTGCCTTGAAGCTCCAGCATGTTGCAGCCCCTTAAGTATTTCTCAGGATGAAGGAGAGACCATTCAGGGCAATTGCATCTTCCCTGGAGGGGCTGTTTTCACTGTGATGCCCGCAACATACCAAGAGTGGAATCCTGTCTGAGGAGTGCAGCTCCGGTCTCACCATGTGGGCAGGGCAATCACCATTAACCCCAGCCCACAGGCCTTCTTAATTGTTAACAGACATTCTGAGAAGTGCATGCCCTCCACAAAGCCTACACACATGTGTTCGAGTGTGACTCTAGGAAATGAGCAGATGTAATGGAAACCTCAGTATTGACTCATCCCGATTGTTATATATGAGTGGAATTTGCATCTCATTTAGTGTTTATTTCAGTAGATTCCAGTTGAGGTCATGGAGTGCTAAATTTATATGCATCATAGCACCTTTCTCAAAGGAATTGGGAGCTCTTTTGCAAAACAAAAGATGTCTTCTTTTCCCTTAGCCCTTGGTTTTGTTTGGCAGATGGTGTAGGTGAAGAGAACATTAGTTGTGGAAGAGGTATGTATGACTCCCTTGGGTACAGTCATTGATATTTGTTAAAGACAGCCTGAGAGTCTGTTGTCTTGGCCTTTCTGGGGGATGAAGAAGTTGTTACTGAGAAGCAGTTTTCCTGCCTTCTTGGAAAGACCTCAGTCAACACAGGAAACAATGGGAGAATAACATTTGATCCTACCTAAATGGACAACATTGTGTAATATGGGCGGAGAGGGCTTAGAAATTCAGAAAGAGATCAGTGTGGACCAGAATAAAAGGCTTTGAGAAAGAAAGGTGGACCTTGAGGAACTGGTAATATTTAAATAGAAATGGGTACTGGCTTAGGAGAGTTTCACCATCATAAAAGTTTGGGGCCTGGCATGGTGGCCCATGTCTGCAATTCCGGCACTTTGGGAGGTGGAGGCTGGGAGGCCGAGGTGGGAGGATTGCTTGAGTCTAGAAATTCGAGACCAGCCTGGGGAACATGATGAGACACTGCCTCTATAAAAAGTAAAAAAAAAAAAAAAAAAAAAGATTAGCAGGCATGGTGGTGTGTGCCTGTAGTCCCATCTACTTGGGAGGCTGAGGTGGGAAGATTGCTTGAGCCCAGGAGGTCGAGGCTGCAGTGAACTGTGGTCTTGTCATTGCACTCCATCCTGGACAAGAGAGTGAGGCCCTATCTCTTTTAAAAAAAAAAAAAAAAAAAAGTTTTGGAAGTAAGAATGAATGTAGCACATTTACAGGAGCAGGGAAAAGCTGTATCTATTACTTTTTAATGAATGAATTGTATGTATTTGGGGATATATTAAAGAATTTTTAGGCTGGGCGTGGTCCTCATGCTTGTAATCCCAGCACTTTGGGAGACCAAGTGGGAGGATTGCTTGAGCCCAGGAGTTCGAGACTAGCCTGGGCAACATGGTAAAACCTTGTCTCTACAAAAAATACAGAAATTAGCCAGGCCTGGCGGCGTGCACCTGTAGTCTCAGCTATCAGGAGGCTGAGATGGGAGGATCAGGATCACTTGAGCCCAGGAGGTCAGAGCCACAGTGAGCCATGATTGCGCCACTGCCCTCAGCCTGGGCTGCAGAACAGGATCCTGTCTTAAAAAAAAAAAATTGTTATTATTTGTCAATGTCATTGGTTTTCCAATCAGGCCTGTTCCACAGGTGATTGATACACAACCTGGGAAGAAGTTAGACACCTGCAGAACCCAATGCCAGTTAAGTCTTTTTTTTTTTTTTTTTTTAAACTCATTTGGGTCCTAGTATGCAAGGCCATGCAAGCTGTTTAGATGACCATACTGGAAAAATAAGGAATATTTTTCTTTGGTTATTCTTCCCTAAGTTTCTTTTTTATTCCAGCAGGGTGCAGTGGTGCAATCTCGGCTTACTGCAACCTCTGCCTCCTGGGCTCAAGCAATTTTCCCATCTCAGTCTCCTGAATAGCAGTCACGTGCCACCACACCCAGCTAATTTTTGTATTTTTAGTAGAGACAGAGTTTCACCATGTTGCCCAGGCTGGTCTTGAACTCCTGAGCTCAAGTGATCATCCCCACTCAGCCTCTCAATGTACTGGGGTTACAAGCGTGAGTCACCACGCCCAGCCTTAACTTTCTGGATGAAGCCATTTACTCCATAACTTTGCTTATTTTTTCCTGTTTTTTGTTTTTTTTTTTCTTTTTGTTTTTTTTTTGGGTGGGGGGGTGCTTCTTCATTCTGCCTCTTCAGAACAGCATGACTGTTTATCAGCCGTGGTGACTCTTAGCCCAATGTATAATTCCTAGATGATCTAGTCATCCCAAAGGTACTCAACTCCTACTTGGATTAGGCCCTGCTGGTGCAATGAGCAGCAAACAGACATTGTCCTTGTTCATCCTGGAAGTTACAGTGTAGTTGAAAGTGTATATTAAACAGTGAAGCACCGATAAATAGAGAATAACTGTAATAAGTGCTAGGGAGGAAGAGCGCAGTTGATGTGAGATTGATAGTTGATGGTCACAAGGGGACCTTTTTGACTTTGTTCTAGGTACTATTCACATCACTGGGTGTGAACTCAGTCATCTTCACTGTGCTGTGGGGTAGCTATCCACCACTGCTCCTCCCAGTAGAGGAGGAACTGAGGCTCAGTGAGTTGAATAACTTGCCCTGGGTCACAGCTAATAAATAACAGCCTGGATTTGAACCTGGTCAGTTAGTTCAAAATCCATCATCTTTCACTAGACCTCATTGCCAGTTTAGAGGTACTAGAGAAGTTTGCTTCAAGGGAACAAGAGTTCTCTTCCTTAGGCCCATATCTCTCAGGATCCTGCCTCCCTAAACAGAAGAGCTTGCAACACAGGACTTGTGTAAGCTCTCAGCAATCAGTAATGTGGAAACTAATCTTGTCAAGGAGATGACCAGTTACAGGATCCTTAGTTTAAGAAAATCTAAATGGCCTTGGGCTTACTCTTACCCAAATCTAGTCTTTTCTACTTCTTCCATCCTGCCTGTCTAGACCCTTAAGTTAGACCCCCAGAACCTCATTGGACTCTCCCCACCCTTAGTCCATCTAACACGAATGGCAGATTCCTTTTCCAAAGGCACTACTCCAGCTGGGCACAGTGCCTCACACCAGCAATCCAGCACTTTAGGAGGCTGAGGCAGGCGGATCACCTGAGGCCAGGAGTTTGAGACCAGCCTGGCCAATGTGGCGAAACTCTGTCTCTACTAAAAGTACAAAAATCAGCCAAGCGTGGTGGCGGGTGCCTGTAATCCCAGCTACTTGGAAGGCTGAGGCAGGAGAATCGCTTGAATCCAGGAGAAGGGGTTTGCAGTGGGCCAAAATCATACCACTACATTCCAGCCTGGGCAACAGAACGAGACTGTCTCAAAAACAAAACGAACAAAAATCAAAAGCTCTACTCCATAAATCAGTTGCATGGAAAAACATTTGGAGGCTCCTTGATCAAAGATTTGATGTGTGTGAAAGTGTTCTGAAGACAGTGGAGTGCTGTGCAATTGCACACCACTGTGTTCTGGTGACAGTAACACCCAATGTTGAGAAATAACTCTCTCACCTCTTAAAATTCGAGTTAAAAAGTGTATAATTGAACAGTTCTTAGAATATTCAGAGCTGTGGAACTATCACCACTATCTAATTTTAGAACATTTTGTCAACCCCTGAAAAAAATCCCAAATTCATTAACCAATCAGTCACCATTTCCTCCTCTCCCTAACCCAAAGCAACTGCTGATCTGCTTTTTTTCCTCTATGGATTAGCCTGTTTCAGACATTTCATGCAAGTGGAATGATACAAGATCGGTCTTTTGGCTTTTTTCACTTAGCATCATGTTTTCAAGGCTCATCCATCTTGTAGCATGAATTGGTACCTTTCCCATTGTTTGAATGATACCGCCATTGTATGGATGTGCCATGTTTTGTTTGTCCATTCATCTGTTAACATATATTTGGGTTGTTGACGCTTTTTACATGTCAGTCTGTTCTTACAAAGCATTCCACCTCTGGGTCCCTCAATGTCTAGTGCCTAGAGCGTTTTCTCTTTTTTTTTTTTTTGAGATGGAGTTTTGCTTTTGTTGCCCAGGCTAGAGTGCAATGGTGTGATCTCAGCTCACCGCAACTTCTGCCTCCTGGGTTCAAGCAATTCTACTGCCTCAGCCTCCCAAGTAGCTGGGATTACAGGTGTGAACCACCATGGCTGGCTAATTTTGTAGTTTTAGTAGAGAAGGGAATTCTCCATGTTGGTCAGGTGGGCCTCGAACTCCCAGCCTCAGGTGATCTGCCTGCCTCGGCCTCCCAAAGTGCTGGGATTACAGGTGTGAGCCACCACGCCCGGCCTAGAGTGTTTTCTTTAATCTTTTCCAGTTATTTCTACTTTTTTCTGTCCGAGCTTATCCTTTGGGCTTTCCCCCAATAGGACTGTTGAGTCAGTTACTGACTTAGCACAGTGAATATGCGTCCTAATACATTCTTTATTTTTTATTTTATTTTATTTTTGAGACGGAGTCTCGCTCTGTTGCCAGGCTGGAGTGCAGTGGCGCGATCTCGGCTCACCACAACCTCTGACTCCCTGGTTCAAGCGATTCTCCTGCCTCAGCCTCTCGAGTAGCTGGGATTATAGGCAAACACCATCATGCCCAGCTAATTTTTGTAGTTTTAGTAGAGACGGGGTTTCACCACGTTGGCCAGGCTGGTCTCGATCTCCTGACCTTGTGATCTGCCCACCTTGGCCTCCCAAAGTGCTGGGATTATAGGCGTGAGCCACCGCACCCAGCCTTACTTATATTCTTTTATGTGTCTACGTGTATTCATTTAGATGTTGAGCTCAGTTTTTTAAAAGACAATTCACCCAACAAGTATATATTGAATACCTACTATGTGCCTGGCACTAGTTGGCAGTTGGAATAAATCAGTGAACCAAGCTAAGATCCCTGCCTCCATGGGGACTTAAACATTTTGGCAAAGCTTACATTCTGGGTGACTTAAAATACACACACACACACACACACACACACACACACACACACACACACACACTTAACTGCTACTCTTTTATTTATTATTTTTTTTGAGACGGAGTCTCGCTCTGTTGCCCAGGCTGGAGTGCAGTGGTACAATCTCCGCTCCCTGCAACCTCAGCCTCTCCTGGGTTCAAACGATTCTCCTGCCTCAGCCTCCCAAGTAGCTGGGACTACAGGCACGTGCCAACATGCCCGGCTAATTTTTTGTATTTTTAGTAGAGATGGGGTTTCACCATGTTAGCCAGGATGGTCTTGATCTCCTGACCTTGTCATCTGCCCCCCTCGGCCTCCCAAAGTGCCGGGACTACAGACAAGAGCCACCGTGCCTGGCCAACTACTACTCTTTTATATTTCTGGGTGACTTTAAAATATATATATAGGTGTGTGTGTATGTGTGTGTGTGTGTATAGATATGTATATATAAATATAAATAAAATTAACTGCTACTCTTTTATATTTCCAGCACCTGACCATGAAATGTCATATGGTATAGATGGTCAATAAACATTATTTGATAACTGACATTGAAATTTTCTTTTTTCCTTTTTTTTTTTTTTTGTTTGTTTTGTTTTTTTTTAGAGACAAGATCTCACTGTGTCAGCCATGCTGAAATGCAGTGGTGCAATCATAGCTCACTGCAGCCTCTAAGTCCCAAGCTCAAGACATCTTCCTACCCCAGCCTCCTGGAAAGCCAGGACTGCACGTGCACACAGCCATGCCAGGCTAATTTAAAGAAAATTTATTTTAAGGGATGGGGTGTTGCTACTTTGCCCAGGTTGGTCTTTAACTCGTGGGCTCTAGTGATCATCTGCCTTGGCCTTTCAAGACGCTGGGATTACAGGTGTGAGCCACTGTGCCTGGCCGTGAAATTTTCTTAATAATTTTTAATGAAGCCACTTAATCCTCTCCAGACTGTAAAGATCTCTGTCTTATTTCGTACTGGCACTGTAATCACAGTTGCTGAGTTTATTCATGAAGGTGAAAGTGTCCCTTTGGCGAATAGAAACAAACTTGGGAAAAGCACTTCTCACTTCCTCCTGTATGTGTCTTTACTCCAGACCCTGGCCTGTGTTTTGCTCCTCCTGGAGGCCATTAAGTAGGAGTCTTATTCTAAGGATTGGAATCTTCTGGAGATTCTGTGGGAGACAGAGGACGGAGGGTGGTGTGTGTTCCTTACTTACTGTCAAAATTGAGAAATTTCCCTCTTGGCCGGGCATGGTGGCTCACGCCTGTAATCCCAGCACATTGGGAGGTGGAGGTGGGTAGGTCACTTGAGCTCAGGAGTTCGAGACCAGCATGGGCAACATCTCGAAAACCCATCTCTACAAAAAATTTAAAAATTAGCTGGGCATCGTGGCATGTGCCTATAGTCTCAGCTACTTGGGAGGCTGAGGTGAGAGGATTACTTGAGCCTGGGAGGCAGAGGCTGCAGTGAGCCGTGATTGCACCACTGCACTCCAGCCTGGGTGACAGCAAGACCCTGTCTCAGAAAAAAAAAAAAAAAAAAAAGAAAAAGGAAATGTTTAGGCCGGGCACAGTGGCTTATGCCTGTAATCCCAGCACTTTGGGACGCCAAGGCGGGTGGATCACGAGGTCAGGAGTTCCGAGACTAGCCTTGCCCACATGGTGAAACCCTGTCTCTACTTTAAAAAAATGCAGAATTAGCTGGGCGTTGTGGTCTGTGCCTGTAATCCCAGCTACTCAGGAGGCTGAGGCAGGAGAATTGCTTGAACGCAGGAGGCGGAGGTTGCAGTGAACCGAGATCGCGCCATTGCACTCCAGCCTGGGCAATAGAGTGAGACTTCGTCTCAAAAAAAAAAAAAAAACAAAAACAAAAACAGAAGAAGGAAATGTTTCTCCTCCTTTCTGTCCCATAGTAGGCAAGTGTTTGTTCAGTTACTGACAAAGTCGAGGCTTGTCTGGTGGTGAACATGGTGCCTACTAGGAAGGGCTGCCAGCTCCTTACACACCTTGCTATAATTAGTTGTAATTAGGCATCTTTCTTCCCCAGTGTCTTTTGGAACTGATAGTAGCAGGGCTTTCACAGAACACTGTGAGAATTAATGAGTTAATATTTGCAGAGGCCTCTGGAAATGTTAAGTGCTTGGTGTTCTTATCTTCTCTCTGAGCTTGGTTGCCTTATAAGGCTGTCCACTGAGGCTGAGGGACCTTTGTGGGGAACAGGGCCAGCCCTGAGCCCAGATGACTGTGGCAGTCCATGACTGTTCCCGGAATGGGCTCAGGTTTCTTATTTTAATAGGAATGACACTACTTTTTTTTTTTTTTGTAATTATTAGTGTCAGTCTCGCACGTACTTTCCCCCCAACTTTACTACATCTATTTTTAGCACCTCATCTCCATGGTTCTTGCCCTCTCAAAACCAATTATAGTAAAATCCATTTAAACAGAGATACTCCAGTCCAAGTTAAGTTCTTACATTTTCTTTTCCTGGAAAGATAGGCTACTTATCCCAAGAATTATTTGAAGTTGGTTCATTCTTTTTTAAGTGCTGTATTGAGGAGGAGAGAAAAATAGTAGATAAAACATTCCAATAGTACTTCATTTTTTTTAAACCAATGAATTAAAATCCACACATATTCAATAGAGAGGTCTATAAAAGTTTGTTAACTTCTCATGAAACAGACATTTCCAACAATAGTATGTAAACATGGACATTTACATATTCAAAAGCTACTTTCCAAGATTTTTCCCTCCTACCCAGGTTGTCAGTATAATGACATCGATTTAGGCTATCATAGGCCTTTTGAGCTGGAAGGTCACCCAAGAACCGTATTTGTTTAACACCCTCACTTAAAAAGATGGGGCCACTGAAGTCCAAGGTGGTGTCTGGAACACATTCCAGTTTTTTAAGCAGGCTGGACTTTTCTAATTGACATTGTTTTTGTTTGTTTGTTTGTTTTGAGGCAGAGCCTTGCTCTGTTGCCCAGGCTGGAGTGCAGTGGCACCATCTTGGCTCACTGCAGCCTCTGCCACTCAGGTTCAAGTGATTCTCCTGCCTCAGCCTCCTGAGTAGCTGGGAGTACAGGCATGCACCACTATGCCCAGCTAATTTTTGTATTTTTTAATAGAGATAGGTTTTTGCCAGGCTGGTCTCAAACTCCTGGCCTCAAGCAATCCTCCCACCTTGGCCTCCCAAAGTTCTGGGATTACATGCATGAGCCACCATGCCTGGCCAGCATTGTTCGAATTGATCCCTATTTCTCTCTCTGGAAGGAGAGTGGGCATCTCTTTCTGGATCCCTTGAGGTCAAGTAAAATAACCCCTATACTTTTCAAATTTTGTAAGTAGAGAGAATGATAGCTACTCTCAGCCTGCTCCAAGAAGAGTGCTATCACAGGTGAATCCTGTAAGATAAATACCAATATTTGGTGCGGTGGGGAGCATCAAGAAAGTGGCACAAGGTTAGAATGTTAGAACATTATTTCTTTTTTCTTTTTTAAGAGTCTCACTCTGTTGCCCAGGCTGGAGTTCAGTGGCATGATCTCGGCTCAGTGCAACCTCCGCCTCCCCAGGTTCAAGCAATTCTCCTGCCTCAGCCTCCTGAGTAGCTGGGACTACAGGCATGTGCCACCACGCCTGGCTAATTTTGTATTTTTAGTAGAGACTGGGTTTCATCATGTTGGCCAGGCTGGTGTCGATCTCTTGACCTCATGATCTGCCTGCCTCAGCCTCTCAAAGTGTTGGGATTACAGGCGTGAGCCGCATCCAGCTAATTTTGTATTTTTAGTAGAGACAGGGTTTTGCCATGTTGTCCAGGCTGGTCTTGAACTCCTGACCTCAGGTGATCCGCCCACCTCAGCCTCCCAAAGTGCTGGGATTACAGGTGTGAGCCACCGTGCCCAGCCAGAGTGTTATTTCTTAAATCTTTGTTGACCTTAGAAATATTTATTTTTGTCGTGCCCCCTCCTCCCCCACCCCCTCCTCTCCTTTTGATGTCATCAGAACAACAGGCAGTGGGTCATTGATTGCTGTCTATGCTGGCTCAGTGGCTGTCGCCATTTTTATTAATGATACACTTCTTTTCGCCAGGGCAGATAGCTTGTAAGTAAACATAAATCCTATTTAGAAACAATGAACAAATATTTTTGGTGAGCCTTGGACCTCCTGTATCTGTGGATGTTTATAGGCAATCTCTTGTTTATAGGAAATGGTGCAGAGTTGAGGAACTTTGGCCTCAGTAGTGGTGGGAAGTGGGACAAAGTAGGCCAGGTCTGTTGCTGGTTAGCTCACTTGATTAGAACAGTATGCTAATGAACCCAAGGTCACTGGGCCATCTGTGTATGGGTCAGCCAGCTCTGCTCTGCTGGGATCCCAGACCTTGGCCAGGAGGCTGGGCAATATGTATCACTGGTCATGAGGCCGGAGCAGATAGAAAGATCAGTACTAATCCGTCACCAGACCCAGAAAACAAATTCAAAACACATGCCCTATGGATAGTACACTATCTGTGGCTCTTTAATTTATGAGGGTATCATAACAGATTTTTGTAATTTTCTTAAACAGATTTTTTTTTCTGATTAATAATAAACTGCATGTTATTGAGGATCCTGGGAAAATAAAGTATGAGGAAGGAAACAAAATTCACTATTTTTCCCAGCACTGACAGAGGTTACATTTTGGATTTTTCCATCCTTGATGTTCCCTTCCCTTGGCCTCCATGACACCACACTTGGTTGACTTTCCTCTTCCTCCCTGACCCCACCCCTACATTCTCCTTTTCCCCTTTCCTCCTGAATTTGGCTTGTAAATGATAGTGTTCCTTGGCACTCCGTCCTGCCTCTTCATTTCTCGTGGTCCTGCATTCCCATGGATGGTGTCCTTTGTCCCAGACTTCTGTCCTGAAATCCAGATTCAAAGATCCAAGTGTCTACACCACTTCTAGCTGGATGCTAATGTGTCCAGTAAATGATCCCCTTATCCCCACCATCTAACCTGCACCCCTGTGTTCCTCCTCTCTAGGAGTCACAGCCTTCACCTAGGTGCCCAGCCCTTCCCCTCCCCTCCCTGACTAATCCATCACCAGATTCAACAATTCTACTTTCCAAATATCTCTCAAATCTGTTGACTTACCTTTACCCTGCTGCTGTCCTATTTCAGGCTACCAGCAAAGCTTCTGCACAGCCATTTCAGCCTTAAGCCACTTTCCTTGTTTCCAGCCTTGTCTGCTTTTCAGTCCTTGCTGTCTTCAGGAGAGCCAGCTAACCTTTCACAGAATGGAAATATACTCTGCCACTCTGCTTAAAACCTTTAACTGTGTCCACTTGCCAGATGGTCTCATCTGCAACTTTCTCCTGCAGACCCTATGCTTCAGTCATACCGAGCTTCATTCACTTCTGATAATGCATCATCTCTTTCATCTATCCAGTAAGCATTTTTATGGATAATCAATTATCAGATATCAGGTTCTGGGAGGGTGCTTCAGGAAACTCAAGAGTCTTGGATGGGGAGAGGCCAAGACAGACCTGGGAGTATAGGCTTGGCTGGAAAGTCTGTATTGACTGGCCTTGGGAAAACCTGGAATAAGACTGCTTGGTGTGTTAGGGCAGTGTGTGTACACACTCTGCCTTGTGCGATGTTTGACAGCTTTTCCTCTGGTCTTTGAAAAGGATGACTCCTTGGAAGAGTTATTCCAGGAGCATGTTGCATAGAAGAAAAGACATACTGATGTCTTCATCTAAGAGAAGTGCTTCTGAAGTTGGTCAATTTGTTTTTGTGTTAGCCTTATACTTAAAATTACTGTGTATGGGGCTAAGTTTTAACGTAACACAATGAATCCCCTTTGTAACATTCCAAGTGATATGTGCCATTGCAATGTGGGATTTTCAGAATTGGGAAATCCCTGAGAGCCAGGATGTAGAGTGTTGTTTCCCAATACCCTAGTGGTTTATGAGTTGGGAGAATTGTGTATACCCTAGCGATGTTCCCTGTTTCTTCTTGGGTTTGTTTTGCATCCCTCTTGCCAGATAAACTAAACAAAATGATGAAGAGTAGAAAAGGCTGTCCATTAGTGGAGTTAATGTTTGTGTAAATGTTAATCCATAGGACATACAGTGTTGCTTTCCAGTCTAACAGACTCTTTGGCCCCTTATCCTACCCTCTTGGTGATTTTCATTGTTTTGTTGTTGTTGTCCTTTGTTTTGTTTTGTTTTGCTTGAGACAGAGTCTCCCTCTGTCGCCCAGGCTGGAGTGCAGTGGTGTGATCTCTGCCCACTGCAACCTCTGCCTCCCGGGTTCAAGCCATTATTATGTCTCAGCCTCCCTAGTAACAGGTGCCCACCACCATGCCTGGCTAATTTTTCTTTTTGAGATGGAGTCTCGCTCTGTTGCCCAGGCTGGAGTGCAGTGGTACGACCTTGGCCCACTGCAAGCTCCGTCTCCTGGGTTCATGCCATTCTCCTGCCTCAGCCTCCCGAGTAGCTGGGATGTGCCACCAGGCCCAGCTAATTTTTTGTATTTTTAGTAGAGGTGGGGTTTCACCGTGTTAGCCAGGATGGTCTCGATCTCCTGACCTCGTGATCCGCCTGCCTCGGCCTCCCAAAGTGCTGGGATTACAGGTGTGAGCCACTGCACCCTGCCTTTTTTTCTGTTTTTGAGACAGAGTCTCCCTCAGTCGCCTAGGCTGGACTACAGTGGTGCAATCTCGACTCACTGCAAGCTCTGCCTCTTGGGTTCAAGTAAGTCTCCTGTCTCAGCCTCCCAAATAGCTGGGATTACAGGCATGCACCACTATGCCCAGCTAATTTGTGTATTTTTAGTAGAGACGGGGTTTTGCCATGTTGGCTAGGTGGGTTTTGAACTCCTGACCTCAAGTGATCCTGCCCGCCTTGGCCTTCCAAAGTACTGGGATTACAGGTGTGAACCACTGCTCCTGGCCTTGTTTTGTTTTTTGTTGGGGGAGTTTGTTCTTCTAAGAGACAGATGGACCTTTTTTTTATTTTTATTTTTTTAAGCTAGTTTAAGAATACAGTAAAATCTTCTGATTGTGTTTGTGAACACTGGTAGGTTTGTTACAATGTTAAAATATTTTACTTCTGTAGAAAGAAAACCAAATATATCACGATGACTGGATATTTAAGCTTTTACCAGAACATTTGGAATTGTCCAATGCCCTCTGTTTTTTCTTAGAGCCTTCATGGTGCTGATTCACAGTGAACCTTCACTACTTAGTCCCAGATAACTGATTATCAGTGGTTGAAATCAACGTGGAGATGTCTCAGAAAACCTGTTTTATAGAAACTTCTAGAAAGTTGCAAACCAAAAAAACATGAATGTCATCATGTCATCTCATTTTTCTGTTTTTGAAAAATTATGAAGTTTTCAGTAATTGTGACTTTTTAAACATGTAAAAGTATGGAAGTACATCCAGTAAACAATGCCATGTACATTCCCCCTCAATTTCCCAACCCCATCCCCATTTGCTGTCCAGAAGTGTGACCACAGTTAACGGTTTAATGTGCATCTTTTTATGTACTTAACATGTCTGTAAATATGTCTTTTATCTTTTTTGCTCCCTCTTTTAAATTTTAACTTGACGTTAAAGTTTAGAACTTCCATGTTAGTATGTGCAGCTGTAACACATTCTTTTTTTAGTAGCCACATAGTGTTTCAATGTATGGATGTTCCAAAATATATTACCCATTTCCTGCTGTAACATTTTAACTTTTTAGAATTCAACTATGTGTACTTTTGTAATTAAAAATGTGAATTTTATTTTGCCTATGTGTTCTTCATGAAACACGATATGTACGTTGGTATAGTTGATATGTGTTACCATACGTAACACATAGGTATATGAAGAATAACTACATATATACTTGAACAACTTATGTGCTGTTTAAAAATCTTTTTTAACCATATGTCATTTATAATATAACTTGTTAATTCTAGAACTTGTTTAATATTGAGATTCCTAGAAATGCAATTTCTGGATGAAAGTGATGTGCGTTTAATTTTGAGTAGATAAGGCCGAATTGCTCTCTACAATTACATCAATTTATAGTCCCATCTAGCTTGTCCATTTCTCAATACCCTTTCTAACATTTGAGATTGTGTTTCTTTTTCTTTTTTAAGAGAGGGGATCTTGCTATGTTGCTCAGGCTAGCTTCAAACTCCTGGGCTCAAGGGGTCCTCCCGCCTCAGTCTCCCCAGTAGCTGGGACGCAGGTGCACACCGCCTGGCCTGGCTTAGAGATTGTCCTTCTTACTCTGTAATCATTGGCTAGAAGAGGGCATTTCATTGTTGTGTTTTGTATTTTTCTTATTAAAGAAGTGTATCATTTTCAAGTGTTCATTAGCTATTTTTAGTTTTTCCACAATTTGGTTATCTTTTGTCTATTTTTCTGTTAGATTGCATTTTTGATTTTGTAGGCACTCTTTATTACTATTATTATTATTATTTTTCGAGGCAGGGTCTCACTCTGTCACCCAGGCTGGAGTGCAGTGGCGTGATCTTGTCTCACTGCAACCTCCGTCTCCTGGGTTCAAGCGATTTTCTTGCCTCAGCCTCCTGAATAGCTGGGGCTACAGGCATGTGCCACCAGGCCTGTCTAATTTTTGTATTTCTAGTAGAGACTGGGTTTTACCATGTTGGCCAAGCTGGTCTCAAACTCCTGACCTCAAGTGATCCATCCGCCTCAGCCTCCCAAAATGCTCGGCCTCCCAAATCTGTTTTAGTGGTACAGGTACTCATGCACATGAGTACCGCTCCTGGCCTTGGCACTCTTTATACGTTGTAAACATTGATTGTTTTTGTCTTTAATATATTTTAGAAATATTTTCCCTAGTCTTTTTGCTTGTCCTTTTAAAGATAGGCCCCTGTTATCATTTGCTGTAAATGTCATCATCTGCATAGAAAATCCAAGATTATCAGTTGAAAAAAAAAAAAAAACAGAACTAATAAACTTCAGTAAGATGTCCAGATGAGAAAAACACAAAAATCACAGGGTTTTAATTTTATTTTTAAAAATATGGCTGGGCGCAATGGCTCAGGCCTATAATCCTAGCACTTTGGGAAGCTGTGGTGGGTGGATTACCTGAGGTTGGGTGTTCAAGACCAGCCTGGCCAACATGGCGAAACCCCATCTCTATTAAAAATACAAAAATTATCCGGGCATGGTGGTGCACGTCTGTAGTTTCAGCTGCTCAGGAGGCTGAGGCAGGAGAATCGCTTGAAACTGGGAGGCAGAGGTAGCAGTGAGCCAAGATCATGCCATTGCACTCCAGCCTGGGCGACAGAGTGAGATTGCATCTCAAAAATGTGTGTGTGTGTGTGTGTGTGTGTGTGTGTGTCAGCATAGGAAAGTAGTACAGGTAGAGAGCATTTCTAATCTCAAAATGCCCCACAATCTGAAGCTTTTTGAGCACTGACGTACCACAAGTGGAAAATTCCACACTTGACCTCATGTGACAGGTTTCAGTCAAAACTTGGTTTTCATGCACATGAGTATTAAAAATGTTTTATAAAACTACCTTCAGGCTATGTTTATAAGGTGTATATGAAGCGAATGAATTTTGTGTTTAGACTTGGTTCCCATCCCCAACATATCTCATTATTTTTAAAATATGGAAATATTCCAAAATCTGAAACACATCTGGTCCCAGTCATTTCACATAAGGGATTCTCACCCTGTACTAATCAATTAGAACACATAATAAAAAACAGATACCATTCTTGACAGCAATGAAAAACAAATTTGCAAGAACAGCTTGAAGAATACTGCATTCTGAAGGACAGAAAAGACCTGAATAGGTCTGGTGCAGTGGCTCATGTGTGTAATCCCAGCACTTTGAGAGGACGACATGCATGGATTGCTTGAGCCCAGGAGCTCGAGACCAGCCTGGGCAACATGGCAAGACCTTGTCTCAACAAAAGAAACCCAAAGAATTAACTGGACATGGTGATGTGTGCCCGTAGTCCCAGTTACTCTGGAGGCTTAGGTGGGAGGATCACTTGAGCTTGGGAGGTTGAGGCTGCAGTGGGCCGTGATCACACCACTGCACTTCATTCTGGGTGATAGAGCAAGACCCTGCTTCAAAAAAAAAAAAAGAAAGAAAATACCAAGTAAATGGAGATACAGATTGTATTTCTGTGGATAGATATTGTAAAGTCTCTTTTCTCCAAATTAAACATTAAATGAAATTCTGATAAAAATTCCCAAGTACTTTAAACAGAATTTGACAAGCTAATCTATAAGTCAGCTGGACTTATAAACATACATAAAGCCAAGAAAATTTGGAAAAGAACTCGGGGGGACTTTCCACACCGGATATCAAAACCCATTTTGAAATATTGTAGTTAAAAGAGACAAATCACCAAATGAAACTGAAGTCCACAGAGGTAAAGTTACTAGTTTAAGGTCACAGAGCTAGATGGGCATTTTTCATGCGGGTCAGTTGAAGTGTTTCTCAGTGGCTGGACTGATTGCATGTGATTCTAACTTTCAGCAATGTTGTAGACTTTATCGGGAGGCTTCTTCATTTCCCAATTAGAAAGATACTATCTTTTGGGAAAATTACTTATGCAGGGAATCAACCTATTAGACATTTGCCGAACTTGAATAAAATGAGAAAAGGAAAATCTGTCAAGCCTTCGTGTTTCATGTTGTAGTGTTTTCCCTGTAAATGCTTCCTCTATTGTAGCAGAGTAGTTCAGAGTTGAAGGGTCATCAGGGCAGAAGATGAAGAGAGTCCGGGGTCTATCTAGGAACAGTAGTTAGGAATGGTTTAGAAACTTTCAGTCAATTGACAGGCTAGTTAGTATTTTAGTGACATTATCAGTTAAAAGTTTAAAATACTTACCTATTTGAAGTCATGAAAATGGCTAATTTTGATTTATTTTCATCCCATGCTTTAAATTTATTTGTGCTGAATTGTGAAGATGATGAGCTTAAAAGTACAGGTTAGAGATTTAGAATTTGTATGTAATTACTCTTGTGAAAATTTGTTTTCTTAGGGAGGTGTGTGTGTGTGTGAGAGAGAGTGTGTGTGTGTGAGTGTGCGCATGAGCTGGTCAGCTGCAGAACCTTCTGGTTAGCAAACCTGATAGCATCTAGGGTGGAGCTAAGGGGGAAACATGTTTAATCACATACTCACCAGCTTCCTGGCACTAAGAAATTATCACCAGACAGCAGCCACCAGGATAATTTAACTTTAGTTCTGGACAGGCAAATGTGCAGCAATCATTTAAAGTAAATTTCTTAAAGAACATGTAGGAATTATGTCACTACTTTGTGGTGATGTTTCCATAAATCCTCTATAGTGTTTTTGTTATGTTTGTGTTTCTTATTAAAAATTCCTTAAGTACAAACATCATTTTCAAATATCATATTTAGTATTCCTACATTTGAAAGCCAAACATGACAAATTATTTTTTACAAATTTTCTAGGTACCTACTATGTGCCAAGGATAATGTCATATCCTCACATGTTTTATGGGTTAGGTGGAAAGTATTACACACAAGGTTAAAAAGGCTGTTTTACTGGCCGGGCATGGTGGCTCATGCCTGTAATCCCAGCACTTTGGGAGGCTGAGGCAGGTGGATCACAAGGTCAAGAGATCGAGACCATCCTGGCCAACATGGTGAAATCCCGTCTCTACTAAAAATACAAAAATTAGCTGGGTGTGGTGGCACGCACCTATAGTCCTAGCTACTCGGGAGGCTGAGGCAGGGGAATTGCTTGAACCCGGGAGGCGGAGGTTGCAGTAAGTCAAGATCGCAACACTGCACTCCAGCCTGGGTGACATAGCGAGACTCTGTCTCAAAAAAGAAAAAAGAAAAAAAAAGCTGGTTGCTATGATAGAGATAAGAATAAAGTAATAACCAGGTAGGTAATTGAGAAAAAGTTCTTAAAAGCAGTAGGGGGCTGGGATGGGTAGGATAATCTACTGTTGTTTTTCTTTTTCTTATTTTTTTATTTTATTTTATTTTATTTTTATTTTATTTTATTTTGAGATGGAGTCTTGCTCTGTCACCCAGGCTGGAGTGCAGTGGTGCGATCTTGGCTTCCACCTCCTGGGTTCAAGTGATTCTCCTGTCTCAGCCTCCTGAGTAACTGGGATTACAGGCACCCTCCATCATGTCTGGCTAATTTTGTATTTTTAATTTAGATAGGGTTTCGCCAGTTGGCCAGGCTGGTCTTGAACTCCTGACCTCAGGTGATCCACCCACCTCAGCCTTTCAAAGTGCTGGGGTTACAGACTTGAGCTACTGCGCCTGGCCGAAATTTTCTTAAATAATAATAATACTAAATTTTCTTAGTAATAGAGGTCTTGCTATGTTACCCAGGCTCGTCTCGAACTCCTGGGCTTAAGCAGTCCTCCTGCCTCAGCCTCCCAAGGTGCTGAGATTATAGGCGTTGAGCCACCTCACCTGGCCTGCTGTTATTTTATATAGAAATCTGCGCCTCATTTAGGCATGAGAGTGTTCCGTAGCACCTCCTTTGTAGGAACTTAATAATGTACAAGAGAAACCCAAATGTACGTTTCTGAACAAATTTAAATAGATACCTGAGTGTGGATTTTAGAAAACTTTCTATCTGGGCTCATTGTTTTCATCTTTTTCTTGTGTAGATAACCACACCCAAGAAAATCATAGGAAAAATACATAACAAATGCACTTTTAAAACAAAATATCCCAAGTTTATAATTCATGGTATTGGATGGATGTATTTTACTGACACAAGAGTTGCATTTTCAATAAATATTTCTTTTTATCTACTTCATGTGCTGGGGAAATGGGTGAAACAGGGAATTCTATGATCGCAGCAAGTCCCTTTCTTCTACAGGTTCATTTTGTAGCCATCATGTTCATTGCAGCTATCCCAAGTGGGGTTGAGAACCAGGACCTGGCTCCAGGTCTCCGAGCAGTTGAAATGTACCTGGCAAAGTCCATGCCTTAGGCAGGAGAGCTGCTCAGCCTCACTTCCAGCCTGTTTACTCTGGGTTCTGAATCGCCGTGGGCTTTGTTATCTGGTTTCCCAGCCTCGCCTACCAGTTCTCTGTCTACCAGTGTTGTACCAGGGCTCTTTTTATTCTTTCTTCGACTGGAGATCCAGACTCTCAAACATCTGTAATACTTGTCCCTATCTCTTTGTTCATGTGTTCCGGCACCTTGTGGATATTTGTAGGTCACCAGTTCTGCTTTTGCTTGAAGACCTGTCTGGCAGGGCTTGGCACCTCTTTCCTCTTTGTGTATGCAGGGCCTGGTTGCCTAGCTACCTCGGAGGGGACAGTGAGGGCTGGGCTGCAAAGGGGAAGGCCTGGCAAATCCTGAGTTAGGCCTGTGCTTGTTCTCTAGTATGGGCGGGGCTTCCAGGGGCTCAGGGGCCATCTATTGTAGGAGTAACGGCCACTTCCCATCCATTTCTTCTTTCGTCTCTCTTTTAGTTATTTATTTCTGCTTGTGTCTCAGGACCAAACAATCTGCAGGGTGAATTGGTGGGGAGGAAGTTGAGGGTTGGGGGTGGGGAGGGGAGGACCTCCCGGAAATAGTAAATCTTAGTTTAGTTTTTCAGAGATAAGTAGTCACATGGGTCCCTTGCCAAGAGAGAAGATCTCTCTCAGGAAGAAAGGCAGGATGGTGCGGGGGTTTAAACTAGGTTTGTATTACAAAAATCTGGATGGGTTTTTTGTTTTTTTTGTTGTTGTTGTTTTGTTTTTTTGGAGACTGAGTCTCACTCTGCCACCCAGGCTGGAGTGCCATGGCACGATCTTGGCTCACTGCAACCTCTGCCTCCCGGGTTCAAGCCATTCTCTTGCCTCAGCCTTCTAAGTAGCTGGGACCTCAGACGTGCACCACCATGCCCGGCTCATTTTTGTATTTTTTGTAGAGACAGAGGTTCACCATGTTGGCCAGGCTGGTCTCTAACTCCTGACCTCAAGGAATCTGCCCACCTCCGTCTTCCAAAGTGCTGGGAACAGGCATGAGCCACCATGCTGGGCCTTGGATGGGCTTTGATGTCTTCATAGTGCATGAGTTTTGGGTCAGCCAGTGTTAGGTTTGACATCCTGGTCTCCTAACCTGGCTCTGACACTTATTAGCTGTGCTATCTTGGGCAAGTTACTTTCTTTGAAGCTAGTTCTTCTTGAATAAATTGGGAATAACAAAATCCACAACATAGAGTTGCATATGGATGGTAGCGATAATTATAGATCATGCCTCAATAGAATGTAAATAGGTGCTCAACAGGTGGAAAGTTGCTATCATTGTTATAATTATTTGAAAGGGGATATCACTGAGACATGAAATGAGGGCAGGTTATAGAGCAGTCGGTCAATAAGCCCAGCTTTTGTGACATTGGAAATTTAATTATAAGTTAGTTACTAAGGGTGCATGGTTATACTGGATTCATAACTAGGTTCATACTCTGCTCCGTTTGGCTGGCTAGGTGATCTTTAACCTCTCTAGATCTTAATCTTTTCATCTGTTTGTAAGAAGAGAATGAGGATAATAATGCCTACTTCGTGGAGTTGTGAGGATTAAAGGAGATATGATATGTAAAATGTTACACAGTGTCTGGTACAGAATTTGATCTAGAAAGAAGGCCCTTATTATTAGACATAGTAACCTTTAAAGCACGGTAAAAGCGGTGCTCAGTGATCAGTGACAATTTCTTTTTTGTGCTCTAGTCCTTTGAAGCATGGCTGTTGTATTTCCAAGTTTTTTGACACTCTTGGATTTTATTTTCTTGGGTACACGCGCGCACACACACACAAATTAGCATTAGCCCATTATTAAATATTAACTTTTTATTCCATGTATTTATTTATTTATTTAGAGACAGGGTTTCACTCTGTCATCCACCCAGGCTGGAGTGCAGTGGTACAATTTCAGCTCACTGCAGCCTCAGCCTCCCAGACTCAAGCAGTCCTCCCACCTCAGCCTCCCAAGTAGCTGGGTCTACAGGCATGCATCACCACGCCCAACTAATTTTCTGTAGTTTTTGTAGCGACAAAGTCTCACTATGTTGCCCAGGCTGGTCTCAAACTCCTAGACTAAAGTGATCCTCCCGCCTTGGCCTCTCACTCAAAGTGCTGAGATTATAGGCATTTATTCCATTATTACTACTTTTATGGAAATTCCTATCTTCCTTCAAAAGCTAAGGCTAGGTTCCTTAATATATTGAAACGTATATATAGCATGAGTCCTCTCTGCATCCATAATTTAAGTATGTATTTTATATGTGTATATTTGATATGTAGCGTAATTTTAATTTCTTTTTTTTGAAATGGAGTTTCGCTCTTGTTGCCCAGGCTGGAGTGCAATGGCCTGATCTTGACTCACAACAACCTCCGCCTCCCTGGTTCAAGCGATTCTCCTGCCTCAGCCTCCTGAGTAGCTGGGATTAAGGCATGTGCCACCACGCCCCGCTAAATTTTGTATTTTTAGTAGAGACGGGGTTTCTCCATGTTGGCCAGGCTGGTCTCGAACTCCCGACCTCAGGCAATCTGCCCACCTCGGCCTCCCAGAGTGCTAGGATTATGGGCATGAGCCACCGAGCCCGGCCCGGTGGCTTTTTTTCTTAAAGGGTTTTGGTAAGAGTTAGTGTACAATTTGTCAGGCACTTCCTACGTCCCAGATATTGTTCTAAACATTTTTACAGACATTAACTTCCTAAGTTCTCCTAACAATCCTAGGAGGAGGTACAGTTCTGAGCCCCATTTCATGGGTAAAAAAACAGCAGAGAGGGAAATTAACTTGCCTGAGGTCACACAGCTGTAATGTGATCAAGGCTGGCCTTTGAGACCAGGCGGCTGCTGACTCTTATCGATGGTGTTGTTCTTAACCACCACTCTATGCTGCTTCCCACCGTGCCCAAAGAGTGCCTGCAGGCTTCTCTGTCTCTTTCCTGAAAAGTTACTTACAGTCCCTTGACTGCACTGCTTTAAAGACGCAGCACGGAGTTCAGCAGTGAAATCTGGCAGTGCCGGTGCTGAAAGATGTGAGGATTTTGACAGATGCTGGAGATGCTGGCTCAATGTTCATGTCCCACCAGGGGCCAAATTGCCCATCTGTAAATAAGGTTTCTTGTCTTCAGATTCCGTGGTGATTATTTTTTTCCTCAGGGACCAGTCATCCTTTTAATCTTGTGGTAGAAAATTAAAATGAGTTTCACTGAAGTGTGGTTGGATTTTTAAAGTTTCTTTTAAATATTACTTTAGAGAAGTTAATTAAGTACCTGCCCTGTGGATCCAGCTTCCTGCATTTTCCTACTGTTTTCACTGTTTAGACGGGAGGCTTTTCTTAGGAGAATTAGATTACAAATTGAAGGGTGAATGAATACCTTATCGGCAGATCATGAACATTTGGGGTCCTGAATAGGTAGCAGGCTTGCGTAATAGGACCTGAATAAAGTTAGGCAAACATGACTATCTCTGATCTTAAAGGCATTGAACAGGCTGAGGTTAAAGTGTTTGTCGTAGTTTCTAAAAGTCAAGGGAGCGAGGAAGGGAGAGTTTACTTTCTCACTTTGCTTGCAGTGATTTTCTTTTTTTTTTTTTTTTGCTTACTATGTCTTGGGGTTTCTCCAGGTGGTAGAGGTTGCTCGGAGGTCTGACTCCCAGCTGGCTTGAAAGCAGTGATTGTTCATGTTTTGGGGGATCGTTGATCCCTTTGAGAGTCTGGTGAAGCCTGTGGGCATCCTCCCCAGAAAACACACACAGACATACACACAATGTTTTGTTCATGGGTCTTTAAGGGCCACACACCTAGGCTTTAGAGTATATGGCAATTCAACATCAGAACTTGTTTACTGCCCCTTCCCTTTTTCTTTTGTTTTTTGAGAAGGGGTCTCGCTTTGTTTCCCAGGCTGGTCTCAAACTCCTGGAGCTCAAGCAATCCCCCTGCTTTGGCCTCCCAAAGTGCTGGGATTATAGGCATGAGCCACCACGCCAGGCCGACCTCCCCTTCTGTGTGCCGTCCTCAGCCTGGGCCTCGTGGCTCTAAAATTAAGCTAATCGGTGAATTCAGCTATTGTTCTTAATGTCTTGTTTGTACCCCAGAATTATTTGCATTTGAAAGTCTTCAGAACTCCATACCCACTCCAGCTCTATCACATGTGATCACTTCAGGAGGTAACTATAAAGGGGACCCTGCTTTATTGGCCATTCTTAGCCAAATGGGCATTGATGTTGAAAGGGGTCCAGGTAGCTAGCCTGTCAAATCTTCACAGTGCTGTCCCCTCCCTGTCTCTCCCTACTGCCACACTGAATTCCCTCACCTCACACTGAGTTCACTCACCTTTACGTATTTCAGCACATCTTGTTCTTTACCTGGAATGCCCTTCCATTCTTCCTCCACTACAGGAATGCCTGCTCGTCTTTCAGTACCCAGATCAAATGGAAGCCTCGCTGAACTCCCCTGGCAAACTCTCTCTCTTCCTGTCTTTCCATGGCAATTTTTAAAGGTCTGTGTTACAGCATACATATCATGTTGTAATTATTTTTTATGTGTTTGGCAGACTCCACCGCCTGTAAACTAAGTGCTTGTCTTAATCGTCTTTGATCATGCAGCATGTTGTCAGGTGCTAGATATGTTTGCCATCCAGAGTTTATACAAGTGGGTTGTGGGGTTAGAACACAGGACGCAGATTCTAGCTTTGTGACTTGCCATCTCTTTGTGCCTCTGTTTCCTCAGGTGTAGGCTTGTTGGGGTGGGGGAGAATCTGAGTAAAGTGGAATAGTACCTAGTGCATGGTGAAATATTCAGCAACTAGGCCAGGTGCCATGGCTTATGCATGTGATCCCAGCAGTTTGGGAGACTGAGGTGGGAGGATCACTTGAAGCCAGAAGTTTGAGACCAGCCTTGGCAACAAAATGAGACCCCATCTTTTTTTTTTTTTTTTTTTTTTGAGATGGAGTCTTACTCTGTCACCAGGCTGGAATGCAGTGATGCGATCTTGGCTCTCTGCAACCTCCGCTTCCTGGTTTCAAGCAATTCTCCTGCCTCAGCCTCCCGAGTAGCTGGGACTACAGGTGCACACCACCACGCCCAGCTAATTTTTGTATTTTTAGTAGAGATGGGGTTTACCATGTTGGCCAGGATGGTCTTAATCTCTTGACCTCGTAATCCGCCTGCCTCGTCCTCCCAAAGTGCTGGGATTACAGGTGTGAGCCACTGCACCTGGCCATGGGACCCCATGTAGTCCCAGCTACTCAGGAGACAGAGGTGGGAGGATCGCTTGAGCCAAGGAGTTGGAGGCTGTGGTAAGTTGTGATCATGCCACTGCACTGCAGCCTGGGCAATAGATCAAGACGCTGTCTCAAAAAAAAAAATCAGCAGTGTTAACCATTGTGATATTTAATCATAACATTAAGCATATCATTGAGTGAATGAGAAACTCTTAAAAATAACCCAGCATAATTGGAGAGAACATTATATAGATGTACAGAAATTAAGTTAATTCTGCATTCTCCAAGTTTAATCTCAGCATAGATAAAATAAAGAAATCTAAATTTACAGGGCTCCCAGAGAGGTTCGGTAGGACACTCTATAATCTACTGTTCATTTCCTTATATTATAAAGTTAACTGGCATCTGTGTGAGGACCTTAAGCCATTTACAAGTACGTACTGTGGGAATATAAGGCTTTTTTTTTTTAAGGGTAAGAAAACTCATGTACACTATTTTAATGGTATGATTTAAATGTGTTCAAAAACCTTGTGTTT
This sequence comes from Homo sapiens, assembly GCF_000001405.40. Lineage (NCBI taxonomy): Eukaryota > Metazoa > Chordata > Mammalia > Primates > Hominidae > Homo > Homo sapiens. The sequence goes on from NC_000008.11 coordinate 30,428,859, forward strand.
TTCAAATCCCTTTTCAAAGTAGCCCCAATAAGCTGGGGAGTATGTGTGTAGTGGCGTCGCCATTTGTAGCTCCACTAGTAACATGCAAAGCACATGGGAATCCATGAGAAACAATCATAGAAGCATCTGCTTCTGCTTCTAAGACACATCAAAGGTGGTGAGAAAAAAGATGTCATTGAAGGAGCTCTTTCCTTAGTGTATTTTATTTGTAGGCAGGATAGAAGTATCCTGCTAAAGTCATAAAATAGAATAGTATTTTAGAATTAGAAGGAGCTTGACTAGTCCAGCCCCTTCTTGCTTTACAGATGAGGAAACTGAGGTCCCAAAATGTGGAGTGATGTCACATTGTGCTGGGGATGTGGAGAGGGGTGTTTGTCATCACGTGGATGGCCACGTGGCTGGCTGGGGGGCCTCAGAGGGGACCTTCTATTCCCTCTTTATACAGGAGCCCCTGTCTGTCTTAAGCACATGGCTTGCTTCTTGAAAGCTTTCCTGGACTCCCCAGGCAGTATTTCCTTTGTGCATTTTAAACTAAATTTTGACTAAATTAAAAGCAATGAAATCCAGGCCTCCTGGAAGGGTATTTAGTTTTCCTTTTTAGCAGAACAGTTAAGCTAATGACAGTGTTAGAAGCCTCAACCACCCCATCCAGTGATTGATATACATGCCCCCAAATTTTTGTAGTGAAATATAAAAACAGTCTATAATCTGATTTTGTAATCAAGGTCTAGCCAATTACAGTACATCTCAAAAAGTCCTTAGCAATTGGGTTGTTAAGTCACCCAGCAAAATCCCTGTCATTGACTTCCTTGGAGCCATTTCCTTTCATGTTTTGGCTTCTTGGTGTCTACATAGTTTCTAAGATAGCAGCCCAATAAATTGTGCTATTATCTCCAGGTTTCCACATCTTACATATGGTATACATTTGCTGTTGTCTCCTTTTCAAAATGTAGTCCAATTTGTGACTGTTTAATTTTTAAAGTGAAAGAGGGAGAATGTTTTAGAAGAAGTTAAATAATTTAAAAATTAGATGCCCAAGCCCTAGTAACTTTGATTTGTGGAAAAATACTTTTGATTATAGCCATATAGTTACAGAATCTATACAGAAACTTGGCAAATTTGAAAATCTGAAATCTGGCCCGGCGCAGGGGCTCATGCCTGTAATCACAGCCCTTTGGGAAGCCGAGGCGGGCAGATTGCTTGAACCCAGGAGTTTGAGACCAGCCTGGGCAATATGGTGAAACCCCATCTCTACAAAAATACAGAAATTAGCTAGGCATGATGGCGCCCGCCTGTAGTCCCAGCTACTCGTGATCATGCCACTGCACTCCAGCCTGGGTTAGAGTGATACCCTGTCTTAAATGGATGGATGGATGGATGGATGGATAGATAAATAAATTAAAAATCTGAAGTCTTATATGTCCCCCTGTTGTCAATAGAGAAGAGAATCATACTACTTTATACCCATAGTATCTCTGGAGGAGTAACAAGTTGTACGTCTTGGTTCTATTCTGTAACATGGAACCAAGGTATTTGCAAGCTGACAGCGAAGAAGAGGCTTCATTGTGCATATTCCTACACTGTATTTTTTGGTACATTTTTCAGAGTTTGTAAAGAAAACATCTTGTACTGAGTTTTTAATAACTTTTCATCCATTTCCCAATGTACAGTACAAGTATATCAAAGAACAAAAATGCAGTAATCCAGCATTGTCAAAATCACTGCTATTTAAATGCTGTATGAAGAGAGTAGTGTTTAAGTTCCTAGTAGCTATCTCACTTATTTGTTGGCTGTGGTAGAGTAATCATTGTGGCAATCATTTTATACATGTTTGAGTTACACATATAGCTTTGAGGGACATCTACTAACACCATATTTAGTGGTTTCTCCTAAAGACTAAAGTTATAGCCTCATGTTCATTTACTTAGAAATGGATAAAAGTACTATTAATTTAAAAAATACCTATGTCTTATAGTTCATTTATTCCAAAAAGATATATCAAATGCCTACCATGTAGTAGGCACTATCCAAGTTGCTAAAATTTAAAGACGAATAAAACAAGGCCTTCTTATTTGGTGAGGTTGATGAAAAGTGAAAGCAGATGATTAAAATGCAGTAGCATAAGTAATTATTTGTGAGTGTATTTTTAATGTATGAAGCGGTTTTCAGATGTATTCTTTATTAGTCTCAATCACTTGCATTTCCTTGAATTGAATGGGAGAGGAGGAAGATGTGGGGTTGCAGTGGGTTCACTGGGAAGCATGCATTATTCTACATATACTGGGGAGCACATGGTATAACTGGCAGAGTGTATCCAGGGGGAGAAAAAATAGCATGTTGGTTCTTGATTTTATTGTGTGGCATAGGGTGTCACATAGTAAGGGGACAACTCAAATTTCATAGGAAAGATTGCCTTACTTGGAATGTAGAGTCAAGGCCTACACCCAATCCCCTGCATTTCTTTCTTTCTCCTTTCTTTCTTTTCTTTTTTTTTCTTTCTCTTTCTTTCTTTCTCTCTCTTTCTTTCTTCTTTTCTTTTTCTCTTTTCTTTCTTTTTCTCTTCTCTCTTCTCTTCTCTCCTCTCTTCTGTCCTGTCTTCTCTTCTCTTTCTTGAGACGGACTCTCTCATTCTGTCGCCCAGACTGGAGTACAGTGGTGTGATCTTGGCTCACTGCAACCTCTGTCTCCTAGGTTCAAGTAATTCTCCTGAACCTCTAGAGTAGCTGGGGCTACAGGCGTGCACCACCATGCCCAGCTAATTTTTGTATTTTTAGTGGAGACAAGGTTTCTCCGTGTTGGCTAGGCTGGTCTCGAACTCCAGACCTCAGGTGATCCGGCCTGCCTCGTCCTCCCAAAGTGTTGGGATTACAGGTGTGAGCCACCGCGCCCAGCCCTCTCTTTCAATAATAGTACTTATCAGTATATTTATTCCTGATTATACAAGTCTGCTATGTCAAGTAAGAGTTTAAAACATTATTTGGGCCAGGCATTGTGGCTCACACCTATAATCCCAGTACTTTGGGAGGCCGAGGTGGGAGGATTGCTTGAGCCCAAGAGTTGGAGACCAGTCTGGGCAACATAGGGAGACCCTGTCTTTACAAAAACATTAAAAAAAAAATGTTAGCCAGACATGATGGCATATATCTGAGGTCCCAGCTACTTGGGAAGCTGAGGTGGGAGGATCACTTGAGCCCGAGATCAAGGCTGCAGTGAGCCATGATCACGCCGCTGCACTCCAGCCTGGACAACAGAGTGAGACCCTGTCTCAAAAAAGAACCAAAAACAAATTTTATTTTGACATTTCAAAGACTTTTTCTTTTGAACCAACCAATCTCTTACTTATTAACAAAGTTTGAAGTGATCCAGTAGTTGTTTAAATAAACTGACTCTCCCGGCAGAAAGTAACTATTTTCTATCCCATTGTCTGATGAGATGCTCTGAGTCTTTGGTTAGATGGAAGACTGCAGACAAGTTAGCCCTGCATCTCATTTACATAATATTTTTTACTCTTAAGCAAGAAATCTTCACCAGGTCCTCTTGTGATCTGGTGCTGACACAGAACCATGACCATAGAGGTGCCCATGACTTCTTTCTGTGTCCCTTGAGGATGTTGGTGCCAAAGGCTACTTAAATCCTCCTTGGAAGGAAACGATTTCATCAGTCAGGAATTATTGTTTTAATTTGTGTCATTTACCTGTTTTGCCTTCCTATCGCAACTACCTCCATGAAAGTAGTTATATTGAAAAAAGATGCTTATATTAAAATCAGATAGGCTTTATTAATAAAGTGTAGTGTGTAGGCTTCTATGACTAATACATAGTTTAAAGTCAGGGTAATAGCTGGTGTAATGAAACCAAATAAAGTTTCTGGCTCATTCATAACTGTGCAGTAGTTTCGATTTATTCTTTGTTATTGTTGACCACCTTGTTCTTGTTAGAACAAGGCAGGGAATAAATAAATAAATAAAACGATTCCACATTATTTTCTGTTTGCCTAAATTGCAACATAAGGAAGCAACAAAAGAAAGATCCTTTTCGCTTAAACATTCTGTTGATCCAAGAAAAATCACACAGGGTCTGGAAGCAACTTTTATTTGGAGAACTAGACTTGAGTACGTTCAACTGAAAGCCAATGCAAGCTTCTGTTCCTCTAAAATGATGTCTTTTGCCTAAGAATAGACCCCTCTTTCAGTCTAAAAACCAGATAAACTGTCCTACAGTGATTCAAATAGCCAGCGGCCTCACTCCCCCCAAACTTGACTAACAACACAGCAATATAATTCTACCGTTTAAAACTTGGCTGACCCAAACGTGAACTTTCAAAGAAAATAAGAGTCATTACTAAAAGAGATTCCATTTCTTTCTGGGGCCTAAGTTAAGATGACTTTCCAGAACTTTGAAAAAACTTACTCTTTCAATGGCCACTTAATTGTGTAACAAAGTAAACATTCACAAGGGAGGCAAAATATAACATTCCCTATGTTTAGATTTTTCAAATATCTTTAAGGGGTGCATTTTCTTTGTTGGGTTGTCATATGTAGTTTGGAGTAATTTACCAGGTTCTACCCAAAAGTTGTATCATGATCAAGGATCGCTTGAACCCAGGAGTTTGAGACCAGCTTGGGCACCATGGCAAAACCCTGTCTCTACTAACATTACAAAAAATTAACCAGGTGTGGTGGTGAATGCCTGTGGTCTTAGCTACTCTGAAGGCTGAGGTGCAAGGATCTCTTGAGCCAGTGAGGCAGAGGTTGCAGTGAGCTGTATTCATGGCCATAGCACTTCAGCCTGGGTGGCAGAGTGAGATCTTGTCTTAAAGACAAAAAAAGAAAAAGAGGGTGAATTCTACCTACCTGGCAGGATCATTGGGATAATTGCATGAACATAGGATCTGATTCACCACCTGGTACATAGTAGGAATTCATGATATTGTAGCTGTTCTTATAATTATTAATTTGACCTGGAACTTCCATGTCCTGATTCTTAGATCTTGCATGATTATACACGTGTTATCTAATTGATGAATTTCAAATATGATCTATTTCAACAGTTAAATGGCTGAACAGTCATTAATTTCAGGTGGTCCTAAACCCAAATCAGTAAATTCTTTGAGGTGGATAAACCTACATTTCATTTGTAGTTTAAAAAGAAAAAGTGAAAAAAGTATTTAAAGTCCTGGGTCATGGAAGGCGGAGCTTGCAGTGAGCCAAGTTTACACCACTGCACTCCAGCCTGGGTAACAGAGCGAGACTCTGTCTCAAAAAAAATAAAAAATAAAAAATAAAATAAAAATAAAGTCCTGGGTCGATAAGTGACTTTATCCTTCTAAGGTATAAAATGAAGGAGCTACACTAGATAGTCTCTAAGCAACCTTCAAACTCTGAAATTCTGTGGTTGATATTAGGTCCAGTACTGGGGATCTGTGATTTTTTAATTGCTACAACTTCTAGGAAATGAGGAGTATCAAAGATTGTTATGGGAGAGTGGGGGTAGGGGAGTTACTATCATTGGTCTTTTGTGAACAAGACCAAGAACAAAAGAAATAAGAACAAAAAAGAACAGCAAGCCGGGCACAGTGGCTCACACCTTTAATCCCAGCACTTTGGGAGGCTGAGGCAGGTGGATCACTTGAGGTCAGAAGTTCGAGACCAGCCTGGCCAAAGTGGAGAAAACTCGTCTCCACTCAAAATACAAAAATTAGCTGGGCATGGTGGCAGGTGCCTGTAAACCCAGCTACCCAGGAGGCTGAGGCAGGACAGTCACTTGAACCGGGATGGCGGCCACTGCTGGGAGCGGAGATGGCACCACTGCACTCCAGCCTGGGAGACAGAGCGAGACTCTGCCTCGAAAAAAAAAAAAAAAGGCAACAAAAAGAAGTCAGTCCAGATTTGCAGAAATAACAGGAGTTATTCCCATATAACACACACACACACACACACACACATTTAGTTCTCAAGAATAGTTTTCTCTGGCAGCAAGGATTTTAGGGAATTCCGTTTAATCTGCATCTAAGGGTTCTCATGGGACAGGGAAAGGAAGACATCATTGTCCTCAGGAATTTATAATCTGTGATCAGCAGAAAGACATAAAATGGAAGTGTTCTAAGACATATTTCTGAAGGATGAACTTCCAAAGAAGACATCCATCCATCCATCCATCCATCCATCCATCCATCCATCCATCCGATCCAAATGCTTACAGGTTAAGCATCCCTTATCTGAAAATCTGAAATGCTCCAAAACCTGAAACTTTGAGCACTGACATGACGCCTCACATCTCACCCTATGTGTCAGTCAAACACAGTCAAAACTTTGCAGTCAAAACTTGTTTCATGAACACAATTACTTAAAATATTATATAAAATTACCTTTGGGCTACACATATGAGGTATATGTGTAACGTATGTGAATTTCATGTTTAGAGTTGGATCCCATCTGCAAGGTATCTCATTATGTATATGCAAATCTTCCAAAATCTGAAATTGAAAACACTTCTGGTCCCAGGCATTTAGATAAGGGATGCTCAACCTACACTACTTGTGGAGGTGCTAAGCTATAACAAATACTCTCTGGAGGCCTCTTGGGATATGTTGCCTGTTGATTTGGTTAATTCTGTTTCATAAATCACAGATTGTTGTAATCTCATGGTACCAGTATTTTATGATACATGACATAGATTCAAAGCCTTTTGCTACAATTTAAGATTCCATTCATATCAGTAATCCTTGTGGGTCAGAGGGTACTGTGTTGGTGATATACACAGACAACTAACTTGTGGAAGCATAGAGAAGAGAGACAGCAGCCAATGGGGATGTATGCACAAGCCTATGTGGGGGTGGATGGGTCAATGGAGTGATGAGTTAGGGAAGACTCTACATCAAGAATACTCTTGAAGAGTCTTCAAAGATAAATCAGTGACTGGAAGGAAAAGAAACAACCTTTGGTTAGATAATTATTATTTTTTAAGAGATAGATTCTTGGCTTTGTCATCCAGCCTAGAGTGCAGTGGTGTGATCATAGCTCACTGCAGCCTCCAAACTCCTGGCCTCAGGTGATCCTCCTGATTTGGTCTCCCAAAGTGCTGGGATTACAGTTGTGAGCCACTGTGCCTGGCCTGGTTAGATTATTTAAATTAGGACTATATTGATCTGAAATATAAAGAATTGGGGGAATGTGGGTAAGTACAGGGAGACAACAACAATTTTTCTGACTCTTCTTAGTCCTTATGTGGAATTCAGTTATTTCCAATAATTAGCTCCTTTTCCTTTTGAAGAAAACAATTGTCTTTTCTCAGAGTAATGACATCAGCCTCCTCCTTTAATCAGGTCTTTTTTTCACTTTCCCCCTTTTTTTCACTTTCCCCAACCTCTAAGCATTTCCTGGTACTAGGAGACTTTTATTGCTCAAGCTGGCCCATTTTACTATGGACAGTTCCAATGGTTGCACACTCCTGGGACATTCCTGTGACTTCATGCTTGGTATGATTTCTACCTTGTTGAATGACTACCATAATTAACCTACTTCTCTAAAAATATTTGAAAGCTGCTGTCTAATTTCTCTTGAGCCTTGCTTTTTTCTCCTTTAGGCTAACCATCTCTACCTCCCTCAACTACTTTCATAGGTCATAGTTTCCAGTTCCTTTACTAGCCTGATTGCTTTTCTCCAAATCTCCAACTTTACCCTGTCAGTCGTCAGTTGGAATCTTGTGCTCTGAGCATAGCTGTTCTATGCAAGAACAGGGGAGGACTATCACTTTCCTGTATCTAACACTAATACCACTTAGGACTGCAATAGTTTTCTCAGCACACGTCACTTTGTTTCCCTGCTTCTCCAAGTCTAGGGTATGCAGTGTGCCTGAGCTTGCTGGTGCCCTTGCATTCTTCCATGCAGTTGTGGTTTGCTTGTGTTTTTGTTTTAAAAAGAATTCGTTGTGTCAAATTTATAAAGGAGTTGGATTTTGTTCTAAAAGAGGTTCTTGCTTAAGGGCACGTAATAAATATTTCCTGACTGTAACTGAATAAATATTGAACCTTTACGTGTTTACACTCCCTTGTCGTGATATATGTAGCTTTTTTTTTTTTTTTGAGAGGGAGTCTTGCTCTGTCGCCCAGGCTGGAGTGCAGTGGCGCAATCTCGGCTCACTGCAAGCTCTGCCTCCTGGGTTCACGCCATTCTTCTGCCTCAGCCTCCCGAGTAGCTGGGACTATAGGCGCCCGCCACCATGCCCGCTAATTTTTTGTATTTTTAGTAGAGATGGGGTTTCACCGTGTTAGCCAGGATGGTCTTGATCTCCTGACCTCATGATCCGCCTGCCTCGGCCTCCCAAAGTGCTGGGATTACAGGCGTGAGCCACCGCGCCCAGCCGATATATGTAGCATTTTGACCTAGATTTGTTGGGATTATAAGTCAAAATGTTAAAATTGATCTTATCAGAGCCTGCCACTTGGAAAAATAACTTTACTTCAGAAAAATTTTGTATTGAACTCTTTGAAGGCTTTTTTAAAAACGATGTTATTGGCTGGGCGTGGTGGCTCATGCCTGTAATCCCAGCACTTTGGGAGGCTGAGGCAACAGGATCATTTGAGGTTAGGAGTTCCAGACCAGCCTGGCCAGTATGGTAAAACTCCATCTCTACTAAAAATGCAAAAATTAGGCTGGGCTTGGTGGCTCATGCCTGTAATCCCAGCACTTCGGGAGGCCGAGGCAGGTGGATCACCTGAGGTCAGGAGTTTAAAACCAGCCTGGCCAACATGGCAAAACCCTGTCGCTACTAAAAATAAAAAAATTAGCCGGGCATGATATTGCTTGCCTGTAATCCCAGCTACTTTGGAGGCTGAAGCAGGAGAATCACTTGAACTCGGGAGATGGAGGTTGCAGTGAGCCCAGATCACGCCACTGCACTCCAGCCTGGGTGACAGAGCGAGACTCCATCTCAAAAAAAAAAAAAAAAAGGTAGCCGAGCGTGGTGGGCACATGCCTGTAATCCCAGCTACTCAGGAGACTGAGACAGGAGAATCACTTGAACCTGGGAGGTGGAGGTTGCAATGGACCAAGATTGTGCTACTGCACTCCAGCCTGGGTGACAGAGTGAGACTCCGTCTCAAAAAAAGAAAAAAAAAAAGTTGTTATTTTTACTTAGGAAATGATTTATCTATTTTGCAAGTTCATCTTAGAGCACAATTATAGCTATTTATTACTTATTATTCATTCCTATCTTCCCCTTTCCTCTGATAAATAACCTGGTAGTTTTTGGTAAAATAAGCTAATCAGCAGGGTTCTCTAAATAATACAGTCTCATGCCTGTAATCCCAACACTTTGGGAGGCCAGGACATGAGGATCACCTATGTAGCCAGGAGTTTGAGACCAGCCCGAGCAACAGAGTGAGCCAATTGCTTGTGTTGGCCTTTTACTTTCCATGTTTTAGGTTAGTCATTACTTTTATCAGGTACAGAGTATAACCAAGTGGATTTTTCCCTTCTGTCCTCCCTGTACAATGAAGGAGACTGACCGTAAGTGGAACCAGGAAGTGTTGACGTGGTCATTACTGCAAGGAAGGAGGAAAAATAGCAGCCAAAAATGCCATTTACGTGAAACTTGTGACTTGATTGAGGAAACATTTGCTCAAGCAAAAGCTTAACTGACTACCTCTAAACTGAGGAATGTAAGAATTACCATATTTACTTCTGCACTAGAATTAAATTCTTTGTGTGATCACTGTCTTTAGCTCTTATTCTAACACACTGGGGCATAATGAGAGAGGCATTTGAATGCAGATATTATATTATTCTACCTTAATAAATGTTTTTCTTTGTCTTTGCAATAATGATATTATTAGATAGGCTTGATGTCCCATGATTTTTGTCATCAAGTTCGCATCGTATCTATATAGAGAGATAGGAAGATGCGATCTTACTTTTTTTTTATTTATTTTTTTTGAAATAGCCTTGCTCTGCCAGCCCCGGCTGGAGTGCAGTGGTGCAATCTCAGCTCACTGTAGCCTCCACCTCCCAGGTTCAAGTTACTCTCATGCCTCAGCCTCCTTAGTAGCTGGGCCTACAGGCGCATGCCACCACACCCGGCTAATTTTTGTATTTTTAGAAATAGAGATGGGGTTTCACCATGCTGTCCAGGCTAGTCTCAAACTCCTGACCTCATGTGATCCACCTGCTTTGGCCTCCCAAAGTACTGAAATTACAAGAAGATGTGACTTATTTTAAATGTTTGTTTGCTGAGGGGGAATATCTGAGTTTACCTTTAAGCGTCAAAAATACTCTGATACTGCAGTACTAGTTGTTATTTTGTTCTTATTTGAGACTAAATTAACAGCTGTAGTCAGTTACTATGCTCAGGAAATAATGTTTGGAGATAAACTTTGTGTGTGCTCTCCGTACATTTCATAGTATCATTTAAAAGCAAACCTCTTTAATCAAAGTCAAAAGGAAAGGATGTGTTTTCTTTCTTCCATGTTTCTTGGCAGATCTTACAGGTGAGTGGGAAGTCATGAATGGGCAATTTCCAAGAAGTACAAAAGTAATTTTGTTCATAAAGCAAAATATTTTCCTTTGATTCATGATTTACAAGGAAACCCATAGCTTAGCACCTACGAGAAACTTTGAATAGGCTGACTTTGCAGTGAGGGTCTCAAAGAAGGAATGCGGTGAGCAAATCTTTTGACATTGTGATGATACATTCTTCTAAAGGTTAGGAGGAAAAACTTCTTTCTTAGAGTTTGGCTCCCCCACACCCCCTCTTGCTTCCCTCTTGCTAATTGCCCGTTTTTTGACTTTTTTTTTTCCTTTTGTTTTGTTTTTGTTTTGAGAAAGGGTCTCCCTCTGTCACCCAGGCTGGAATGCAGTGGCACCATCACTGCTCGCTGCAGCCTTGACCTGGCTCAGGCAGTCCTCCTACCTCAGCTTCCTGAGTAGGTATGAATATAGACATGTACCACTTTGCTCAGCTAATTTTTGTATTTTTTGTAGAGACGGGGTTTCACCATGTTGCCCAGGCTGTGCTTATTTTTTATAATTAAAAAAAAATTAAAGCCAGGTGCAGTGGCTTACGCCTGTAATCCCAGCACTTTGGGAGGCTGAGGCGGGATTACTTGAGGCCAGGAGTTCAAGACCAGCCTGAGCAACATAGTGAGACCTCGTCTCTACAATCAATCAGTCAGTCAGTCAATCAATCAGTCATTCGATCAATCAACTGCAGTAAAGTACACAAAACAAAAGTTTACCATCCTAACCATTTGTTTATTTTATTTTTTGGAGACGGGGTCTCATTCTATTACTAAGGCGGGTGTCAAACTTGTGGCCTCAAGCAATCCTCCTTCCCAATGTGCTAGGATTACGGGTGTGAGCCACTGTGCTGAGCCCTAGCCTTTTTTAAGTGTACAGTTCAGTAGTGTTGAGTATATTCACATTGTTGCTCCACAACTTTTACATCTTGCAAAACAGAAACTCTATACCCATTAAACAACAGCTCGCTGTCCCCACATCCACCCCACCTCTAACCCCTTGGCAACCAGCATTCTTACTCCCTTTTTCTATGGATTTGACTAGTTAGATACATCATGTAAGTAGAATCATTCAGTATTTGTCTGTTACTGGCTTTAAGTCAGCCTAATGTACTCAAAATTCATCCATGTCGTAGCGTGTGCCAGAATTTCCTTCCTTTTTAAGGCTTCCATCGTATTTTTCCATCCTTCTGTCAAATGGATGTTTGGGTTGCTTCCACCACCTGGCTATTGTGAATAATGCTGCAATGAGCACAGGTGTGCAAACGTCTTTTTGAGATACTGCTTTTGTTCTCACTGGGTCTACTACTACTGGGTAATTGTTTTTGATTTTTTGAGGTTCTCCATAGCAGCTTGCATTCCCAACAACAGTGCATAAAGGTTCCAATTTTTCCCACATCTTTGAGAACACTTATTTTTTTAACTTTTTTTTTTTTTTTAAGAGATAGGTTTTCACTATCTCACCCAGGGTGGGGTGCAGTGCCATGATCATAGCTCACTGCAGCCTCAAACTCTTGGGCTCAAGGGATCCTCCTGCTTCAGCCTCCCAAAGTAGCTGACTGGCTAGGACCACATCACCACCACAGTCCCCCGCCCCGCCCCCCTCCAGCTAGTTTGTTTTTTTGTTTGGCTTTTAATTTTTTTGTAGAGACAGTGTCTTGCTATGATGCCCAGGCTGGTCAAGCAATCTTCCCGCCTCAGCCTTTCACAGTGCTGGAACTACAGGAGTGAGCTACCCTGCCTGGACTATTTTGAGTTTTGATAGTAGCCGTAACTGTCCATTTTTAATATTAACCGTAATGATGAAATAACTTTGAGCACCTGGGGTTGGACAAATGTGAGATTTGTGTGCGATCTGCAAAGGTAGAGTTAAAATTTTTTTCTTTCACTTGCTCCTAAACACTGTTTTGGGGTTTTTAAACTTACAGCGGGTCTGGTGCAGTGTATCATTGTTTCTTCTTGATTTTCAGCACAGTCTGTGTGGGACTGTGTAGGTAGAAAAAGCAGTGGAACATCATGGTAGCTAAAATTGCAGATCTCAAACTTGGCAGAACTATTAGAAAAAAGTAAAGTTCAGTAGAACAGATTGTGAGGAAAGCATTATTCATGTCACAAGAGTTTACAAATAACAGGTGTACAATGCACTGGGATGTTTCTTGCCCATTAATGGAAATGCTCTGGAGACTGTACAGTCAAGAAGATGGATAAGGTGGTAGATCTCTTCCGCTCTCTCCCGTGATTGATTTTTTTTTTCCCTCATACTGCCTAACTTCCTCTGTTACAGACGCTGGGTAGTATCAACATATGTTTCCTTATCGTTCGATCTGAAAAATAAACCCTCCAAAAAATTAAAAAGGGGTAAAGGAATGTTCTGATTTATCTGCCATCAATATTTTTTATTCGTGGATTCTCTTAATACCATATCAGAAATAACTTTATTTTTCTTTTTTTGAGACGGAGTCTCGCTGGAGTTCAGTGGCACAGTCTCGGCTCACTGCAATCTCCGCCTCCTGGATTCAAGCGATTCTCCTGCCTCAGCCTCCCGAGTAGCTGGGATTACAGGCGTGTGCCACCAGGTCCAGCTAATTTTTTTATTTTTAGTAGAGACGGGGTTTCACCATGTTAGCCAGGATGGTCTCGATCTCCTGACCTCGTGATCCGCCCGCCTCAGCCTCCCCAAGTGCTGGGATTACAGGTATGAGCCACCGCGCCCGGCCTATTTTTTATTTTGTTGTTTCTTTTTGTATAGTCTTGCTATGTTGTCCAGGCTGGTCTCGAACTCCTGGGCTCAAGCGTGGGAAATGTCTGACCTAAGAGCGCGTGGCTACTGAGTAACAATTCTAAACAGTATTTCCTGGGCCTTTACTGTGCTAGATGTTCCCTCTGGTGATACAGGCAAACTTAAGCCAAAATATGAAATAAAACATTTAGGCTTCTTTACACTCCATTTTCTCCTTCCCTGCCTCACCAAGTCTCAGTCGCTTTTCACCTTGGCCCTTCGTTTTGTTGCACTCTAGGATCCTGGAGCCTTGCAGGTTTTTCTCAGCTCATTCCCACTCCTTTCACCCTCACCGTGGCAACTCCAGAATGTGGGTTTCTGGCGCTTTATCTTCTGTTTCTGTAAACCTTCGCAGCCAGTCGCTGCCTTTTCCATTTTAATTGCATTCTCCCACCCCCGCAGTCTTCCTGGAATGCTTCCTGTTTTGTTCACGGTGGGGCCAGTCCTCCAGGGATCCGCATCTCTTCGTTTGCCTTCGTCTGGCTGAGCCGGGCTGGTGCGCTGAGCTCTAGGTGCAGGCGGAAGCTGGGTCAGGTGCGCGGCCGCACTTCTGGTTGCGCGGCCCACACTGGCCGCCATTGTGGTGGAAGTCGGAGCGAGTCTCCTGGGCCCGAACCGGCTGTTGGAAGTGCGAGGGCACCGAGAGCCACGGTACCTGTGAGGGATCTCTTTAACTTCCTCAGATGGGATGGGGGAAAGATCAGAGGGTGACACTTCGGGTGACCGATGCCTGAACTGGGGCTTCCGGGGGAAGGCTATAGAAAGACTTGGCGATAAGCTCTCCGACCGTGACTCCTACCATTACTTTTATTTACTTATCATAGCTTTTTAAAAAACTTTGAAATTAATAATAATTCCCCTGAAATATCCACCTGTGGCAGTGGAGCAATGAAAGCACGTGCTTAAGTATTCTCGTCCACACAGTTGGCAGTGGCTCCTCCGTACGGAAAGCAGTTGTGATAGAGTCACCTCAAGCCCTGCAGCTTCTCCACAACCCGAATCTGGAATATGTTGCGTGGATATTGCCTTTTTGTAAAATATTGGAATCCGTTGGCCCAAAGTCAATATACTCCTAAACTGTAATACTTAATATTTTTTCTCTGAAGACTATTTTAAATAGTTTTTTAAAATGGTGTCCTGCACTAATGTTTTTGGTAATTATGGCTAAAAAAAAATTAAAAACCTTTAATATGCATGATGTAAAAACAAAAGGTTGCGTAGTATAGTGGTTAAGAGCCCAGGCTTTGAACTGCTTGAGTTCAAATCAAGCTCTAACACCAGCTGTTTTGATTTTGGACAGGTTCCTTAACCCTTAGTTTCCTTAGCTGCAAAATAGCTCCTATCTTGTAGGGTTGTGGTAGGGGGAATTGGGTAGATACAGGTTTACAGTTGCTTATCTGAAATCCTTGGGGTCGGATGTGCTTAAAAATCTTTCAGGTTTTTTTTGTTTTGTTTTTGTTTTTAAGACAAAGTCTCGCTCTGTTGCCCAGGCTGGAGTGCAGTGGTGCAATCTCGGCTCACTGCAACCTCTGCCTCCCAGGTTCAAGTGATTTTCCTGCCTCAGCCTCCTGAGTAGCTGGGACTACAGGCGTGCACCACCACCACGTCCAGCGAATTTTTGTATTTTAGTAGAGACAGGATTTCACCGCGTTGGCCGGGATGGTCTCCATCTCTTGACCTTGTGATCTGCCCGCCTCGGCCTCCCAAAATGCTGGGATTACAGGTGTGAGCCACCGCGCCCAGCCTCAGATTTTGTATTGATTTATTAATTCACTGAGACAGAGTCTGTCTCTATTGCCCAGGCTGGAATGCAGTTAGCTCACTGCAATCTCCACCTCCCAGGTTCAAGCGATTCTCTTGCCTCGGCCTCCTGAGTAGCTGGGACTACAGGGGGGCACCACCATGCCCGGCTAATTTTTGTGTTTTTAGTAGAGCCGGGTTTCACCATATTGGCCAAGCTGGTATTGAACTCCTGGCCTCAAGTGATCCTCCGGCCTTGGCCTCCCAAATTGCTGGGATTACAGGTGTGAGCCACCACACCCTGCCTCTTTCAGATTGTAAAAGATAACATAGTACATAACCCATAGGTAACATAATACAGCAATGTCTAAGGTAGCACATAGTAACTAAGCACATTAATTTTTCTGCAGTGAAACATGAATAATACACTAAGCGGGATAAATTAAAGCTATAAATAGTTTTACATCACTTCAGATCAGGTTTTGCCACCCAGTGAGTTTGCACCGCCCTTCTCCCAGACTCAGCACTATAGGCTTTCAGAGCATTTAGATTTTGGAGTTGTGGATTAGAGGTTGTGGAGTCATATGTAAACCATTTGAACAGGGCCTGGCATTTAGTAAGCACCCTATAAATGTTAGTGCAAAACTGAATTCTTCCTATACTTTATGACTAGATTGTTATTATTTAAAAGAGTAGTTTAAATCATAGTGGTTTAAAGTGGATGTAGTGAAGGCCTACATAAGTATCTGTGTGTATTTTTCGCATATTATCTCATTTGGGTTTCAGGTCTGTTTTTCCCATGGTAAAAGAACAAGAAAGACAGAACAAAGAAGGCAGAGCAGAAAAGTTCCATGTTCCTCCTCACTCCATCTTGCCTAGCCAAAACAATTGAACAGTTTCAGATATCTATTTCAAAGATTTCAGATAAGTTCTAAAATGTTTTCTTTTGTTGTGACTTCAGCCTTGACTTGCCTCTACTCTTAAGCACACGGTAAGAACCGAAAGCCACCCTGTGCATCTTAAATCTTTTAATCTGCTTTGCTGCCAATGGATTATTTCTAGAACATGATGGTGTAGAAAATTCTTAAATTTTAGGCAACTTAAATGCTTCTAAGATTTTTTTTTTTCTTACCAAAGAGAGGTGGCTTCTGAGTTGAGGACTGTGGGGTTGATGTTTCATGTGAGTTCATGGCTATATTACATTTGGCCTGAAAGTCTAGTGATCTGGTATATTTTATCCTGTGATCCATTAATATCTATTGAAAATACACTGTAGCTCTTACAGTGAAAAATAATTAGACCTATTTCATCCTCTCTTTCTACTTAATACACATATTTACCCAGTCTAAGCCTGATCAAAAGGACAATGTGGGAATGCATGAAAGAATAATGTGTGCTTTTCAAAAGATAAGCCAGATACTGGAAGCAGAAACTCTGAAGGACAAAGTTAAAATCTAAAGGTAAATCTTGCTATCCTTGTGTCTGTAAGATACATAGATTGACAAAAGTAACTATAATACAGAGCTATTTAGATAATTCAAAAGAATTACATCTTTAGATTATTTTATTGGCTTATATCTGAAGAACTATAAGTTCCATTTTTATGCATAAATTAGTAGCCTATTAGTTTCTTTTAAAAATTCTCTGTAGATGGAAAGCTTACATTGGAGTTTTCATCTTTTCTTTCTCCTTGCCATTTCTTCATCAGTTATCTTTAGTCTATTACATGTATACACACACATATGTAGATATACACACGGATATATATATATATATATATATATATGTATTTTCCTGAAACAAGGTGTTGCACTGTCGCCTAGGCTAGGGTGCAGTGGTGCAGTCACAGCTCACTGCAGCCTCGACCAACTGGGCTCCAGCGAGCCTATATCACCTTAGCCTCCTGAGTAGCGTGTAGTACAGACCACCACTCCCAGCTGATTTTTGTATTTTTTGTAGAGATGGGGTTTCACCATGTTGCCCCAGGCTGTTCTGGAACTCCTGGACTCAAGTGATCCACCCGCCTCAGCCTCCCAAAGTGCTGGGATTATAGGCATGAGCCTCTGTGCCCAGCCTGTAAATACATTTATGTGAAGACTTTGCTAAAGAAAGAGACAATGAAATCAGTGAAGACACCAATATGGTACATGAAAAACAACTTGGAGCATTAAATCAAAATTGCCAAAGATCACCTTTTTCAAGTGTAAGGCTTGTTTCTTTGTATACACTTATCTCTTTTGCAACTTCATGTTATCCTGATGTCTGGGATATTAACTTTAAAGATGATTTTATCGTTTTATTATGGTAGTTATTCCTTCGTTCACTTTCCCCTTTATTGTGGTTAATCTGCGAAGTAGATTTGGTCATGTAATACACTTTATTTTTAGCAGTCTCACAGTGTCGTAAATCTTGTATTTTATTGCCTTTAATGTAAGAATGAAGGCCAGCAATCAGGGTGAGGCTGTTCTGTTTCAAACTTGACACTCAAAAACTAACTTCTGTGTTTTCTATTTTAAGGCTTACTACAGGTAGACTACTTCAGCCATCAATTAAAATAAGCTTTTCTTAAAAATGAGATGATAATTAGTGACAGCATTAGAATCCCTAATAGTGCGTGTATGTGTGTGCATGCACGTGGATGCAGTATGATAGTGGCTGCAGCGACAGAAAACCAAAGTAATGTGGCTTAACCATAATAGGCATTTATTTCTCTCTCATGTAAAAGCCCGAAAAGTGGTCTATATTTATCAGACTTTTTTGAGACAGGGTTTTGCTCCATTGCCTAGGCTGGAGTGCAGTGGTGTGATCCTAGCTTTCTGTAGTCTCAACCTCCTGGGCTCAAGCGATCTACCCACCTCAGTCTCCCAAGTAGCTGGGACTACAGGCACATGCCACCACACATGGCTTGTGTGTGTGTGTGTGTGTGTGTGTGTGTGTGTGTGTGTGTGTGTGTGCGCGCGCGCGCGCGCGGTGGAGGGTAGTGGGGTAGAGATGGAACTTCAGTATTTTGCCCAAGGTGACTTTATATTTTGATTCTCTGCCATCTTCAACAGGTAGCTGTCATCTTATGATCTAAGGTGGGTGCTCTACTTCCCACAGTCATCTTCTAGGCAACAAGAAAGCAGGAAAAAAGCTCTTATTTTATTTTTGATTTTGTTGCATACCAAAGGAATGTTCTCTTTTCAAGGCACCACCTGGAAGTTGCAGGCATCACTTCTGTCCACACCATAGGCCAGAATTTACTAATATGGTTTGAGTATCCAAAATAATGCTCCAGAATCTGAAGCTTTTTGTCTACTGACATGATGCCCAAAGGGAATGCTCAATGGAAAGTGTAATTGCAAATATCCCCCAATATGGAAAAATTCGAAAACTGAACACTTCTGGGCCCAAGCATTTCAGTTAAAGGGTACTCAACCTGTACAGTATTAACTAGCAAGGGAATTTAGGAAATCATGTGCCCAACAGAAATTTATTACTACATAAAATAGAGAATATATTAGAGGAAGTTAGCGGTTAGAATAGTAAAGTGTGTAATAGTGCAATGTTTTGTGAATTTTGGATACTCATCATTATAAACATCTGACAAAAAGACTGAACTGCATTATAGAGCTGCTGGGTTCTATAAATCACCAGTCTTGAGCATCCCTGCAAAGTATTTCCTTCCAGCCTGTCACCCATGTAGAAAAAGATCTCCTAATTCTTAATTTAGGAAAGACTTTGTAAGGAGACATTATTATATTAAGAAGTGAAACATACGATAAAAAGAAAAATGAATTCCATAACAAAGGGGAGAAAGTAAACGTCTATTCAACTTTCATTGAAATAAATATTTTCAGAACTTTATTGTGTCTATACAAAATTGTATCTGCATCTTTTTTTTTAACTTAGCAATGAATCTTAGACTTTATATCAGTAATGGAGATCTAACTCATTTTAAAAATGATACGTAGTAATTTGGGGAATTTTAAAACAGTGTTAATACATAACTGTCACATATCTCTTTTGTGATTACATTTTTTTGCTAGATGATGGATTATAGATAGCTCTCTGATACAAACAGGAGATTTCTAAAAGCCTCTTAGTCCTCTTACCTCAGCAATCTATAGTCCATCCTTTCAGTGTTCCTAAATTTCCTCTGTGAGAATATATATGCTGTTAAAAGTTAAGGGGACTCTGACACGGAAAGCAAATAAACAAAAATTATTAGATGGTTTACAATTGTAGTGCCCACTGTTTAATTCAGAATGGAACACAGAAAAATAAATTAGGCTTGTTCTAAATGTTTGCCTAATTCTTTTAGAATATTAGAATTTAACTTATTAGCTGTATGTTGGGTAAGCATTGCAAGAGTTAACTTGTATTTGACATTTTTCACATGCCCTTAACATTAAGCATGTGTGAGGTCTTCCTGTGTGCATATTTGGATGTACAGCCTAACTGAGGTGGAAAACACCAAGATGTTTGCAGGGCAGATGCATTCCAAGTATGTGTTCTTATTGCTCTTCCTGCCATTGGCTTCAAGATGAGCTGTCCTGCCTGTTTTCAGTACTAGTCTTAAAACCAGGTCCTTTTCCATTCCCTCCCATCTTGACTAGGTTGCCTCTCAAATTCAAGTCAAGGCATGTTTTCTGTCAAGTATACACTTTCAAGATGAAAGCAGCAGTGCACGAAGCAGAGAAAAAAGCCTGCAGAAATGTGTAAAAACTAGAAAAAGTATACAGAGAGCAGTGGGTAGAAATGGGTATAATGGTTGACAGCTCTTGGACCCAGGACTCATGTCTTGTTCAAGATTCAAATCCTGGCTCTATCACTTTCTAGTTATGTTGAACCAAGTTATTTTGAACTTCAGTTTCCTTATCTATAAAGTGGCGACAGAAATAGAATGTAGTATCTGTTGGATTCAGGATTAAATAGTTCATGTAATAAAATGCTTGGCAGTATGTTTGGCAACTATTATACAACTCTATATACTCTTCATTTCTTTTCTATGTCCAGATTATTAAAATATTACGAGACCATACCCATGGGGGGGAACTTTGCTGTCTTTCGTTTAACTGCTGTCCTGGCTAGCTTTCTTACTCAGCCCCTGGGATTGAAGTCAGGCCTAGAAATTTGGGAGTTTGGCATGTTAAACTTTATAGCTGGGAGTACTGGAGAATGACAGGTAACTTCTGCAAGGGTAAACAGTGTTGAGAACCTTGCTAATTGCACATTGTCAGGCTTTTGAACAGTTCCCATTGTGGCACGTATTCCTTCAATGCTTTGTTGTGCCTGAAAATGAAAGAAAAGAAACAAAAAGGAAAACTATAATGTTTTTAAACTTGGATTTTGTTGTTGTTGTTTTTGTTTAAGTAGTAGGAAACTAACATGATCTTTTCTGACTTAGTCTTATGTTCAGATATCCTGAAGCAACTTGAATAATGTCCTGTTTCTTGCCCCCACCCAGCTCGATTGGATCCTTTTCCTCACATCTCCTCTTTTTTTTTTTTTTTTTTTTTGAGACAGAGTGAGACTCTTGCCCCGGCTGGAGTGCAATGGCACGATTTCAGCTCACTGCAACCTTCACCTCCTGGTTCAAGCAATTCCCCCTGCCTCAGCCTCCGGAGTAGCTGGGATTATAGGCACCCGCCACCATGCCCAGCTAATTTTTGTATTTTTCATAGATACAGGCTTTCGCCATGTTGGCCAGGCTTGTCTCAAACTCCTGACCTCAGGTCACCTGCCCACCTCAGCCTCCCAAAGTGCTGGGATTACAGGCATGAACCACCGTGCCCGGCCCACACCTCCTTTTTAAATGGAGACAGAAGCAAGCACTGTCACCTGTACCTCACACAAGGAGAAACTTGGCCTCAGGGTGATTCACTGGAGGTGCATTGCTGCTCCTATGAGGCTTGAGGCCAGGTTTTCTGCTTCTCTGATAGCCTCTTAGGCATTTTGCCTTTCACAGAGTACTTTTCCATTATTTTATAAAGACCTCCTTCAGGGCCAGATTCTACAGTTTTATAGTTAGAATTTGGTTTCAACAGAAAATCTTCAAAAATTACAATTTACTTTTAGTTACACTTCAAGTCAACTAGGATGTCCTGTTTAGAAGCAGGGCTCCAAGCCTTTTTAAAGAACAGTTTATCTTTCTTTTAAACAAATGAAGGTATTAAACGGCTCACAGATGGAAGGCAGGTTGCCGCATTAAAATAAGTTAGTGCATGGTTTCCTTTTCCCAAATAACTTTCCTCTTAAAGTGAGGGTATGGGAGAATGGATTAAAATTATAGATTGCTACATATAGACACTTTAAAATCAACGAGCATAGTAACTAGTTGGCATTTTAATATTCTTTTAAAAGTAAGTTGCTTAAAAACCCTGGAGGTAGACTATTTAATCATTTGCATGCTAGTTTCTAAGAATTCATAATTAAGCAATTCAGCATGAGATGGATTTATAGATGGACTATCTTAGATTTGGTGTTCTCTAGCAGGCAGACTTAGTTTCAGTCTGGTGGAAACACTGGATGGTTTCAGCCCAGTATCTGTTTGCTTTTACTCCCTAAACCCACAACTGGACTTTGAGGAGGAGGTGGGAAGGATGTCATGGGAGGTCACTTCAGGTAGAGTCAGTTCCTGTGATACTGACTGGCAGCTCCCAGGTCATGAGCAAATGGCAACCTTGGTAGTATGCCTCCACTGCTGTCCAGGCCTTCAGTTCCACTTCTTGTCTTGGAATTCATGACACTTGAAAGAGAAGAAGTCATCTCATAAAGTGCTGCATAGTATTTCCAGAGAGCTGCATGGCTGTGAAAACATAATTGGAGTTCTAAAAGCTGGCACAGTCTTTTATAACAACAGGTAAATGCAGTGACCAGTTTATTTGTGGCTTTTGGTTTCCCACTGCCTGAAAGCAAAAAAAAAAAAAAAAAAAAAAAGTGTGTTTTTGAAAATTAAAGGAAGGACTTTCATTTAAAAATAAAGAAGCTTCAGAATAAAATTACTTCTCCTTTGCCTTTTATGGTACTGACTGATGAAAGGCAGATATATATCTGGTAAAAATCCTACAATGTATATTAAAATGAGTAAAAAATATCAAAAAATATGGTGACTAGCCAGTATCTTAATATTTTTGAAAAAATAGACTCCTTGAAAAGCCCTGGAGGTAGAAAATGTAATTACTTTGCATGCCAAAAGAAATGTTTCCATCCTGGGGTCTTGTACAGGCTGAGGGTTCTGGATTATAACAAGTGTGTCCTTTTTTGTAACTGGCTCTGTAGTAGAAGTAGGTGGACTACAACACATTTCACTGCCCTGGGCTTCTGAGGTCTTTAGATTCACACCTGCCATTTCAATGCCCTGAGACTTTTCTTTCTCCTATCTCTCCAAGCTAAAATCGTTGAATCATATCCTGTCATTGGCTGTTCTGTTTATAATAAACTTCATGTGTAAAATGACATATTATCAAGAATTGCTTCAGCCATTGACATAGTGTCTGTACTCATGGGGCTTTGTTGTTCAGGCAAGACTGAGATGTCTTTCATTATTTAGTGGGTGTTTTGATACAGGTCGTGTGAATGTTGTCTGTCAAGCAAAGCAACAGTGCTTTGCCCAGGAACTGAGTTGAGATTCTGATAGATATGGATTATTATCTCCACTGTCCCCTGCACCCCAAACAGTTTTCTCTTTGGAATAGCTCACGTTATTTCAGGCTCTCTAGAAGTGTGAATGAGGCTAGTGTCTTTCTCAGGGAAACTGCCATTTTACTGATTTTTTTCCCAGCAGGCAACAGTCTGTTGGTGATGGATATACTGCTAAGAATAGAGAAAAATGAGAAACTAGAGATACTTGCACAGGCTTCAGGGGCAAATTTCATTCATGGAGACATTTAGCCCATTTGTTTTTTAAATATCAAATTGTAACAAATCTCCCAAATCTCTCCTATCTTTTAGGGACTGGGGGACGGCAGGCAAATAGAACAGTGTTATTCCAGGCATTGTCATTAGCCCGAAACCATCATATAATGATTGTGTTTCTTTTCTATCATATTTCAGCCACAGTATCATTTCAGGTGTCCCTCAGAAAGACGTCACATCCATAGATGGCACCTTTTAGGGAGGAAGCAGCAGTCAAGGGCCATTAGTACTAGAACACAGGCCTTTTCTGTCAAGTGCTTTGTCCTCCATATCACTCTGCCTTCCTTTGCGAGATGCCTTAACAAGGCTGCATTCGTGTGTCTGAGAGATCATCAGTACAGGTTCTAAGGCCAAACAGGTTGTAAGAAGAAGGTGATGATCAAGCATGGCATTTTACATCATCAGTCCTTAGTTAAGAAAAATATGGGCATTCCTGAGGGCTGTCATAAGTGGCCAGAAATCAGGGTCTGTAAAGTCCAAGGTACGGGAGAACTGGAAGCAATGAGTAACTCATGTTTGATGTACAGAGATGATTGTACCCAGTGTTACCATTTACAGAGAAGGCATCCAAACCATAATAAGCAAAATGCTAGACTAGATGTCACTGGGCAGGGCTGGGATTGGGGGGTGTTGGAGGTAGAATATCACCAGGTGGCAGTTAGATACTCATTGCTGGCATTTTATCCAGACACCAGAAGAACATGATCATTGTAAGTATATTTGTTATCTCTCCTACCTCCACCCCCTACAAGAATTCTTAAAAATACTGCTAGTGAGTGCATAGGGAGGATCCGTATCTCATTTCTTTTGTGTGGTTCATGTAATTCTGTCATCTTTGACTTCTATAATGATGCCTAGGTAGGGAAGAGTGCCAAATGGTCCTTAGCCCTCAAATTCCTGCCAATTGCTGAGTTGCTGATAGTATTCTCTACTGCAGGGGATATACCAGGACAATTAGCTTTAGCTCAAAACCATTTATCAGAGAATGTGGGAGACTGACTCCTGGCACTTGTTTGTGTCATGTGAGATATGCTATTTGTCTAAAAACTATCCTTTTCACATTTAATAGTTACTGTTTGCTAGTCAGAACTTCCAAAATCTTTTCCTTGGAGATTTCCTTCTGAAAATGTCAGTATCTCCTGACTTTCAGAGCAAATTGAGGGTTACTGTTCTTAACAGGTATCTCATTCTGCCTTCAAGTGTGGTTACTTGATACAGATGTCTTCTTTCCCCTTCCTCGTGGATTCATTGTGGTCTCTGCAGCAGTATTTCTCAGTGTGTGTTCTATGGGCTGCCTATATCCGCATCATTTAGAGTCCTTGTTAACGAGGCAAATTCCAGGGGCCCAACCTTACTTAGAGTATCCAGGATTCTTCACTTTAAATAGCCATCATACTCTCCCTGTGGTCCTTAATGTATGTTAAAGTTTGGGTAACGGTTCATGTAGAATCTTGTAATATGATCTGTGTACCTGACAGCTAGTTCGAAATGCAGAATCTCAGCCCCCACGTTAGATCTACTAAATCAGAATCTACATTTCAATAAAATGCTACATGAAAATATGGATGTGAATTGCTTTACAACTCTTTATAAGTAGGAAGCACTCATTAATTAATCACTGACTGTTGGTTTGTGGATCTGCTTTTCATATATTCTACTTTTCTAAAAAAAAGAAACAAAACAGCTTTTAGCTTCTTGGAAATTGTGGGGGTGTCTCAGAAGAATTGTTCTCTTATTACATTATTCACAGTAAAGAATAATAGTGAAAGTTCATGCTATCACTAGTATAAGCACAGATTTAGCTATTTCCTCCTAAATAACTGCAGAAGTACCTTATAAAATCTAATTGCAAATCTGTTTCTTATACAAAAGGGTCTAATTTTTCTCTGCCTGTGTGAGATTCACTCACGGCCTGATTCAAAGGCCTCTGCTCCAAGATCAAGAAAATCTTCCCAACGATCTTCAGTGGCACTTGGCAATAGGAGCTTTCAAGGGCCACAATCTCATCTCAGTGGGAGTAGGTACAATTGAATGTTATTTGTATGTTTTTTTAAAACTAGAAAACCTTCCTGTGGATTTAGTCATATTTCCCAAATGTGCTTGATCAGGAAGTTCATCTGTATTGCTTATTAAAAATTCATACTCCTAAGCCTCATCCCCAGATCGACTGAATCAGAATTTCTGGGAGGGATCTCCAGCAGTCTGTTAACAGACATCCTGGACATTCTTGAGATCAGGCATATTTAAGAAATACTGAATTATGTGATCCTTCTCCCAGCAGATTACCTTTCTGATTATATTTTTTTGAACTCATATCATCCCTTTTGTTTTCTTGAACATACTTTACCCCAGCAGCAGTAAAGAGGCAGCTCAGGATTGCTAGTTTAGTATTGAAAACCAGAAAGTGTGTATAGCTAAATACTGCATGATATTGTTTGTCCATAATGTAAGCATACTTGATTAACGAGTATTAACTTAGTGTGAGTTTATTAACTTATTAACTTATTCATACTATTGTCTGTTCCATGGATAGTGTCCTGAAGATGGCAAGTGTTACATTTAGTCTGCAAGGAAACAAGATCTAAAACAGTAAAATGGCGAACCGTCATGAAGTACATTAGGGGTATATGTGTAGGGGCTGATGGGGAGAGGTTATATGTGTGATTTGCCATGTCTTACTCTGCAACTCCTTTTCTTAACATTAAACTTGTGAGTGTGCTTCAACCTCAGGGACAAATTGTTGTTATTTAGAGAAATGAATTATGCATTCTTTTCCTTATAATTACATAGTTTATGTACCATCCTCTTTGAACGTAGCAGAAGGATTTGTTTCTTATAAAGAAATAAATGTGTTGGCCTCTAATTTAGTATTGGAGTAATCCTTGTGTCTCAGACAAAAAGATGAATTATCAAATACTTTAGGGTACTACTGTGTTACACATTGTTGAATCTATTATTTGTGTGTATAAATCCATGATTAAATTAAGTAGTGTTATCTAATTTGAGTTCTTAAATTCTTGGGTTTCTTTTTGTTTGTTTGGTTTGTTTTTTTGAGACAGAGTCTTACTCTGTTAGCCCAGGCTGGAGTGCAGTGGCATGATCTTGTCTCACTGCAACCTCTGCCTCCCGATTCACGCAATTCTCCTGCCTCAGCCTCCCAAGTAGCTGGGATTACAGGCACCCGCCATCACACCCGGCTAATTTTTGTATTTTTAGAAGAGACGGGGTTTCGCCATGTTGGCCAGGCTGGTCTCGAATTCCTGATCTCAAGTGATCCGCCTGCCTTGGCCTCCCAAAGTGTTAGGATTACAGGCATGAGCCACCATGCCCGGCCTCAAATTCTTGTATTTTATAAATCATTTCATGGGTTTAAATTCTTGCTTATGATGGATAAGTGAGAAGGGAGTCTTTTCCTCTTAAAACTAAATTCCTGACCATTTCTGTGAAATAATTTAAATACTACCCAGTTAGGGCTTTCTCTAAGTGAGTGTGTCATTCCAATGCAAAAGGAAACTTAGATCCCTGGTCTGAGGAAATTTAAATCTCTGATTCAAAGTTATAGTGATAAGTGAATGAGATACCTTGCCTACTCTCAAGGAATTTATAATTAAATTGGAGAGGACTTAACTAAAGCCTGTGAAACAATTAAAAAAAAAGTAAGTCCTGACTGTGGTATAAACAATGCATTAGGAGTACAGAAGAGAAAAAGAATTGGGGCAGTGGGGAAAGCTGCTTTGGGGAAGGAGAGTTTAATTTGGGCTTCTAAGAGTAGAAGAGAGCCTTCTCTGGAAGTAAAGAATAATTATAAGAGACAATGCAGGCCGGGCGTGGGAGCTCACGCCTGTAATCCCAGCACTTTGGGAGGCCAAGGTGGGTGGATCACGAGGTCAGGAGATTGAGACCATCCTGGCTAACATGGTGAAACCCCAACTCTACTAAAAATACAAAAAAATTAGCCAGGCGTGGTGGTGGGCGCCTGTAGTCGCAACTACTCGGGAGGCTGAGTCGGGAGAATGGCATGAACACAGGAGGCGGAGCTTGCAGTGAGCTGAGATCACGCCACTGCACTCGAGCCTGGGCGACAGAGTGAGACTCTGTCTCAAAAAATAAATAAAAATAAATAAATAAAAGACAATGCTTTTATTCGGGAATAAGCAATGTGTGGTATTAAGACTGAGCCAGTAGAACCCAGGGAGGTAATGAATGGAACATCTGAAGGCCAGAGGCTTGGGGATTTTGTTTTGATATAATTGGAAGAAACTGATGCATGCTAGCAGTGTTGAATGAGGTCAGAAGAGCAATAATTTTGTTGTGTGTGTGTTTTTTAATGCATTTCAAAAACTAGATGTGTGTCTTTCTGTGTGTATGTTATATATTTATCTGATATTTGTTGTTTTTTAGCGTTTCTAGTTTTTGTCATCTAAGATGACACTGCAAATAAAATCGAAAATTTCTGATGAGTGGTATACTCTCCAGCAAAGATGAAGATATTTGGGCAAAAAAATGATGCTTGTGCTAGCCTTAAAAGGTCATCGAAGGTCTGTGAGCCAGTTGTCTAAGCGCTGCTTACACTCTGATGGTGTTGAGGGATGAGGTGTAAGGCTAAGGGGTCCATATTCTTATTCCCTGGGTCCATAGTACTTTTGACACAGTTTCAGTTAGCAAAAAAGTATTGCATGTGGTGTGTGACATTAACCACACTAAAAAGATTTTTTTTTAAAATCATGGTTATATTGTAGTTTAACATACATATACAGTCTTTTAAGATTTCTGATGAGAGTTTGTATTTTATTATATTTAGAATATTTGGAAATTCTTTCACTGGGATCGGAACAAATTACCTGTAATTAACAATAGCTTAGATGTGGCCTTGCAAGAGTGATTGAGAACCTTTGGGTCACGTGTGGTGTATCATGAGGTCAGGAGTTTAAGACCAGCCTGGCCAAGATAGTGAAACCCCGTCTCTACCAAAATGTACAAAAATTAGCTGGGCATGGTGGCGTGCGCCTGTAGTCCCAGCTACTTGGGAGGCTGAGGCAGAGAATTGCTTGAAACCCCGGAGGTGGAGGTTGCAGTGAGCCGAGATCACGCCACTGTACTCCAGCCTGGAAGACAGAGCGAGACTCCATCTCACACACACAAAGAAACAACAGAACTTTCAGAACCTTTGGCACAACAGAACTGCATATCTGGGATGTTGGTCGTATCTTTATTTGGTCGTACTAAAACACAGACTCTCTGGCACTGTGAGAACTGTTTGCCTGCACATATCTTTGCCTGTGTTCTGGCCAATGCTGGCCTGTCATACCAGGTTCCAAAGATCACTGACAGGCTGGGTCATGTCTGCTCTGAAACATCCTTCATATGCCCCCAGGTTCTGACAGTTTTGAGAGAATCCTTTCTCAGTTTTGAGAACAGTTTTGGAAACTGCCCGAGATGTTTGAAATTCACAAAATGGAAAATATTGAGCTGGTTTCTGTAAAATATGCTATTTTATTTGTGCTCTTTACAGATATATTACAAATCTGTATTCTCATTCACAGGTTAAACTTTGTAAATTCCAAGGTCCTGAAAGGTGGTGGTCATGGTGGTAGTAGTATAAATAAGCATTTCAGACTGGAAATTCAGTATTAATAATGAAATATTTGTGTTTAATTTGTTTAGTGATATGCAATTTGTTCAGTGGTAATGTTCTGTTTCTTTAATAGCAATTGAAGCACTGTTTTATTATGGGTAACTTCTCAAAATATCTGTAGCTAAATGAAATCCTAAGTTTTAGAATTTGATTTACATTCTTTTTTTTTTTTTTTTTTTTTTTTTTTGAGATGGAGTCTTGCTCTGTTGCCTAGTCTGGAGTGCAGTGGTGCGATGGCTCCAACCTCTGCCTCCCGGGTTCAAGTGATTCTCCTGCCTTAGCCTCCTGAGTAGCTGGGATTACAGGCGCACACCACCACACCCAGCTAATTTTTAGTAGAGACGGGGTTTCACCATTTTGGTCAGGCTGGTCTCAAACTCCTGACCTCGTGATCTGCCCACCTCAGCCTCCCAAAGTGCTGGGATTACAGGCGTGAGCCACCGCCCTAGCCTTGATTTATATTCTTTAAGTATTTTTTCTGTCCCTGCTAGCAGAAAGTGTAACAAGGTAGCATTTGAGGAGTTTATATATTCATCCCTCAGTATTTGTGGGGGGATCGGTTCCAGGACTTCTGAGGATACCAAAACCTGGATGCCCAAGTCTCTGATATAAAATGGGCATGGTATTTGCATATAACCTATGCACATCCTCCTGTACATTTGAATCATCTCTAGGTTACTTACAATAGCTAATATGATATAAATGCTATGTAAATAGGTATACTATAATGTTTAGGGAATGATGACCTAAAAAAGTCTGTACATGTTCACTACAGATGCATTTTTTTTCCTCAGAATATTTTTGATCTGTGGTTGGTTGAATCCATGATGTGGAACTCACAGATAGCAAGGGCCTACTGAATTTGTTTAACAAAAAAACCTTGGGTCCTACTTAGTCTCTCTGTCAGGTACTTTTCTGAATGTTCTACAAATATTCACTGATTTATTCCTCTTAGCAACCCTGAGAGGTAGGTTTTGTTATCCTTCCTATTTTGCAGATGACACTAAAGCACTCATTTAATTAATAGTTGGTCCAAGATTGCTCAGCTAATTGGTGTTGGAGCTGGGATTCAAACCCAGGCAGTCTGGCTCTACAGTTTATATGCTTTAACACTATTCTCTACTGAGTAATTCTTTCACAAGAAAAAAAAAACAAAAAACAAAAACAAATAGATTTAGTCATGGCTGTTAGGTCAGTGTCTGTGATGAACTGGTTGCACATCAGTAATTCTGTAGTCCATTTCCCTTGTTTTGCACTGACAATTCTGTGCTAAATTCTTTAAATTTGTGGCCTCAGACACTGTTTTTTGAGACGGGATCTCACTGTCACTCAGGCTGGAGTGCAGTGGTGCAAACATGGCTCACTGCAGCCTCAACCTCCTGGGCTCAGTTGATCCTCCTGCCTCAGTCTCCTGTGTATCTGGGACCAAAGGCATGGGCCACCACATCCAGAGCTAGCTTTTGTAAAGATAGGGTCTCACTTTGTTGCCTCCCGAAGTGATGAGATTATAGGCATGAGCCACCACACCCAGCATGTTGGCTTTTTTTTTTTTTTTTTGAGACGGAGTCTCACTCTTGTCACCCAAGCTGGGGTGCAGTGGCACGATCTCCGCTCACTGCAACCGCCACCTCCTGGGTTCAAGCGATTCTCGTGCCTCAGCCTCCTAAGTAGCTGGGATTACAGGCGTGCCACCACACCCGGCTAGTTTTTGTATTTTTAGTGGAGACAGGATTTCACCATATTGGCCAGGCTGGTCTCGAACTCCTGACCTCAAGTGATCCTCCCATCTTGGCCTCCCAAAGTGCTTGGATTACAGGCATGAGCCACTGCCCCCAGTGGTTTTTTTTGGTTTTGTTTGTGGTTTTTTTTTGTTTTTTGTTTTTAAATAATGAGATCTCTGTTGCTCAGGCTTTCCTTGAACTCGTGTGCTCAAGTGATCCTCCTACCTCAGCCTCCTGAGTAGCTGGGACTACAGGCATGAACACTGTGCCCAGCTTCATTCTATTTTAATTATTACATGAAACATAAATAGATTGTACAGTTTAAATAAATATAAATATGTGGTGAAAAGTGGCTCGATTGACAGGTTCTCAATGGCAAGAAGTAGGTCTTCCCACCTGGTGTTCGGTGACCTCTATGCTTTTAACAAAAGCCTTTCATTATACCTTTGGAGTTGGAATGGAACTTGGAGATCAACCCTTGTACACTTTCATTTCATAAATAAGGAAATTGAGACCCAACAAGGTCAGTCCCTAAGCCCTCAACAGTTTGTTCTAAAACAGAAACATGATTTAAGCCACACTCCTCAATTTAATGGTCTTTTCCTCCCATTATAGTCATTAAAAATTTATACAGTGCCAGATTAAATAGCTCAATAAACTTTAAAAAATATTTTAGATCAATTTAAAAGTACATATAATCATGTTAACCTAGATTATTTCTCAACCACAAACCTCGCCCTTTTTTTCCTCTCACATTTGTTGTCTTTTGTTGTTTCCAGCAGGCACATAACATTGCTAGTTGTACATCATAGCAAGACTTGTAAGATCTGTGTCTCTTTACATAGTTACACATGCATATAAGCAACATATAAACTTAATATTGACTTGATTCATGCAACCACATAAATGGTTAACAGACATAATTAGGTGGTTATCAGATTAAACAAATATGTCTTTGGTGGAGAGTACTAAGTAGGATGGGGCATATTAATTGTAGCCTAAATGTACTGAATGTATTCTGAAATTTGAAATGCAAACAATTGGAAAAGCTAATCTAAACTAAAAATCCAAACTTAAAAATATCTAAACTTTAAAATGGAAGTTTGCTTTTTTACTGGAAGTACTCATTATCAGCACTGGGCTTTATAGTGTTAAGTAAACTAGTTTGCGAATTAGAGAAAGGCACTAATGTAAAATAGGTTGTGTTCTAAAAACTTGTATTTCAGCCATGTGGTGTTTTAAATAGTGGCTGGATGGATTTTTTTCTGTAGAAACAGTTTTAGAAAAGTGGATGGTTCTTAGTAGAGAGCTCACCAAAGCCCTGTTAGCCTACATATACATCTATGCTCTGTGAACGTCCCTAGGCTTGACACTCTTAGTCTTTTTCCTGGTATTAGCTTCAAAATATTTTACATTTATATTATTGCTATTTATTTTCTATATTACATCAGATATATCTGGAATTAAGTATAGATATTAAAGGAGACTATAGCTAAGATTTCTTATACTACCGTAAAAAGTAGTGATTAAACAAATCAGGAAAATTATAAGTTGAAACCTCTCTTTTTAAAGGGTCGTGTTTATTTTATTGCCTTTTAGATTATTGAATCTAGTCAATTAAAATTAATGGAGCTGGGTGTGGTGGCTCACGCCTGTAATCCCAGCACTTTGGGAGGCTGAGGTGGGTGGATCACTTGAGCTCAGGAGTTCGATAAATGTTTTGACATTTTGTATTTCTCTACCAAAAACACAAAAAATTAGCCAGGCATGGTGGCATATACTTGTGGTCCCAGCCACTTGGGAAGCTGAGGTGGGGGAGGATCTCTTGAGTCTGGTAGGTGGAGTTTGTAGTGAGCCGAGATCACACCACTGCATTCCAGCCTGGGTGACAGACCCCATCTGAAAAAAAAAAAAAAGAAATTAACGGGAAAAAGACCAGTCTTCTGGTGGGACTTTAAAGTAAAAATGCATATGCACCCCTAACTACATAGCTTCTACTGCCTAGCTTTACCAACTGATACCAATCTCTTCATTGATGTTGATATAATTATTTATTCCTGACAGGATTATGGCATCATAAAGAAGTGATTTATATAATCTAAATAGGCCCCTTATAAAAAGTGACTTGATAACTTTTAGGGACAATTTTTCTTCAACATTTTTAAATATTTAAGTTTATTTAACGTATACTGAAATTTGCTTAACTAAACTTTTAAATTTGACCTCATTGTAGTTTCACATACAGTGTGTTTGTTTGTTTGTTTTTGGGAGATGAAGCCTCGCCCTGTCGCCCAGGCTGGAGTTCAGTGGCCCAATCTCGGCTCACTGCAACCTCTGCCTCCTGGGTTCAAGTGATTCTCCTGCCTCAGCCTCCTGAGTAGCTGGAACTACAGGCGCGTGCCACCACGCCCTGCTAATTTTTTGTATTTTTTAGTAGAGACAGGGTTTCACCATGTTAGCCAGGATAGTCTTGATCTCCTGACCTCGTGTTCCACCCGCCTTGACCTCCCAAAGTGCTGGGATTACAGGTGTGAGCCACCGCACCCGGCCTCATGTACAGTTCTAAGAATACAGAGAGATCACTTGTGCCCTTTGCCTAGTTTCTGCCTGTAGTAACATCTTAGAAAACTGTAGCACAATGTCACAATCAAGAAGTTGATATAATCCACTAATTTTGTTTCTGTGAAGTTTTATTATATGTGTGTGTTCATGGATCCACCACCACAGTCAAGTTACAGAACAAGTCCCCACTACAGAGATCTCTGAGGTTGCTTTTGAGTAGATAAGTGGGATTATGCCTTATGTAATCTTTAGAGATTGGCTTTTTTTACTTAGTGTAATTCCCTTGAGAGTCGTTCAAGTTGTTGCTTGTATTAGTAGTTTATTTATTCTCATTGCTGATTAGTATCCCATGTTATGGATATATCTAATTTGTTTAACCATTCAGGTTTTTGTGTGAACATGAGTTTTTATTTCTTTGGAATAGGTGCCCAAGGGTACAACTGCTAGATTGTTTGGAAATTGTGTAGTTTGATTAGAACCTGTTTTCTAGTGTGGTTGTACCTTTTTGCATTCCCAACAGCAATATATGTGAAAGATTCTGTTTCTCTGCATCTTTGCCATAACCAGTGTTATCATTGTTTTTGTATCATATGAGATACAATCAGGTATGGATTTTAATGTAAATATAAAGTAGCTAAAATACCATATACTACAATAAAAAGTGATGATTAAACAAACAGGAATATTATAAAATTAAGTAACATTATACTTTTTTGTTTGTTTGTTTGTTTTTTGGAGACAGGGTCTTGCTCTGTCACCCAGGCTAGAGTGTAATGGTGCAATCTCGGCTCACTCCAACCTCCTCCTCCTGGGTTCAAGTGGTTCTGCCTCAGCCTCCCGAGTAGCTGGGATTATAGGCCTCCACCACCACGCCCAGCTAATTTTTGTATTTTTAGTAGAGACGAGGTTTCACCATGCACCATGTCTGCCAGGCTGGTCTCGAACTCCTGACCTCAAGTGATCGGCCATCCCAGCCTCCCAAAGTGCTGGGATCACAGACGTGAGCCACTGTGCCTGGCCTGATTTTTTGTTGTTGTTGTTGTTTTTAATCTCAAAAATGGAATATAAAGAGAGACAGAGATTTTCCTGATGGGCCAAAAGTTGACTGAGATCTAAGAAATGGATTTTGGAAGGATGCATGAGGAGCATGATGGTGGGGTGCTGGCCAGAGTGAAATTTGCCCGCGGCCTTTTACAAAGGTAGACAGAGTGATGGTAATGAAGAGATTTTGAGTCATACTATTGGGGTCCGTAATACGAAAAATGCTTCTACTTTGAGTTATGCATTGGTTCCTTTTAGGATGCAGACTTACTTTCTCTCTTGCCCACCTCAAGCCTGTGTATAACAGTTGCATGATAATACCATCACATGCACCTTCTCTTAGGATTGCCTTTGGTACATGAAAATGCATCTTTTTTGTGAACATTGTAAGCCACCTTATAATAGATAACATTTTTCTGAGCCCTTACTATGAACCAAGCATTGAAATCTATGCACATTGCATGTAGTTAACTCATTTAATCCTTGCAAAAACTATGTAGCAAATTACCCCAAATTTACCAGCTTAACAGTTATTTAGGAGCAGCTTGGCTAGGTGGATCTAGCTCAGGGTCATAAGGTTGGAATCACAACATTTTAGCTGGGGCTGCGGTCATCTGAAGACTTGACTAGGCGTGGGAGATCTGCTTCTAAGATGGCTCACTCACATGGCTTTTGGCCAGAGGCCTCTGTTACTCATCACGTGGACCACCCCATCGGGTTAAAATATTATCACAACATGACAACTGGCTTCACTCAGAGTGAGTAATTCAAGAGCTGCTTCTGCTAAAGAAGCCAGAATACCTTTTTTGATGCAGTCTTAGAAGTCATACACTGTCACTTCTGCCATACTCTGCTCACTAGAAGCGAATCACTTAAGTGAAGCCATGCTAAAGGTGAAGGGGATTAAGCTCCACTTCTTTAAGGGAGGAATATCAAAGAAATTGTGGACATAGTTTAATATGAGGAAACTTAGGAAGGGAAAGGTTAAGTGATTTGTCCAAGTGCATACCTTGTGAGTTGCAGAACCTGGATTTGAATCCCAGCAGACTCCATGTGTTTTTGGTTGTTCTGTGAACCACATGCTTTGAGCACTTAACCTCTTGAATGCATATTCGAACTCACAAGGTTTGGTGGCCCAAGCCTGTAATCCCAGGACTTGGGGAGGTGGAGGTGGGTGGATCACTTGATCCCAACAGTTCAAGACCAGTCTAGGCAACATAGGGAGACCTCATTTCTACAAATACAGAAAACAAAAAAATTAGCCAGGCCCGCTGTGAATACCTGTTGTCTTAGCTACTTGACAGGCTTAGGCAGGAGGATCTTTTTGAGCCAAGGAGGTTGAGGCTGCAGTGAGCTATGATTGTGCCAGTGCAACCCGTTTCTTTAAAATAAAAAAAGTTATAATGACTTTCTTCATATTTACGTGTTCATATCTAGATATTCATGAATGATACGGCCCTCTCTTTTATATCTGGTTTAGTACTTTGACTCAATTTTTACATTCACTCATTTAGTTGATAGATACTGATCACCTCCTGCCAAGTACTGGGATGCTCACCATCATATGGGAAAGAACTTTCAATTTAAAGGTGAACTAACTGACCTGGCACCAAGGAATTTAAACTATATATTGGGTAATTTCTGATAACTAAATATTGGGAAATAAACCTCCCCCCACCCCAGCTTTCTAGTTCACACCTTCTCTAATTGTTAGAAGCATATTGCATAGTTTTAAGAATGCATTGTAAACTGAAGTTGGCAATGGGATGAAGTTCCTCAGATAGAGTTTGTCTACTGCTAATATCAAAAGCAATAAATACTTGAGAGTCCTGGGCAATGTTGAAACTGTAAACTGCCAATGTCTGTTTTTTCTTCCTGGTACTTTAAATGACCATGAACTCTGTGTTGTCTGGGTTAGTTTTAACTAGGTAGTTTGAGAGATGTGAAATGACTTGTTTCTTTGAACAAATCTGTTTTGTAAAATGAGTCACCCAGATTATGCAAAAAGAGAAAGGAAGAGAGGTCTTAGAATTTTGATAAGATCTTTTTCATATTCTGTGCTTGTATTTCATTTTGTCAGTCCATGGAAAAGTCTTTATTGTGGTGATCATTTTGACATTAAACTTCAGGGTACTTAGGGTGAAACCGTAAGGGCATGTACACCTTAGGGCATTAGAATGCAACTTTATGTTCATAATACATTGGACTGATGTATACATTTAAAAACTTAATGTTTTAGCAGTGTATGCAGTGAAATTGTATGAAAAGTAACATTTCATAGGCTGACTAGGGTTGAAATAGAGCAAGCCACCTAAAAATTAGTTAGAAGAACTAGAGGATGGAGTAAGAACAGGACCAGAGTTAAGGGATGAAGCATCCTGCCTTTATAAGGAACTTCTTGTTGAACTCTAAGGATTTGACAACCATGTTTCTTATTTGACAGCATTCAGTGAATTTCCTAATATCAAGGTTAAGTTCTCTCATGTATACACACATATATCTAGTTTCCTGTCTAGCCTAATTCACACATTAAATTCTTGATTTGTATCTGATATACCTCCCTCCTTCTGTGTCTGACAGTACTAAGGGAATTTCTTAATAATGAGGTTAAGTGTTCACATGTGCAGACACTTCTCTTGCCTATACTTTGGCAGCTTAAAATCCTAGGAATTCTCACTTTTTCTCTTTTCCTTTTAGATATATGGCAGACATGAGGAATGGCCTGAGTTGGAGTTTGCTTCTTAAGAAGTCCTATCAGGCGGGGCACAGTGGCTCACGCCTGTAATCCCAGCGCTTTGAGAGGCTGAGGCAGGTGGATTACCTGAGGTCAGGAGTTTGAGACCAGCCTGGCCAACATGGCGAAACCCTGTCTCTGCCAAAAATACAAAAATTAGCCAGGTGTGATGGCAGGCGCCTGTAATCCCAGCTACTTGGGAGGCTGAGGTAGGAGAATCGCTTGAACCTGGGAGAGGTGGAGGTTGCAGTGTGCCGAAATCGTGCCACTGCACTCCAGCGTGGGTGACAAAGTGAGACTTTGTCTGAAAAGAAGAAAAAAGTCCTATCAGAATTAGAGCTTAGGAAACATTCTGATTAGAAGTCAGCATTGGATTGGGCTGGGATTGGCTCCTCAAAGATTGAACATAGTGGTGTGGTATACCCAGTGCTAACTTGCTGTCCGTATTCTCTGAACATGTCTGAGCAGTGCTCAGGTCCTGCCTTATGAATTATGGAACATCATTGTTCTTCTCTCTTCCACCTGTGCTCCCATTAGTCTTCCTTCTTCCCATTATCCTACCAAAAACTTTGTGATCACCTTGGCAAAGGGACCCTGGTTTCCATAGGCCCTAAATCAGGGTATGAATTTGGTTATTCTACAGATTGTGTCAGCCAATAACTGTCACTTACAGCAAATACTA